>NC_000006.12:166331091-166646166 GCF_000001405.40 Homo sapiens
TGTACAGTATGATAACCCAGCACACAGTAGTGGTGAAATAAACACACTCAGATTACTAATTATACTATTAAAATATATTTTCCAAATAAGGCTAAAAAAGTATCTATCAACAGCAGCTGTGCAAGAAACTAGAAATATACAGCAAGGATTTATATTCCAAAACTTAAATTTCTAATTTATACTACCACATCCACTTAAAAATAAGACTACATGCTTATATTTTCAAGAATAATGAAAAATAAGAGAAAGTTCTATATGCAACAGTTCAAAATACATTTGGTTACATTCCTTACCTCAAGAGATTAATCTGTGAATCCTTATGTAGCATGAAAAGCAGATAAAAATAACTAAGTATTCTGTAATGAAACATATATCACTCTTTAACACATTTTAAATGTTTTTTAAGTTTTAATTCACATTCTTGTTTCCAGCAATGTCATCTGTTTATGGCAAAACTAAACACTTGGTTTTAAACAAAGAGTGAAATTGCCTATAAAAACATCTACATTTCATTCTTACTGATCAGGAAGAATATACACTAAGTATATTTTAACTACGCAGGCCAGAATAAACTGCAAAGACTGAATTACATAGTAAATGATCTGTTAAAAAAAATGGAGACACGCCCATCAGCTTCATTTAACCATCCCACAAAGTATACATAGGTCAAAACATCACGCTGTACACAATAAATGTATATAACTTTTATTTGTCAATTAAAAATGGAAAGAATAATGATTTCTAAAGGTTCGTGTGAGTCCACAATGCTGTGAGGATTTAGTGAGAGGAAAAAGCATCCATTTTTCCTTCTTTTCCAAGTTCAAATCACCCCATTGTTCACAAGTTCAATCGCTGCTTTTCAATAGCCAGTTTTTCTCTCAGCAAGGAAACAGCACGGCTATTTGTATAATAGTAGGTATTTTTTCCTCCTATTGCCATCTTCCGTGTATTGATCTTTAAAACGAAACAGCAGGACAAATTATTTCCACTTGTAAACATGGAATATTCAATCCACAAGCAAATGATTTGTCTCAAGTCTTGCAAATTGTCTAGGATACGAAACAACTATACAGATTTCCTGACTCCTAATTGGGAAAACTGTGATATGCTTCAACATGAAAGAAAACCTGGCAGTGCATCTTCCAACTAGGAGACAGAAGGAACCCTGACGTCTGCTTATCACAAGCATTTTTTTGAGACAGAGTCTCACTCTGTTGCTCAGGCGCCATCTCAGCTCAATGCAACCTCCGCCTCCCAGGTTCAAGTGATTCTCCTACCTCAGTCTCCCAATTAGCTGGGACTACAGGTCCACGCCACCAGGCCTGACTAATTTTTTGTATTTTTAGTAGAAACGGGGTTTCACTATGTTGGCCAGGCTGGTCTCAAACTCCTGACCTCAAGTGATCACCCGCCTCGGTCTCCCAAAGTGCTGGATTACAGGCATGAGCCACGAGCCACTGCACCCAGCCTGCTTATCATAAGCATTTATGTGCTGCTTTCTTTTACCACCAATCAGGAGCAATCCCACCAAAACCAGCAACTTTGTTAATCTCTTAGTCTTAGAAAAGAAATAAAATTGCCACCTCTTCCTCTCCCAAAACCACCATCCATCATTTTACTTATCTGCTACCAGAGGAAGAGGAAGCCAAGAGAATACAGGCCCTTGAGGAGGGGCTGCTCCCCTATTCCCGCCACAGTAAGCACAGCACTGCTTGCAACTAGAACTTCATTCATTAATTTTTTACAAAAGCAGGTGAGAAACATAATAGAGGAAAATGTAGTCCTAGCAGCAACAACATGAAGGCTGAATGAGTGGCTCCCACAGCACAGCCGAAACCCACCCCTTTAAGTGACGGAGAAGCTGAGGAACAGCTCTAATCCACGGATCGCCAGGAGACAGCACAGCTGGAAGGACCTGAGCCTTGCCCCTGGGCTTCTGCCATCTAAACATAGGAAACACTTGTGGCTTTCCACTAATGATGACACTGAATCCAGTATTCCTCCCACTCCTTTTTCAAAATAGCAGTGGGTATAAAAAGTCAAAGTTGTGCAGACAAGTGAGAAAAAGAAACAGACATCCGCAGACCCTCAGGCCCATTCCAGGCAGAACCGCCCGCTCCCCACACCCGCTGCTGGGGTCCACACTTTCTCCTTCTCATTCAGGACTCTTGATCGCGGGGCCTATCCAGATCCTTGCAGCATGCGGCACGGGTTCCACGTGTGCGTGGGCAGCCTGGCCTTTCTGTGCAGCATCCCCTGATCTCCACTGGCCTTTCCCCTCCACTCCACTCAGTGACCCAGCCCAGGGCAGTCTTCCTGCTCGAAATTACACCATCGCCAAAATTCCGGCTGCCGCTCTCCGACCCGTTTCTTCTGGCAGCAGGCTGGTTCCTCGGCCCCACCGTGCTGACTCCTTGGCCTCCTGAACTCCTCATCCGGCCCTTCTCCGTTTTTTCAGCGGCTTCAACAGGACATTCAAATTCCCTTTCCGCTGCCTCCACCTGGTAAAATCCCACCGGAGTGCAGCTTTCCCTCCTCCTGCTCCAGGAGGTGCTGAGCTGAGCACTGCTGGGTGGAGTCAGGCACAGGGCAGGGGGGTCCTGAGCCAGTCCTCATCAGCCCCCCATGGCCTGCACATTGCTGCCTGGCAATCTAAGGCTTCTTGCTTTATCTCAACGTCCATTTTACTCTAAACCACTTCAAACCTCCACTTCCTGCCCCACACTTCCATTCTTAGCAGACAACTTCCCCTACTTCACACACAGAAACCCAAAGCCATCAGTGTGAACTCCCTTACCTTCCTGCTGCCACCAAACCACCAAACCACCAAACACACCAACTAAGAACACCCATGCTCTTGTCCTTTCCTGGTTCCCACAGAGCTGAGATCCACCTGTCCACCCTGCTTTACAGCCAACCCCTTACCTGCTCAGGGAATTGATGCTATTGGGCTTTTTCCTCTAGTGAACATGTTCTCACTCTCTGAAAATGCATCCATCAACTTTTAAACATGAAGTCCCTTCCATCTTAAACAGAAAGCTTACTTCACTTCACCTTCCAGCCTCTGTACACTCATACATCCATTCATCCATCCATCCATCCATCCACTAACTGGCTCAATAAATACTGAGTGCTGCTATGTGCCTGTTCTAAGTGCTGGGTAAGGGATCCAGCTCCTGGTTAAAAATCTATGTGCTGGCTGCTACACCAAAAATACCATAGGCCAGGCACTGTGGCTCACGCCTGTAATCCTGGCACTTTGGGAAGCTGAGGCAGGCGGATTGCTTGAACCCAGTTCAAGACCTGCCTGGGCAACATGGCGAGTCCTCCATCTCTACAAAAAATACAAATATTAGCCAGGTATGGGGGCACACACATGTAGTGCCAGCTACTTGGGAGGCCGAGGTGGGAGGATCACCTGAGCCCGGGAGTCAGAGGTTGCAGTGAGCCGAGATCACACCACTGCACTCCAGTGTAAGTCAGAGTCTCCCAAAGAGCCTAAACAGCTGTGGAAGCTCCTCACTGGAGGGCCGACTGTGGAATCTCGGCACTGGAGGGCTGAGCTTTGAAACAACTGATGAGAACCTGAGAAGCCAATCTGAGCGATGGGGAACGCTCGTGGACTGTGTAGTCATGAGATCCAAGCACCAAGCACTCTGGGGCTTTGGGTTTGTCCTGTATGCCGCTGTGAAGGAGGTGGATGCGCCATGAATGCAAAGCCACACAAGGTGGATGAAGAGTTGTGGAACCAAAGGGCTGTCTCGAGAAGATTCTCAAAGACGAGGTGCCCAACTGTGAAAAAGATATTTGCTGGCGGCATTAAAGAAGACATTGAAGAACATCGCCTAAGAGATCTTGAACAGTATGGAAAAACTGAAGTGACTGAAATCATGACTGACAGAGGTAGTGCCAAGAAAAGGGGCTATGCCTTCGTGCCTCTGACAACCACGACGCTGTGGACAAGACTGTCACTCAGAAATACCATACTGTGAATGGCCAAAACTGTGAAGTTAGGGAAGTCCTGTGAAAGCAAGAGATGGCTAGTGCTTTATCCAGCCAAAGAGGTCGAAGTGCTTCTGGAAACTTTGGTGGTGGTTGTGGAGGTGGTTTTGGTGGGAATGACAACTTCGGTCATGGAGGAAATTTCAGTGGTCATGATGGCTTTGGTGGCAGCTGTCCACAGCGGTGGCGGTGGATACAGTGGCAGCAGGGATGGCTGTAATGGATTTGGTAATGATGGAATCAATTCTGGAGGTGGCAGAAGCTCCAATGATTTTGGCAATTACAACAATCAGCCTTCAAATTTTGGACCCATAAAGGGAGGAAACTTTGGAGGCAGAAGCTCTGGCCCTTATGGTGGTGGAGAACAATACTTTGCCAAATTTTACTTTACTTTACAAAACCAAGGTGGCTACGGTGGTTCCAGTAGCAACAGTAGCCATGGCACTGGCAGAAGATTTTAACCCATTTATGCCTGAGGTTGCACTTTTTGAATTTGAAAAATCAGACCTTGGCGATGACCTTGAACAGGAGAACATAAATAACTCCCACATGCTTAGCGTTCCAATAATGGAATACCAGGCATAAATGGGTTCACAAAACCAAGGTGGCTATGGTGGTTCTAGTAGCAGCAGTAGCCATGGCACTGGCAGAAGATTTTAATCACTGCCAGGAAACAAAGTTTAGCCGGAAAGGAGAGCCAGAGAAGCGATAGGGAAGCTACAGGTTACAAGAGATTTGTGAACTCAGTCAGCCAAGCACAGTGGTGGCAGAGCCCAGCTGCTACAAAGAAGATATGTTTTAGACAATACTCACGTGTATGAGCAAAAAACTCCAGGACTGTATTTGTGACTAATTTTATTAACAGGTTATTTTCGTTTCTGTTCTGTGGAAAGTACCAAGCATTCCAACAAAGGGTTTTAATGTAATTTTTTTCTTTTGCACTCATGCTGTTGATTGCTAAATGTAATAGTCTGATCATGAGACTGAATAAATGTGTCCTTTTAAAAAACGTGCTGTGTAAAGTTAGTCTCCTCGGAAGCCATCTTGGTAAACTCCCCCAAGAGTGTGAAGTCAGAATTCCTTCAGGGTGATGCCAGGTTCTACTTGGAACTTATTTACACTCTGCTCGGGTGGAGAAGCCACTGTCTTCAGTGAGCTCGGTGTAGCTGAACTGACAGTTACTGTTGTGACCTGAAGTTCACCACCAAAGGGGATCACCCAAGCAAAGTCACAGAATTATTAGTTATAAAAATGATTGTTGGCACATCCCATGCAATATATCTAAACTGAATAATGGTACCAGATAACATTATAGATGGGAATGAAGCTTGTGTATCATCCATAATTGTATGTAGCTAATAAACTATTTAATTCTCTTAAAAAAACACTGTAGACTGGGTAGCTTATAAACAACAGACACTTATTTCTCTCAGTTCTAGAGACTGGAAGTCCATGATCAAGGCGCCAGCAGATTCGGCGTCTGGTGAGGCATCTCTGGTTCACAGATGACACCTTCTGAGTCCTCACACGATGGAAAGGGCAATGGATCCTTCTTTTCCTCAACTTCCCAGGCTCAAGCAATCCTCCCACCGCAGCCTCCCATGTAGCTGGGACCACAGGCACACACCATCACGCTCAACTAATTTTTTAATTTTTTGTAGAAGCGGGGTCTCGCCATGTTGCCCAGACTGGTCTTGAACTCCTGGGCCCAAGCAATCCTCCTGCCTCAGGCTTCCAAAGTGCTGGGATTATAGGCATGAGCCACTGCATGTGGCCTGGGGCCTCTTTTTTAATAGGGCATGAAACCCATTCCTAATCACATCCCAAAGGCACCTCCTCCTCATACCATCACATTGGGGATTAAGTTTCAACATAGGAATTCTGGGGGGGACACAGACATTCAGACCACAGCACTGTGAGTGATTTTGGGGCTGGCCACAGGCAATTACACAGGCTCTAGCAGGCAGGCCTCCCGGGGAAAGCTCCCTCTGCACACCAGACTTGGAGCACAGCCCAGGCAGTGTAGCCCCTGGGGAGGTGCAGTCAAGGTCCCAGGCCCTTCGGCCCACCACACTTTTTCATGTAGTTCCCTTCCTAGCCCAGTGCCTTATTTCCCAGGAATCCTTATCTGAGGCTGTAGGAGTAGACGGGACCCCCAGCTGGCACACGCCTGGCACAGTGGTTGGGAAGCTCACCTTGACCATTCTAGCTTCAGCCCTCCCCTGGCTGAAACCCTGCAGACACAAGTCACTTCCGTGTCCTTAATTCCAAGGAACATTTTTGAAGCATCAGTATCCTTTCCAACTCAACAGCACAGGACACTTTGGCACTCCCTCCTGCTTACAATGTTCTCTTCAACTCCCATGTCCCACCGGCTCTCCTGACTGTCCTCCCGCCTCGCCAGCTGCTCCTGCTTGGGGTCTCCTCTGCCGCCTTAGCTCCTTCTACCTGGAAAGACAGCTTCCTCCTTGTGTTTCTCTACACTCCCCCTAACCACCTCACCCACACCTACCATGGGAACAGTGAGGGAAATAGATAAGGTAGGTATACTTACAATCTTCTAAGTGGGAAAGGCAGAGAGAGCTTAAATTGTTTATTAGGCATTTTTCTCTTATTACCATCTTCCACGCGGTGATCTTTGAAGTGAAACATGATAAATTAATGCCATTTGTAAATATGAAATAACTCAGTCAACAAGCAAATGACTTGTCTCAACCTGTGTGCTATGGTCTGAGTGTTTGCTGAAATCCTCGACCCCATGGTGATGGTACTGGAAGATGGCCCTTCAGGAGATGATCAGGTCATGGGGATGGAGTCCTCATGAATGGGATCCACGCCCTAATAAGACGAGAAAGAGACTAAAGCTCTCTGCTCTCTGCCATGTCAAGATATAACCAGAGGCAACAGTGTGACACCAGGAAGGGGGAGGCCTCACCAAGAACCCATGAGTGCACCTTGATCTCTGACTTCCGGCCTCAAAACCCGTAAGAAATAAATTTCTGTTGTTTATAAATCACAAAGTCTAAGGTATTTTATTACAGCAGGCTGAATGGACTAAGACATCTCGCAAATTGTCAGCAGGGGTTAGTAGGACTCCCACAAGAGAACTCTGTAGAATGTTCCGGCATTATGTTCTTGTCATCTAACTCCCAACAATTACCTTATGCCAATGCCCTCAGCTCTCCTTGGTAGTTACCCAAATCCAAACAACTCACTCATCTGTTTGTTCAACAAGTAGTTATGAACAGCTATTAGACACCAGGTACTTGGTAGGTTCTACATACACAGAAAGGAATAAGACAGCACCTAGCGTACTTACATTCAGATGGGGGAAAATGGGCAATAAACTAATGAGGCAGGTTCTACTAAGGACATAAATAGGGGCAGAGTAACTGGGTCAGGAAGAGCCTCTCTAAAGAGGTGACCAAGTGAAGACATCAGGAAGTGACCAATCCAACTCTGAAAAGAGCCAGGAAGGGGCATTCCTGAAAAAAGAAATGCAACTGCCAGGTCTCCCAGGCAGAAGAAAATGGCTCCAACTGAGGAGGAGAAAGAGGGCAGGGCAAGGCAAGCACTGGGGAGAGGGTGGGGAGGCGGGCCGACAAGCAGTGCAGGGCTGAGAGGCCAAGGGAGGGATCTGGATTTTACTCAAGTGCTGCAGGAAGTCAATGAAGGATGTGATCAGGGGAGGAATATGATCAACTCTCTTAAGATCTGGCTCAATATCTCTCCCTCCTTGACTTCTTCCCAGGCATCTCGAAGGAGAGGTCCCAGAACTCTGGCTACCGTGCCTCTCCCCGGGGCTCAAAGCGCCTGCATAGGAGGATGATGCAGCCTGGATGTCAGGATGCTCCCCTATGACCTTCACTGCCTCGCCCAACTCCTCAACTGGCCTAGAACCATCCCTGTCAAGACCCAATTCCAATGTGCCCGCCATCCTGGTTACGTCTTGCTGCACAAGACGTGCAACACTCTCAGGTCATCCCTCACCCCATTCAGGTCTGTGCGCCTTTAATCCCATCTCATCTCCTACCCATCTCCAAAAACCAACAGCAAACCTCCCTATGTCCTCACCCTCTTCTCTGATGATCCTCTCACCTTCCGGCTAGGTTTGAAATTTAGTCTCCAGGACCAGGGCTCTCCCCTGTGAATCCTGTACCACTTGGACAGGCAGTGAGCTAGGTGTCTGCCCTCCTCACTGCCACTTCCTGCCCCTTCCTCCTCCCTAGAGAAACCTGCTTTCCAAGTCACTCCTCAATAGCCCCCTAGCAACAATTCCCTCTTGCCTGCACCATAATTTTCCCCTTTCCTGGACCATTCCCAATGCACAGAAACATCCAGTATTTTCCTTGGGAAAATGACATGTTCCCCGACCCCACTGCATCCTTCAACTACCACCCACTTCTTTGCTCCACAGGAAAAATCACTGAGATGGCCATACCATCTCCATCTTCTTTCTATTCTCCCCTGACTTCAATCAGGCCTCTGACCCCATCCAGCCACCAAGACTGCTCTCGTGGAAGTGACAACTGATAACCTCCACGGGTAATCTGCTCTTAACTTCTGAGACCCATCAACAGTACTGGGTCCCATCCCCTTCCTAAAGCACTCTCTTCCCTCACTTTCTGGGGCATCCTTCTCTCTTGGTTCTCCTCCTCCTTCTCTCGCCACGCCTCTCAGCTGTCTTTGCCGGCTTCTGCTCATCCTCTAAACTTCTACACACCTAGAGAAAACCAGAGGTCAAACCTTGGACCTCATCTTGACGATCTCATCTCTCTCCTATTTCCTCCCACAAACTCTACAGTGTTACGTCCAACTGCTTTCCTCACATCTCCACTTGGATGCTACCTGGATCTCAGACTTCACGTCCACACTGAAATGATTTTCCTCCCTGAACCTGCTCCTCCCACAGTCACTTAATGGCAACTCCACCTCTCCAGATGCTCAGGTCGAATGCCATGAGGCATCCTTGCCTCCTCCCACTCTCACACATCCAATCCGTCAACAGTGTGGCCTGCTGGCTGTACACTCAGACCATTTACAGAATCTGACCACTTTTTTGTTTTTTAAACAGGCTTTTTTGCTCTTTAAACCACTTCTATCACTGATTTGAGCCACAGTCATCTCTTGCCAGGACAACTGTACTTGTCTCCAGCCCAGTCTCTGGGCTTCTAACATTGCCTCTACAGTTTGTTCTCCACAGAGCTGCCAGAGTGATCCTTTAAAATCCAAGTCGGTCACACCACCACTCTGCTCTAAACCCAAAGGCTTCCTATCACACTCAGAGTAAAGCTAAAATCCTTTCTATGGCCTATGAGAACCCTCACAATTGAGAATCCCCCTTCCTGCTTCACCTTTTCTTCTACAATTGTCCCTCTTCTCTGCCCCGCTGCTAGAGCCCCTCTGGCCTCCTTACTGGCCCTGAACATGCTGACCACACACCACTTGGGACTCTGTATCTGCCTTGGAGGCTTTTATTCACAGGATGCTCAGACATCCCAGCAGCTCTTCTGAGCTGTGCTCACATGACTCCCTGGCAGGGAGGCCTTATCTAAGTAATATGGCAACCCCAACCTCCTCAACCTGCTCTGACTTTTTCTGTGGCTGTCTGACACATTATATACTTGTTTATTCACTGTTTCCTCCAATTAAAATTTAAGTTCCATGTGAAAGAGGTATTTGCACTGGTCACTGTTATTAACACCTGCATCTTGAACAATGTCAAACATATGCAGGAACTTGAATATTTGTTAATGAACGATCACCTCCTCTGAACTCACAGCACTTGTCTATACAGCCAGTCACTCTAATCTTTGATTGATTACTTCTCCACATATCTTTCTCCCCTCTAGACAGTGGGCTCAAGATAAGTGATATTACCTTTGCATCTCCAAAGTTTAGAGTAGCACTGTCCAATAGAACTTTCTGCAATGCAAATGTTCTGTATCTGCGCTGTTTAATACAGTAGCCTTTAACCACATGTGCCTACTGAACATGTGAAATGTGGTTGCTGTGACTAAGGAACTGAATGTTAAATTTTATTTAATTTTAATTAATTTAAATTTAATTGCTCCAGGCGCAGTGGCTCAAGCCTGTCATCCAAGCACTTTGGGAGGTCAAGGTGGGCGGATCACTTGAGGTCAGGAGTTCGAGACCAGCCTGACCAACATGGTGAAACCCCCATCTCTACTAAAAACACAAAATAATTAGCAGGGCATGGTGGCAGGTGCCTGTAATCCCAGCTACTCAGGAGGCTGAGGCAGGAGAATTGCTTGAACCCGGGAGGCAGAGGTTGCAGCGAGTCGAGATCACGCCACTGCACTCCAGGCCTGAGCGACAAAGCAAGACTCCATCTAAAAAAAAAAAAAAAAAAAATTCATTGGCCACATGTGGCTGTGGTAATATACAGAGTTACAGAGTGCAATGAGAACAGATACTTGTCTTACACTCTCTGAACCCAAAACTGTAGCCCAGAACTCTACCCACACCAAGTGCTGAGTAAGTATAATGACAAGGAAGTCAGGAGAGACAAATAGAAGATCCTTATGAAATACAATTCAATTTTAAACGTCCAACTTCTGCGACAGCACACAATAACGTGCAATATAATCGCATGCAATAACAAAAAAACTTACACCGCAGTTCCTGCTCCACTGCTACTTTTAACCTTCTTGCTGGAGGAAGTAACCCTTATCAAGTCTCGCTGGTAAGGCGCAGACACAAGGGCTTTTATTAAGAAAAAAAAAAAAATCTCTTACCAGGGCTCACTGCCTTAACAGAAAAATTTTAATTCAATATTATTTCACTTACCAATGTCCTGTTTATTTTTCCTCCAGTCTCCCTATTTCCAAAAGACCACCCCCCAGCAAACACACACATAACACCACCTTTACCTCCAAAGACAAACAGATGCAACAAGCTTTAGGGTCTCGGCTCACTGCAGCTTGCAGGATAAATGCCCTGCATAGCTACTTACGCTGCACAGCCCGAGGCCAGACCCCGCACCAGGCTCAGAAAACCAAATAGTACGTGGGAGCGATGGATTATTTGGGAAAGCGAGGGCAGACGTTAGCGGATTCCTAAGTCAGAAGGCCAGATGGGAGAGTCGGGGGGGGGCCTCAAAGTGGGTTTAAGTAGACCGCATGGAAAACTGGAAAGTTCTCAAATTCTACCCAGGAAGCAGGCGGAGCCCTCCTAAATCAACCAGCCGGGCAGAGGAGTCCCAGACCCCCGGCCTCGCACCCACCCCACCCGCTCGGCCGGTCCTCAGTGCGGCCGGGGCCAGCGGGCAGCCCCGGGACTGGACGAGGGCGCAAGTTCGCTACCTGCGCAGTCAGGCCCTGCTCCTCGTCGTCCTGGCCGCTCAGGACTCGCCGCAGCTTCTCCATGGCCCTGTTACAGGGCCGTAGCGGCCGCCACTCTGTTGCCTGCCCCTGACGCCCACCAGGAAACCCCGAACCCGAAACCCCACAGACCAGCCGGAAGTCCGGTCCCGCCCGCTTCCTGTGCGTCAGCGCGGCCGCCGTAGCAATGCGCGCATGCTCACCAGCCTTTCTCTCGGACCCGGTAGTGGTCCGTGAAGTCCGCGGAGTGGGCGCTGATGGTGGGGCTATCCCTTCCCACTGTCCGCGAGGTGCGCCGTGGTAACGCGCGGGGACACAGCGCGGGTGTGGACCCCCTGCCCACAGCTGGCGCACAGCCATTGAGTGTAGACCCGACTGGGGCACGACCACTGAACCCTGCACTTGGCGTCCTCCGGGCCCCGCGAGGGGCCTTGCTGGGCGGGTCCGCGGCACCCCGGGTTCCCAGAAGTCGAGGCCCCGAATGCGCCTCCCCTCGCCTGGAATCGGAGAGCGGAGGGCTCCTGCGGGCAGGTGGCCGTGCTCCGAAGAGCGCCCTGCCACCCATGAGGTGGCCCTGGGGGCGTCGCTAGCCTTCCCAGCTGGGTGTCCTCATCCGGAGACACAAACACCTGCCTCAGGATTAAAGCGAGGAGCTGTATTTCAGACCGTCTCAGGAGAAATAGCAAGAGGCTGCCTCACTCCTTTGCCCTTGTGAGAGCTATTTCTTTACTCAGTTCACTGGTCAGCTAGGAGTTTGAAAGAGTGAAATCTTATTTATAAAAGGAATAGCTAATGCAACCCATTTTTCCAGTTTTGTGTGAACAGTGAAACCATTGAACAAGCGTTTACTGTTCTCCGGCTCGTGCTGGATGAACAAACACTAAGAAATGGGGAAGTGGCATTTTTCTCTCTCTCATTTTCCACCATGCTAAGAAAGGAGATTAAAAATCAGGGCTGCCTGTCTAATATGGTCTCCAGAAGTCATTAAGTGATAGGTTTTGCTCTTCTGTTTGCTTCTAGGCTTGGTAAGATGGTAATGAGAATGCCTGTTCTTTTGATTACTTTGCCCACTCCATTTCCTCCCTAAAATCTTTCAGTTAAAAGGTGGATCCTCAAAAAGTTTCATTGTCCATCCTACTGCCTCAGTAGAGATTTTATCTAAACTCAATTAGATAAAAACAAATACCACAGGAACCCTAGGAAAGCAAGTCGCGCCTTCTTGTGATGAAACGGTCCAATGCTCAGCATCCTTTTCCTTTAGGCAGAAGATATTTCTATGTGGCCTGTTCATACTAATATGAGAAGTCTTATCCTTATGTCCTTAACTTTAAAAGGTCAGAAAATAGATTGTAAAATCTATAGAATAAAACTATGTTTCTGTTGAATAAGAGAGTATGTCCGTAAGTGTTACGGGAAAGGGGTCCGGATCCATACCCCAAAAGAGGGTTCTTGGATCTTGCGCAAAAAGAATTCAGGGCAAGTGAAAACAAGTTTATTTAAAAAGTAGAGGAACATCGGTAGTCTGAGGCAGAGAATTGCTTGAACCCGGGAGGCGGAGCTTGCAGTGAGCCGAGATCGCGCCCCTGCACTCCAGCCTGGGCGACAGAGCGAGACTCCGTCTCAAAAAAAAAAAAAAAAAGTAGAAGGACAAAAGAATAGCTACTCCATAGGCAGAGCAGGGCTGTCTATTACCAGGGCTGCTGGTTGCCCATTTTTATGGTTATTTCTTGATGATATGCTAAACAAGGGGTGGATTCATGCCTCCCCTTTTTAGACCATATAGGCTAACTTCGTGATATTGCCATGGCATTTGTAAACTGCCATGGCGCTAGTGGGAGTGTAGCAATGAGAACGACCAGAGGTCTCTCTTGTTACCTTGGTTTTGGTGGGATTTGGCCGGTTTCTTTACTGCAGTCTGTTTCATCAGCAAGGTCTTTATGATCTGTATCTTGTGCTGACCTTCTATCTTATCCTGTGTCTTAGAATGACTTAACTGTCTGGGAATGCAGCTCAGTGGGTCTCAACCTCATTTTACCCAGCCGCTATTCAAGATGGGCTTCTCTGGTTCACATATCTGACATAACTGCTTTCAAGATTTTCAAGTATAGGCCGAGCGCGGTGGCTCACTCCTGTAATCCCAGCACTTTGGGAGGCAAAGGCGGGTGGGTCACAAGGTCAGGAGTTTGAGACCAGCCTGGACAATATGGTGAAACCCCGTCTCTACCAAAAATACAAAAATTAGTTGGGCATGGTGGCGGGCGCCTGTAGTCCCAACTACTTGGGAAGCTGAGACAGGAGAATCGCTTGAACCCAGGAGGTGGAGGTTGCAGTGAGCTGAGGTCGCTCGTTTGCACTCCATCCTGGGCAACAGAGTGAGACTCTGTCTCAAAAAACAAACAAAAAAACCTTACTTCCTAGCTCTTCCTGCTTCCTGGCCACATAGTTTTTTCAAGAGCCAATGACTCCTGAACACAAGGACATGCACAAAATTGTTGGGGTGATCAGACCCAACACCAGGTTGTGGGAGTGACAAAGTCCAGCAGAGTCAAAAGATTGAGAAAAAAGTTTGAGAGAGAAATGTGGGACAACAGGGGCCATTGCTATTGCGGAGGCTGTGAAGGCCCCGAGCTCTGGGAGCCCACAGTGTTTATTGGTAATCCAACTAAGAAACAGGTGGTGAGAATGTGGAGGTCATGTTGCATTAAGCACATGATTTACAGCTGTGACAGTTTAGCATTTATATGGAACATGTTCTGCTACTTGAGATAATGGGAATAGGTGCCTAGGAGCCTAGGAAGGCTAGAAGCAAGGAGCCAGCAAGTCTAGACACATTCCAGAGGACATTATGCAAGCCCTGCCTCAGTTTCCCCCCAACACTCAGCTTTTTCCCAGCATGCCCCCCTTCTCTTTATTGTAAAAGAGAAGATATCATTATTACTAGCTATCATTATTACTAGCATGGCTCTGGTTTGAATGCTTCCCACATATCTCCCCTTTCCCTTTTACAAGAAGACCCTTAATCCTAGGGGTTGCAGAAGGATGAAGGTCCATCTTCTGTAACTTCTTCATGCTGAATAGGGGTGACGATATTCCTGTCTAACTGTTAGGGTCTCTCATATTCAGGGTAGAGAGGAGCTGAGTCAGAAAGCATTGGCCCGTTAAGCATCGTGACTCCGGTCGGTCCTCATTCCTTCTTCGCATTCAGATTCAACTGGCTCATGGCTCACACTGGGGGAACCCGGTCCAAGGTTGGGATCCATGGGTACCTCCAGTCTCCCATTCCATGGTCGTACACATCTTGAGGGTATCCACACGGTTTGTTCATCTCCTGCAAAAACACAAGCATACCCTCACCCCCACGTTAGTAAATCTACTGAAACAGAAGCAAAAACTTTTGTGGCTGTAGCCGGGAGGCCACTGATAATGAGAAACAGGCCTTTTCTGATTAACAGAAGGCATAGAGAAAGCAAATCGAGGCTTTTCAAACCTTCAATTCGCACTGTACTCTACATGTGGGTCCACTAGATGCCGTGGCTCGTGATAGATCTTCAGATGGTTGGTGGGCACCCACACAGACACCTGAGTGTCACCTGGAGAGACACAAGCAAATCCTCTTCCCCACAAAATTATCTTTAGGCAGGGATCAGAGGACGTAGATTCAGAGGTAAAGAGAATTTGGGGGGCCTAATGGCTTCCTCATGTTTGATAGGTGTTCCCTCGGAAGTTAGGAATTCCCTTTCTCTCCATATTGCTGCGTGGGCTTGGAGGACTAGGTAAGCATGCTTAGAGTCTGTATATTTAACCTTTTTCCTTCTAATTCTAGTGTATAATGGCCCCTGCTTTTGCTAGAATGTCTCTCCCTAACAAAGGAGTGGGGCTTTCGGGCGTAATTAGAAAGGCATGTGAAAAGAGTAAATTTCCCCAGTCACAACTTAGTGGCTGGGAGAAGTATCAAGTGACTGCCTGTCCTAGGACCCCTCAGATAGTGACAGATCTGGAGGACAATTGTCCAGGACAGGAGAGTAAGACTGAGAAGACCGCACCAGTGTCCAGGAAACAGTTAACCTCCTGGCCCTCAATGGTCAAGCATACCTGGGGCTCTGTGTGGGTGATGGCATGGGCTGGTGCTTGCCCTGGTACCCTCAGTCCTGCTGCTGGATCATCTGGTTAGTGGCTTCTGACTCAGAGGACCTTTGTCCCCCAGGGCAGTGGGACTTCAAATTCAAATTCTGAGGCGTTTGTTGTTAGGAGTAGAAAAGTACTTTCCGAAACACATACCTTCTCCTTATTGGAATATCCCCTTTATCTACTAAAATGTACAGAAAACTCTAGGGCAAAAACTTCCCAAATGTTTGTAAATCTCAACTCCTCAGATGTAGTGTCTGGGCTAGGTAAGGCAGGGGCATAGACTGGAAAAAGTATAAAGCTTCCATTTTTTGTTTGCAACCAATTCTTCTGCAGTGATTAACAAATGGCCTTGATGCAAATAAAGAAAATCTACCCCTTAACTGCCCTCTGCCTCCATGAACATGCCTAGATGGAAATGTGGGTAGTGAGAGGGGACTCTTGATGTCACAGAAGGGTGCTTGGGACAAGGGTTTGTTAATTCATTGCCATTTGCTCAGCTCCTAACCAGCTATGAAACTGCAAGAAAGTCACTTGCAAGAAAGTCCTTGGATCTTTGGTTCCTTATTTTATTTTTAAAAAAGAAGAAGAGGGAAAGATGAGATTATCTCTAGTGAACTTCTGGAATTACCACCCTTTGCCCATTGGTTGATGCAAAGAGAGAGAGAGAGAGAGTGTGTGTGTGTGTGTGTGTGTGTGTGTGAGAGAGAGAGAGGGAGAGAGAGAGAAAATGGAAAAGAAGTGGTGCCTGAACTGAAGGAGCTGATCCTATGGGGAGAAGCCCATCCCACCATCCCACAGGACTGGCATAAACACTGAAGGTCATCTCTGGTTGAAAGCCAACAGCCTCCCTCCTAAGTGTCTACACTGAGTGCTTAACACAGAATGACAATTCTATTTTGGGCTCCCCCATCCCAGTTGGTTATAAATATTAATTTATTGGGGGAGTATGGAAAAGCATTGTTCTAAGAGCCATAACTATATCAAAAGCTACACCCAGAGGTATCAGTTTCCCCTTGTCTCCTCTCATTCTCTCCTCTCATTCTTTCCACCCCATTCCCACCCATCCCCTATAGGTAAATGATCTCATTAATTACTGGTTTCTACTTCCTCTGTTTCTTTTGCACAAGAGACCTGATACATGCATACTTTCCTACATCTCCCTTCTTTCTTACGTGAAGGATAATATATTACATTCTTTTCATTTTGCTTTTTTCATTTAACAGTATACCCTGGAAATCAGCTCATATCAGTTTTCAGAGATTTTTTCCCCTTTTTTGGCACAGCTGCACAATACTGCATTGTTCTATAGTTTTCTCAATGACTACTTAGATTGTTTCTAATATTTTTCAGTAAGAAACAATATTGCAATAAATAATATAATGCACATATATATGTATATGAGAGGTCTTCAAAATGTTAATGGGAAATGTGTATTATGAAAAAACTATGCATGAATTTTAAACTTTTTGCACCAAAATAAACCTGTACTAACTTGTTATAACATGTCTGAACAGGTTCAAGTTTGAGGCATTAAGAAGGATAAGACATCAATTTGAAAAGAGCCCCTGTCAGAGCAACATGACTTGAAAGCAAGAAGAAAAAACAAAAAATGAAGCAAGAACAAACATCAAATTTATGCTGAGTTTGGCTGCAAGAATGGTGAAATCATTGATACTTTACAAGACACTAATCAGGACAGTGCCCCAAAGGAATCAGCAGTTTACAAATGGATATAACCTGTTTTCAGAAGAGACAAGATTAATTTGAAGATGAAGCAGTGGCGGACCATCCATGTCAATTTATGAGAAAAAAATTCATTCTGTTCATGCCCTAACTGAAGAGGACTGACAACAGCACAAACAATAGCCAACATCATAGACATCTCAACTGGTTCAGCTTACTCAATTCTGACTGAAAGTTAAAGTTGAGCAAACTTTCCACTCAATGAGTGTCGAAACCCTCATGCCCAGATCAGCTGCAGACAAGAGCAGAGGTTTCAATGGAAATTTTAAACAAGTGAGATTAAGATCCTGAAGCATTTCTTGAAAGAATTGTAACAGGAGATAAACCATGGCTTCACCAGTACAATACTGAAGACTAAGCACAATCAAAGCAATGGCTACCAAGAGGCCGAAGTGGTCCCATTAAGGCGAAAGTGGACCAGTCAAGAGCAAAGGTCATGGCAACAGTGTTTTGGGATGCCAAGACATTTTGCTCGTTGACTTTCTGGAGGGCCAAAGTGCAGTAATGTCTGTTTATTATGTTTTGAGAAAGTTGGCCAAACCTTTAGTAGAAAAATGCCCAGGAGAACTTCACTAGAGTGACCTTCGTTCAATTTCAGATCACCACAATAAAGCAAAAAATTGCAATTATAAATTTTTTGGTTTCCCAGTACATGTAAAAGTTATAATTACACTATACTATAGTCTATTAAGGGTGCAATAGCATTATGTCTGAAAAAAACAATGGTCATGCCTTAATTTAAAAATACTTTATTACTAAAAAATGCTAGCAATCATCTGAACCTTCAGTGAGTCATAATATTTTTGCTAGTGGAGGGCCTTGCCTGGATGTTGATGGCTGCTGACTGATCAGGATGGTGGTTGCTGAAGGTTAGGGTGGCTGCAGCAATTTCTTAACATAAGACAACAGTGAAGTTTCCTGCATTGATTGACTCTTCCTTTCATGAAATATTTCTCTATAGCATGTAATGCTGTTTGATAGCATTTTACCCACAGTAGAATTTATTTCAGAATTGAAGTCAGTCCTCTTAAACCCTGTCACTTCTTTATTAACTAAGTTCACGCAATATTCTAAATCCTTTGTTGTCATTTCAACAATGTTCACAACATCTTCACCAGGGATAGATTCTGTCTCAAGAAACCACTTTCTTTGTTCATTCGTAAGAAGCAACCCCTCATCTGTTCAAGTTTTCTCATGAGATTGGAGCAATTCAGTCACATTTTCAGGCTGCATTTTTAATTCTAGTTCTCTTGCTATTTCTACCACATCTGCAGTTACTTCCTTCACTGAAGGCTTGAACCCCTCAAAGTCACCCATGAGGGTTGGAATCAACTTCTTCCAAATTCCTGTTAATGTTGATGTTTTGACCTCCTCTCATGAATGATGAATGTTTTTAATGACATCTAAAATGGTCAGTCCTTTCCAGAAGGTTTTCAATTTACTTTGCCCCAATCCATCAGAGGAATCACTGTCTATGGCAACTGTAGGCTTATAAAAGGTATTTCTTAAATAATATGTCTTGAAAGTCTAAATGACTCCTTGATCCATAAGCTGCAGAATGGGTGTTGTGTTAGCAAGCATGAAAACAACATTCATCTTGTGCCTCTCCATCTGAGCTCTTCTATGACCAGGTGCCTTGTTGATGAGCAGTAATATTTTGAAAGAAATCTTTTTTCCTGAGCAGTGGGTCTCAACAATGGGCTTAAAATGTTCATTAAGCCATGCTGTAAACAGATGTGCTATCATCCAGGCTTTGATGTTCCTTATACAGAGTACAGGCACAGGCAGAGTAGATTTAGTATAATTCTTAAGGGCCCTTGGATTTTCAGAATGGTAAGTGAACATTGGTGTGAACTTAAGGTCACCAGCTGCATTAGCCCCTAACAAGAGAGTCAGCCTGTCCTTTGAAGCTTTGAAGCTAGGCATTGACTTCTCTCTAGCTATGAAAGTCCTAGATGACATCTTCTGATTTAAGGCTGTTTTGTCTACATTGAAAGTCTATTATTTAGTGTAGCCACCTTCATCAATTATCTTAGTAAGGTCTTCTGGATAACTTGCTGCAGCTTCTACATCAGCATTTACTGCTTCACCTCGCACTTTTATGTTATGGAGATGGCTTCATTCCTTAAACCTCATGAACCAACGAGCTTCAAACCTTTCTTCTGCAGCTTCCTCACCTCCCTCAGGCTTCATAGAATTTAATAGAGTTAGGGCTTTGCTATGGATTAGGTTTTTGCTTATGGGAGGATTGTGGCTGGTTTAATCTTCTATCCAGACTACTACAACTTTCCCCATATCAAAAATAAGGCACTTTCATTTTTTGATCATTTGTTCACTGGAGTGACACTTACTTTTAATTTCCTGAAAATTTTCCTTTGCATTTACAATGTAGCTAACTATTCAGTGGAAGAGGGCTAGTTTTTGACATGCCTTCCTCAATATGCTTAATAATTTCTAGTTTTTGATTTAAAGTGAGACACATGTGACTCTTCCTTTCACTTGAATGCCGAGAGGCCATGCAGGGTTATTAATTAGCCTAATTTCAATATTGTTATTTAAGTTATGGGGAGGCTTGAGGAGAGGGAGAGAGAGACAGGAGAATGGCCGGTCAGTGGAGCAGTCAGAATACACACAACATATATTGATTAACTTTCCTATCTTATATGAGCACAGTTCTTGGCACTCCAAAACAATTACAGTACTAACATCAAAGATCACTGATCACAGATCACCATAACTGATATTATAATAATGGAAAGTCTTGAAATATTGTGAAAATTACCAAAATGTGACAGATACAACATGAACAAATGCTGTTGGAAGAATGGCACTGATAGATTTGCCCAATGCAGGGTTGCCACAAACTTTCAACTTGTAAAAAGAGCAGTATCTGTGAAAGACGGTAAAGCAGAAAGCAATAAAATGAAGTGTGCCCATGTATACTAATAAGACATAGTTCATTTTATTAATAAAGCACCTGTCAATTTCAGTTGAGTAATTTTTATCAGGAATGGGTTTTGAATTTTGTTCAAGGCTTTTACAGCATCTGTGGGATAACTATGTATTGTTTCCCTGGATCTATAAATACATACAGGATACTAATGACTTTTCAAATATTGAACCAACTTTGCATTCTTGGAATAAATCTCACTTGATCATGATAAATTATGTGGTGCTGAATTCCATTTGCTATTTTTTCCATCTTTTATTTTCAGTCTTCCTGGACATCATATCATTGAAGTTTTTTTTAGTATTCAATCTGAGGATCTTTATCTTTTGTTTTTGTAATTTTTTTGTCATTTATAATTATCACAATGACCATAAACAGGATTTATTTTTTGCTATTTATTTCATATCTTACTTTATGGAATTTTTGTTTTGTTTATTTAAAGTCTCTTTTCCTTCTTTCTTTTTGGTCATTTTGAGTATTCTGCCAGTTTAAAAGTTAAACATTACACTTTTGTTTTCATAGTGGTTACAGTTAATATGAAGCCTGTAATTATGTGTATTTACCCATAGTAATAAACTTAGCAATGTCTACAGTGCTTTCAAGTCAAGAATTTTTGCACATGATTATGTCCATTAATCTCCCTCTTCCCTCAGCCCCTGTGTCATGTTGATATTTTAATTCTGGGCTGTTATGAATACAGTCATTTTCCTTTTTTGATCTGTTAAATTAAAACTTGGCCTGAGGCTGCCATAGCTTAAATCCCTGAGTAGGGAAGTATAAACTGGTTTAGTAGGTAAACAAACTGAAAGCCTAATTAAGGAGTATTCTTCGTAACAAACAGCTGAGTGTCAGCCGATCTGAGCAGTGGCCTTCAGCCAATCACAGGCTTCCTGCTGATCAGTCCGCATCCAAATACAGCAAACACAAAGCTGAAATCATTCACACCCATTCTGCACCTCACTTCCCTTTTCTGTCTATAAACTCTCCCTGCCCACTCCGAGGAGGAGAGTTTTCTGAATTGCCACTGGTTTATTGCTGCTGATTCATGAATCGTCCTTCGCTCAATTAAATTGTTTAATTTGTCTAAAAACTTCTTCTTTTGACAGGTCCTATAATAAACTTTACCTAGGTATTCAGTTACCCTTAATTTTTATGTCTTTTGTATAAATATCCTGGATTTGCTGTTTTCTCATTTAAACCTTCCTTTAAGAGTGTTTTCAACATGTGGCAAAATTTTGGAAATATATGAATGAGAATATTGTTATTATACTTTCACATTTAATGACAATTTGATTGGATAAAACTTTTAGTATTCAAAGTTCTTTTCTTTTAATATTTTAAAAACATTCTACTGTTTTTCTCTTGTACCATTTTGCTATTGAGGAGTCCACAATCAGTCTTACTCTTATTCCTTTGTAGACAGGATGATGATATAACTTATCATTCAACTAGGACACTTTGGAGCGTGAAGGGGATACTAGTAATAATTACGCTTGTCAGTGGGTGTAACCCAGGACTGTCCTGTGTATGTTAAGACACATGGTCCACTTATTTATAGGTGTTCAGTCACCCTGTTTATAAGTGATTAGTTCTTTCTCTCTAGAAGCTTTTAGAATTTTATTCTTTGTGTTTGATATTTTTAGGTGTTGCTATAATACTTCTAGGTGTGGGCTTTTTGTTTTTTCTACTTGGCCTTCTGTGATACTGTGATTTATAATAGGAAACATATATTTGGTCTTTCTCCTTTTTCCTGGCATGTAACTCCAAAAACCCACAGAATCTCCAAAGTGATGCATCTATTTGTATGCCAGTGAGATGACTGTGGGCTGGGGGCTCCTGGATAGCCTCAGCATTAGAGGGGGTTGCCAGGGTAACCCCTGTGTGATTAGAGGGTTGGAACTTTCAGCTTTAGGCTACCCTCAGCCTTGGAGGGGAGAAGGGCTGGAGGTTGAGTCAATCACAATGGCCAGTGATTGAATCAATCATGTCTAGGTAATGAAACCTCCATACAAAAACAAAAAGGCTGGAATCAGAGAGCTTCTGGGTTGATCAACAAGAATATGTCAATGTACCAGGATAGTAGCACAGCCCAACTCCATGAAGACAAACTTTTCTGCTCGTGAATTTCCAAACCTCACCCTATGTATCCATTCATCTGGCTGTGCATTTGTATTCTTTAAAATATCCTTTGTAACAAACAGACACTGATAAATGTTAAACAGAGTTTATGGGAGGCCACTGTTTTGGACAGCCCTCCTGCACTAGGCCCCAGTAAAGCAGACCAAACCAGAATGGAGCCATTTGTGCTAAGTGCCTTGGAATCATATGGAACCTTTAAACTTCATCCTTTCTCTCCCTCCTTCTTTCCTTCCTTTCTTCCTTTCTCCCTTCTTCCTTCCTCCTTCCTTTCCTTCCATCCCTTCCATCTTTTTCTTCTTTTCTTCCTTCTTTCTTCCACACTTTCTTCCTCCCTCTCTCCCTATCCTCCTTTCTTCCTTCCTTCCTTTCTTCCTCTCTTTCTGCCTCCTGTCGTTTTCTTCCTTCCTTCTTTCCCCCCCTTCCTTCCATCTTTGTTCCAATAATTCCTGCTCTAATTTCAGTCTCAGGCTCTTTTGTTGATGTTGAACTTAGAGAATGTACTTATGAGCCTTTCCAGTTCATGTGAAACTTTTATTTATTACTGCAAATGTTAAATGCAATTCTATTCTATTCTTTCATATTAAGAGCTAAATGCTGTGTCTTCCAAAATGCACAACATGAGACTTTCCAGTTCATGTGAAACTTTTATTTATTACTGCAAATGTTAAATGCAATTCTATTCTATTCTTTCATATTAAGAGCTAAATGCTGTGTCTTCCAAAATTCATATTTTGAAAACTAATCTCCAATTCGATAGTATTAGGAGGTGGGGCTTCTGGGAGGTGATGAGCCCATAAGGGTAGAGCCCATGTGAATGGGATTAGTGCCCTTATAAAAGAGGCTCCGGAGAGCTCCCTTGACCCTTCCACCACGAAAAGACAGCCTTCTGCAAACCAGGAAGCAGCCCACACCAGACCCTAGATCTGCTGGCAGTCTTGGATTTCCCAGCCTCCAGAACTATGAGAAGTAGGTGTTTGCTGCCAAAGCCATTCAGTCTATGGCATTTGTTATGGCAGCCCAAATGGACTGGGACTTTCCACCTGCAGCACATTTTAAATATTTGCAGAGCCTTCGGCACTGACAAAAGTCTCTGGGCCTGCAAAGGCAGGAACCCCATCCCTCAGCCTTTTTGAGGGTAGTGCACTGTGCATTTCCACATGCCCATGTCCAGTACTGATTTCCCTCTGGGAACTGAGGACATGAAGACTGATAAGCCTTGTTACCTGTCTGAGGTTGGTTAGAGTTCTTAATTGCAAGTAACAGAATCTACTCTGACCAGTTTCAGCAGCAAAGAGATTCACTAAAGGATCGGAGGTTGCTTCCAAAGTCATGCTGCAGAGTGGGAATAAGTCTTGCTTCCAGGACCAATCCCACCTCCATGCTGTGGGACTGAACCTGCCCTCACTGCTGCTGTCCCCCAGTTAATGCCTGGACTTCTGCTGCTGGAAAGAACCACCGCTTCTCCATCACAGAAGCTGCAGGTAGACCGGCAAAAGGGATGTTCCACAGAGAGCCTGCTTCCTTGTGACACTTCCAAACTGAAGTCTCATTTGGGTGTGTCCTATTGGCCAAGTCCAAGCCAATGCCCTGCTTTCTAGCTGCAAGGGAAGTGTGTTGGGAGATAGGCTGATAAACAGGAAGTTCAGGAATGTCCTAAAGTAACATATAAAGGTTATTTAAATTATTATGGTCCATGATTATGACAAGTGTTCATTAAGGAGCTCCCAAAGAGCCTACCATCCAATGGAGGAGAGAGACAAGCATACATTTTCAGTGCGCCGGGGGCTGATGGGAGACGCACCTGCGCAGTTGTAGCTGGTCTCAGGCAGCTCATGCCAACATCAGAAAATATACACCTCTCTATGAGGTCTTGTGTAATTCTGTCTTCTAAATAGAAAGGAAGCCTTTTAAATTTTAAACAAAATTTGCAGAGTTTTCCCTCATATGTTCATACATTTTTCAGACTATTTTTAAAATGCTGTAAGCTTGCTTTGTTCAACTGAGAGTTGATCTTGTCGACTTAGAGAGATTTCATAGCATTTGTCTAGAAAAAGTAACTGCCTGATTCATTCCCCATCCCCCAATTGGCTAATGTGCCCTAATTGTTTTTAAGGAGTCACTTTTTGCTCTAAGTAGCAACTTACTTGAAATTTATGCTAATTTATAGTAAAAAATTATGACATTATAATTCTTGATTAGAAGTGCTTTTAGAAGAAAGTATAAATGTGGCTGACTTTAAATGAAGGAAAGCGTAAAAACTGGATCTGCTGAACAGTCCTTATTGCATCTGGATGGCTGTGTGTTCCCTATGGAGTAAGAAGTGCATTGGACACATGGGGAGCCAGAGACACCATCTGCCTGGGGTGGGCCACTAGAGCCCATGTCCTCCTCTGTGAAGTGGCCCGCCCTGTGCCCTCACTTCATCTCTCCCAGCCAGAATCACAGGCACTGCAATGGCACCCTGTGCCACGCGTGCTGCATCCAGCTGGGCTGTGTTAACCCTCACCCAACTTGCAAAACTCATGCTTCAGCGATGGTGTTGCTGTTGCAAACTAAGCACATTTAGTCATGCAGAACTCCTAGGCTTTTTTTGTTTTGTCTTTTTAAGTAAATAACTGTAATCACTAAAAGGTTTGAGGTAGGTGAGTTATCTGAAGGGTATTTAGTTGTACTAGAAAACACATACAAAAAGCAAAGTCTGCATTTTGACTTACAAGTGAAGAGGTTTCAGACAAAACCCTTAAGAGCTGCGTTTATATTTTTCACCTCTGCTCATCATGTGGAATCTTAAAACATCATCTATCTCCTTAAAGCCCCTCTATAGGAAAAATTAAACACTGACTCGAATAAAGTCAAGAGAATGTTAACTGACAGTTATTTGAATGTATACAGTATAAGCCATAATGAGAAAATACATAGCATGCTATTTAGATAGGTTGGATATGATTATTTTTATTTAAAGAGAAAAGTTATCACTCAAAAAGGGCACAGAATAAAACCTTCACAGGATGATCTTTCAGGACAAGATTAAAAAGTTAAAATATCTAGGTTCTAATAGCACTTGAAATTAAATAGTAAAAGGCTGGCCAGGCATGGTGGCTCACATCTGTAATCCCAATACCGTGGGAGGCCATGGTGGAAGAATTACTTTAGCTAGCCCAGGGGTTCAAGACCAGCCTGGGGAACATAGTGAGACATGCATCTCTCCAAAAATTTTTTAAATGAGCTGGGCGTGATGGCATGCATCTGTAGTCCCAGTGACTTGGGAGGCTGAGATGGGAACATTCTTGAGCCCAGGAGTTTGAGGCTGCAGTGAGCTGTGTTTGCGCCACTATGCTCCAGCCTGGGCCACAGAGCAAGACCTTGTCTCGAAAAAAAAAAAAAAAGAGTTAAAAAGGAGAAGGCAGAAATTGATTTGTTTATCCAGAACTCATTGGTGTAGACAGACTAAATGATGAAGAATGGAAGCATTTAGACCCAATTGCTCTGACGGTAGATTGTCTCGAAGTTCGTGGTAGACTGACCTCCCACCTCCTGTACCTAACAGGACTAGCCTTCTAAGAACTAGCAGCTGCTAGAAAGCAGAAACTTTACACTGAAAATAAAAACTAACAATTGCATTAAAGTCTACATTGGATAGGTGCTTACATAACACACAGTAAAAGGTAATTTCAAGTGAATTTAGAACCATTATTACTTGGAACACACATGCTTAGGACATGGATTCTAAAGACAAAAACTGTAAATAAAATTTTGAAATTGTATTTAGTAGTTTCACTGTTTGTGTTAATAATGGTATTGTTATTGTGAAACTATATTGTTAAAGCAAGTAAGTAGAGAATATTTATGTGATCAGAAATAATGCTATTCAGTATAAAAGAGATTCAATTATAAAATCAAGTAAATTAAGTAGAAATACAATACTAGAGTTGAAGTGTAAATATCAATATGAACTTGTGATTTTAAAAAAGACACCTTTCTAGCACTGACCACTGAAATGGCCAAAAAGCAATGTCCGCCTAATAGCGTAAGTGTGCCAAGAGTCCATCTTTTGGCTACAAACACCACTCCTCATAAACGCAGCCAGAACTCCTTGGAGAAATGTCTCTTCCTTCCATGTTGGGGACAAGGAAAAGACAGGGTGAGCAGGAGAATCTTGTACCAGCAAACACGAAAGCTTTCAGATTGATGGGATTGTATCAAAAGGTCACCATTAAAGGGCTCCCAGTGGCCAAAGGTAGGACATTTGAGCGAAAGAGAATAGTATCATAGTTGATAGAAACCCATTAAATCTATGAAAATTCAGGAGTCTGTTATGCTCAAAACAGAAAACATTCAAAATAATTTATCACTACTGAAATAGCTATTACACCAATTCCTTCCTTTTTAACTTTTAATTTTTATTTTTATAGATTCAGGAGGTACAAGTGCAGTTTTGTGACATGGATATTTTGGATAGTGGTGAAGTCTGGGCTTTCAGTGAACATATTAGTCGGTTCTGACACTGCTATGAAGATACTACCTGAGACTGGGTAATTTATAAAGGAAAGAGGTTTAATTGACTCACAGTTCTGCATAGCTGCAGAGACCTCCAGAAACTAACCATCATGGCAGAAGGCAAAAGGGAAGCAGGCACCTTCTTCTCAAGGTGGCAGGAAAAAGCCATCAGATTTTATAAATGGAGTTCCCAGTGTCAGTATGTTCATGTGTACCTATTATTTAGCTCCCACATAGAAGTAAGAACATGTGGTATTTGATTTTCTGTTTTGGAGTTATTTTAGTTATGACAATGGCCTCCAGCTCCATCCATATTGCTGCAAAAGATATGATTTCATTCTTTTTTTATGGCTGCATAGTATTCCATGGTGCACATATACTACATTTTCTGAATCCAATCATCTGTTGATGGACACTTAGATTGATTCCAAACTTTGTTACTGCAAATAGTGCTGTGATAAACATATGAGAGCACGTGTCTTTTTAATGATTTCTTTTCCCTTGGGTAGATACCTAGTAATGGGATTGCTGGATTGAATGGTTCTCTATTTTTAGTTCTTGAGCAATCTCTATCCTGTTTTTATGAATGTTGTGCTAATTTACATTCCCACCAACAGTGTTTAAGTGTCTTCTTTTCTCTGCATTCTTGCCAACATCTGTTGCTTTTTGACCTTTTAATAACAGCTATTCTGACTGATGTGAGATGGTGTATCTCATTGTGGTTTTACTTTGCATTTCTCTGATCAGCGATGTTGAGCATTTTTTCATGTTTTTTGGCCACTCGTGTATCTTCTTTTGAAAAATGTCTGTTCATGTCCTTTTCCCATTGTCTGTTTACTCTGTTGCCTATTTCTTTTGCTGTACAGATGTTTCTTGCATTATTTAAGTCCCATATATCTATTTTTGGTTTGTTGCATTTGCTTTTGAAGTCTTACTGATAACTTCTTTGCCTAGGCCAATGTCCAGGAGAGTTTTTCCTAGGTTTTCTTCTAGGATTTTTTTATAGCTTCTGGTCTTACATTTAAGGCTTTAACTCATCTTAAGTTTTGTATATGGTGAGAGCTTTGGGTCTCCAAGTTTTCCAGCATCATTTATTAAATAGGGTGTCATCATTTCCAAACTTGGCTCTCCAAGTTTTCCAGCATCATTTATTAAATAGGGTGTCATCATTTCCAAACTTGGCTCTCCAAGTTTTCCAGCATCATTTATTAAATAGGGTGTCCTTTCCCCAGTGTATATTTTTGTTGACTTTGTTGAAGATCAGCTGGTTGTAGGTATGATGCTTTCTTTCTGGGTACTTTATTTTGTTCCATTGATTTATGTGTCTATTTTTGTGCCAGTACCATGCTGTTTTGGTTACTATAGCCTTGTAGTATAGTTTGAAGTCAGGTAGTGTGATGCCTCTAGCTTTGTTCTCTTTGCTTAAGATTGCTGTGGCTATTCAGACTCTCCTTTGGTTCCATATGAATTCTAAGATTTTTTTTCTAATTCTGTGAAAAATGACATTGGTAATTTGGTAGGCATTGCATTGAATCTGTATCTTGCTTTGGGCAGTATGGTCATTTTAACAATATTTATCTTCCAATTACAAGCATGGAATGTTTATCCATTTGTTTGTTTCATCTATAATTTCGTCAGTGTTTTGTAGTTCTCCTTATAGAGATCTTTCACCTCCTTGGTTCAATGGATTCCTAGGTATTTTGTGTATGTGTGTGGCTATTGTAAATGGGATTGCATTCTTGATTTTGTTCTCAGCTTGAATGTTACAGGTGTATAGAAATGCTACTGATCTTTGCATGTTGCTTTTGTATCCTGCAACTTTACCAAAGTCATTTATCAAATCTAGGACTCTTTTGGAGGAGTCTTTAGAGATTTCTAGGTATAAGATCATGTCATCAGTGAACAGAGATAATTTGACTTCCTTTTTTCCAATTTGGGTGTCATTTCTTTCTCTTTCCTGACTGCTCTGATTAGGACCTGCAGTACTATGTTGAATAGAAGTGGGAAGAGTGGGCATCTTTGTCTTTAAAGTTTACAGTTTTTAGAGGAAATGCTTTCAACTCTTCCTCATTCACTATGATGTTGGCTGTGGGTCTGTCATATATGGCTTTTATTATTCTGAGGTATGTTTCTTTGATGTCTAGTTTGTTGAGTGTTTTTTATCATGAAGGGATACTGGTTGTTATCAAATGCTTTTTCTTCATCTATTGGATGATCATATGGTTTTTGTTCTTCATTCTGTTTATGTGATGAATCACATCAATTCCTTATATTTAAAATTGGGTAGAGAAGAAAAGAACTGAACATTTATCCTGCCTTTTCATTAGGACCCATGTTTGTGTATAAGTGAACAGATTTAGTTAATGGAGTCTACTCTATAGAAGGTGATCTAATAACTAGAAATGGGAAACCACCATTAAGCTACCCCATGGAATTATTAGTTTAGGTGGGAATTATGTCTTGGCTGAAATACTGTCCTATCTACCTCAGATGGATGACTCATTCAGAGAGCCTGAAAGGAAGAAGAAATGCGATTCATCAGGAACATAGGAGAACAGCGAGGTGTCCTGCTTCCTGCTAATGTACTAGCTAATGAACGTCTGCTAAACGCATGTCTGTAGGGAAGGCAGATTTTGACCTATGACTTTCATAATAAAGTTGTCAGGGAGTAGCTAATCCTCACCAACTTTTCTATGATTTCTGTTATATCTACCAAAAACAAAATAACAGCAAAACCCTGGGAATCCTACGTGACCAGCCCAGTTTAGGTCAGTTCTCAGCAGCTGCCTGAGGGAAGATCAGGAGGACTGCAGTTTTCTCACTGTGGGTGGCTCCTCTCCACAGACATCTGCAGCCTCTGCCCTCTCCACATTCCCAGGGGACACTGACCTGCCAGGGCTGCAGGCAGAGCCAGCTCAGTCTTTGCTGTCTAAATGCAGTCTAGAGTGCACTTCTCTTCTAGACCTTGAAGGAGAAATGATTATTTTTGAGCCCATCTAGTGTCTTCTCAGTAATCTGATGCAATTTCAGAGTATCCTCAGGTGTTGAAACAACTTGTACTTTCTTGTTAAGGCTTGTAAATTCTCCATATAAATTAATCTAAGAAAACATCTGAGAAATCCAATCCAAAAACGTAAAAACACGAAAGAGTAACTGAACCCAACTTGAAATTCGGAATGGCAGAAATTCACCATTGCTATGTGGAGTGTGGGAAGAGAGCTGACAAAACTGAGGTATGTCATAGTAAGCCAAGTGCAGTCAGAGGAGAATTATGAAACAAGAGACCGTTGATTTCTCCACCACTCCCACATGCGGGCCACTCTCACTGCGCATGCAGCCTGCAGTCATGCTGCCCAGTGCCAGGATTCCCACTGTCTAGGTTGAGAATGTTTGCTTGTGCAGGAAGTATTTCCCAACTGTCACCTCTGCCCCATGAAGTTATTGTAACAAAGAAAAGCACTGTCTCTGGAGCTGAAACCAACATGACACTTTACTGTTGACAACTAGCATGAACTTCATCTTGGAAGTTAGTCATGACTAACATTTGAGTCTCCTAACTTTCTTTATATTTTGTCATTTAAATGAAAAATATTTTGAGTTCTTGAGAGTTATTTTGAGAAAGAATGTTATATGGCAGTTTAAATTCTGAATATATATTGTTGGGCTTTTAAAGTAATCAAGTTCTGCATCAACCTAATCTTTGAGTTTTCTTTTTTTGAGACGGAGTCTTGCTCTGTTGCCCAGGCTGGAGTGCAGTGGCGCAATCTTCGCTCACTGCAAGCTCCGCCTCCCGGGTTCACGCCATTCTCCTGCCTCAGCCTCCCGAGTAGCTGGGACTACAGGCCCCCGCCACCACGCCCGGCTAATTTTTTGTATTTTTAGCAGAGACGGGGTTTCACCATGTTAGCCAGGATGGTCTCGATCTCCTGACCTCGTGATCCGCCCACCTCGGCCTCCCAAAGTCCTGGGATTACAGGCGTGAGCCACCGCGCCCAGCCTGAGTTTTCACATTTTACTTATCACCTATGATTACTTTAAATGCCGACTCTCTAATGGTTAATGAATTTCCATTGCCGGCAGTGTTCTCCACTAACACACATCAAGATACAAAGGCAATGACTTCTGAGATTATACTAAAGAGACCAGATCGGATTTCCAGTTTTTAGGATGAAACATCATGCATATTGCTCTCATAGTACAAACCAAACATTTGCCAAATGTGACAATGTATTTCACCAGTCTCTGGAAGGCAAGCTCTGGAAATTCCCAGGATGAAAGAGCAGCAAGAGCTTGCCTGGGGCCTAGGAATTAGTCTTGCCTGGGAAGTCTTCCACCTCCAAAGTCCAGAAAAAAGCAATTTAAATAACGGGTCCGTCTCCTTTTATTGCTCATAAGCTGAATTCTGAGGTGTTCTGAGTGCCCCTTTTGCTAACAACAGACATTGGATATGGTAAACTTAAAGCAACCAAGAACCATTAAAAACTCTTGTTCTGGGCCGGGCGCAGTGGCTCATGCCTGTAAGCCCAGCACTTTGGGAGGCTGAGGCGGGCAAATCACAAGGTCAGGACTTCAAGACAAGCCTGTCCACCATGTGAAAACCTTATCTACTAAATAAAAATACAAAAATTAGCCGGGCATGGTGGTGTGCACCTGTAATCCCAGCTACTCAGGAGGCTGAGGCAGGAGAATTGCTTGAACCTGGGAGGTAGAGGTTGCAGCGAGCCGAGATGGTGCCACTGCACTTCAGCCTGGGCAACACAGCAAGACTCCATCTCAAACAAAACAAAACAAAACAATGCAAAAAAACCCAAAAACTCTTGTTCTGGAATACAGTTTATCATGACTGGTCTCAATGCTATGTGAAATTAGGAATCAAATTCCAACAGTGGAAAAAGTCTCACATCCTTTCCCTACTGCTTCTAATCAGGTGCCTTGCATTCTTGCCTTCGTCTTTGCAAGTGCTCAGGGCTCTGTGCGGAAAGAGAAAGTGCAACAGTTAGAAGCTTCCTATGACCTCTAAGCGGGCCAAGTGCCGGTCAGTCCTTCCCCTGGTGAGTCCCTCGTCACTCTCTCTTAGGCACAGTCAGAAGCTGTGGCTCTGAGGGAGCAGACTCCACGCCACTCCTGCATCTGTGCCTGCTTTGACTGCGTCTGCACACTCGCAGGATTCCCTCAGCTCGGATGCAGGTTTTGGCCAGCAGGAATGACCTTACTGGCCTCTATCTCTCCATATTCTCTCCTCGGGAGTACCAGAAAAGTCCACTGAACCAAACTGTTGCCTTGGTTTTTATCAGGGCCTGTTCCTGCTCGAATCACCTGCAGTATCTGCTCCTGGTCCCTGGTGCACTGCAGGCTTCCACCTGGGCTGGCCGACAAGGCCGTGCCTTCAGGGAGCTGGCCGATCTCTGAAATGCAGGTGTGGAAAATCTCCTTGCTTCTTACCCAGCAGTAAAGGCTAGCAGGTTGGGAGTTTTTCCAAGGTGATGAAGAGAAACACCCCAAACCAAAAATCCTTGACAGTGGCTGACTCTACAGGGATAGGCCAAGGGTGGAGGAGACCTATGGGGGCTTCAGCTGCTGCACTCTATGCCCTGTGTCTCTGTAGAGTTAGAATGTCTCGCAAGTATTATTACTTGTATGATAAAGTAGAACAAGTGGTTTTAATTTAACCAATCTACAGCTCTTCATGCCAGTTTTTTTCACCATGCTCAGCTGTACTTAACTGTGGAAGCTGAGCCTGACGGAGCTGTGGCGTGGCAGGGTTCCTGCAGTGTCTGTCCTGCCATGGTCCCAGCTGCAGTGTGGCAGGAGCAGCGTCCCCAGACAGGTGTGTGCCCTGGCCCTGCCAAATACAGGTGTTTCACAGCTTCACAACCTGTTCCCGCCTCTATAAATAAATGACCAGCCTGCTCCACAGTGCTGTGTGAGGCCCAAATAGAACACATATGACAATGCTTTGTGAACTGTATAGCACCTTAAAAAGAAAATAAAAGTGACAGAATATGAAGCCGGGTGCAGTGGCTCATGCCTGTAATCCCGGCACTTTGGGAAGCAGGCAGATCACTTGAGGCCAGGAGTTCAGGACCATCCTGGCCAACATGGCAAAACCCCGCCTCTACTAAAAATACAAAAATTAGTCGGGTATGGTGGCGCATGCCTGTAATCCCAGCTACTTGGGAGGCTGAGGCAGAAGAATCACTTGAATCCAGGAGGTGGAGGTTGCAGTGAACTGTGATTGCACCACTGCACTCCAGCCTGGGCCACAGAGTGAGACCCTGTCTCAAAAGTGACAGAATATGGACCCTTGAGGGAGACTGCGCCTCACAGACTTCCCCTCTGCTCATCACGGGCTTCTCTGCTGCCCTCATCTGCTACCACATAGAGAATGGGAAACTATAATCAGATTCAAGTTGGATTTTTTTTTAAACCCTGTCTCTACTAAAAATACAAAAATTAGCCAGGCGTGGTGGCAGATGACTTGGTTGTAGTGTGGAAACTCTAACTTAACTGTATAATGTGAAATAAGAAGTCAGGACTATGCTCTTAGGATATTTTCAGTCATTTGGTCAGACCTCTCTGGAGCAGCTCCTAGTTAACAGCTCCATCCTTCCCCTGAAAGTTGATTCCTCCATCCGAGCACCTAGTGCTGCGCTGGACCACGGGATCAGCCCATTCCTGTGGGACTGCAATCTCTGGAAAGCAGCACAATTCTTAGATCACCACAGAAATTGCCTCTGCAACTTTTTACAAAGAGGGAAAGAGAAGCCCAGAACACTCATGTGACTGGCCTGAGTCTCAGTGACTGAGGGGCATTTCTATTAATAACACTTGCCCATAAGAGAAAGAATGCGTTCTGCGTAGCTGGACTGTCGATGCTTTCCAGAAAACACTGGCCTTCCAGCTCTGCATTTCCTCCAGCCATCTTCATAGTTTTCAAGGAGTTGCGTTTTCACCTATAACTGTCTTTTCAGATACACTGTTCTGCAGTTTCCTAGGGAATGCAGCAAGATATTTAATCATACTCATTTAACAAATATTTAAATCATTTATTGCCATTAAGTTACAGCATCTCAATATATACACTGCATGGAAATACACAGGTAACATTTTTAAACAGTGGGGACAAAATTTTAAGTACGTGGCCAGCTGTTGGTTGTCTTGTGGTCATTAAAGACAATGTTAAGAATCAGGAGTACTTAAGTGCTAGTGGTTACAAATTTTGTTCTCTTCAGTTTTTCATTAAGTAAATTCTAATAGATGATATACATATTACTGCAGATAAAACCATCATCAGAAATTATTAAATTAATTGCATATTTTGAGCTACTCTTTATGGAAAGAAGTAAAATATTTAATACTTGTAAGGCAGCAGAGAGTTGGTTTAGAAACTCTCAGCTATTTCTATAAAAATAGAATGGTTAGTAAAAATAGCATTCAGTGTATTTTCCTTAGGGAGGCTATTTATAATGAAATCTGTGACTCAGCAGCAGCTGGCAATGCTGTCCCTTCAAGACCTTGTTCTTCCTTTTCCATTGTTATGCAGATGCCGTTTTAGTCATCCTGGAAAGAAACAAAAAGAAAAATTCAATGAGAAACAAAATTTCAATGCCAATCGCAAGGGCTTTGGATGGCTTTTAAAAGACACCTTTACATAACATTTATTTCAACTTACAACTTATAAAAACAATAATATAGGTTGGGTATCCCTCATCTGAAATGCTTAGGCCCAGACATGTTTCAGATTTTTTCAGATTTCGGAATAACTGGATTATACCAGTTGAACATCCCTAAACTGAAAATCCAAAATCCAAAATGCTCCAATGAGCACTTCCTTTGAGTGTCATGTTGGCACTCTAAAGGTTTCATATTTTGGAGCATTTCAGATTTTTGGATTTGGGATGCTCAGCCTGTATCCTAGTTCATGTTAACTTTCATGGTTTAGTAAGTTGTTTCCCCAACTGCTAAAGCGCATCTATACACACTCCAGTCCCGCAGCACTCCCTCAGAAAAGATTTTAGTTTCACTCTCCCCAATTCCTCAAATTCCTGAAAAGAAAGTAACTAAATTGAAATCTGCTTACTCGTGTTTGATAAGCCGCCCTCCCTGGATGAGCTGGGCTACTTCATTTGTTGCGTGGCATGCAAACAGAAGCCAGTTCCGAGGCTGTACCTTGTAGGCAAATCTCATGAATGTCAAAGAATAGCAACAGAGGGCTGCCAAAAATAGCAGAGCAAAGACAATCAATAACTTAGAAAACTGAGAGGGTTGATAGGACCACAGAGATGAACAGTTCCATTGCCCTGATCAAAAAAGAACCTCTTCTGCGAAAGCCTTTGACAGATAAAAGTTGTTACTTAAATGCCTGTATCAATAGGAAGCTCATAAAAAAATTTACTGTACTGCTATGCATTTTTGTTAATTATTTAAACATTTAAGGAACATATTTCCGAGCAAGAGTAGGCTGAAATTTGTTCTAGACACTTTTTTTGTCTCCTGGAGTTGCTTATAATCCATTCATTATCTGAAAGAATTGTTATTTATTCCCTCCACAATAGTTTTATGTTCAAATATCAGGGTTTCAAGTCAGTTTAATGACAGTTTCCCCCAAAAAAGTTCACAATATAAATCATTAAAGTGACTATTAGAATGATTCAGATGACACAGTCTTCAGTTCAGTGTGCTAAATCTGAAAGGCAAATAAGATGTTACTACTTCCTAGATAAATATTTCTAATTAATCTTGTTTCTTACTGACATAGAGAAGTAACACTCTTCCATGCCATCACATTCTGTATGTGACTTTCTAATAGTGACTGTAACATCTAGTGCTACAATCTTGAAATGCAAGCAGGAGCTCTACTATGTTGAAAGTCCTCCCAATTATCCAAATCTGCATTCTTACCAAATGTCATCCGCCCACTGATAATCTCTGGAGACTTTTTCATATCATTGATGGCAGCAATGGGAAGACCCCAGTTGGCTACTGGGCCCCAGAAGTGCTACAAAAAATGAGAGGAAAAGAATGAAGAGAGGAAAAAGTTAAGACAGAACTATAAACAGCTGAAATTTCCCTTACTTTAAATAATCACGTGAAACTCGTGAGAACAAATCTTCGTTTCCATCTTGCAGGTTTACTGGGTTAATTGATGGTTAACATTTAGGTATTGGATTGTCCAAGTGTTCCTGTAGGAATCAGCAGTTCTTACAGCTGAGCCCAGAGCTAGAAAGGGTTTGGCAGCTTCCCAAGGTCCCTACTGGTTTCCACACTACAACCAAGTCATCTCTGATTGTCCTATTTAGAACATTTAAAAATAAAAATAAGATTCACTTCTTACACAATCCATTGTTGCTATAATTCAAACCCTGTTAGAACTATTCTCCATATTTTTATGTTTAAATCTATCCACACTCCTTTTCCCAAATTTTTATGAAGATATTTGTTAATAATTCTTAAAATGCAGACCCTAAATTGGGTACTTTTCTGAAGAAAGAAGCTTAATAAGAGAATAAATTGTTTTTCAGCTCATATGAGCTATTCTAAGATAAAATAACTTGGAAATCAATGCCCAGGACCCCAGACACTAAGAAATTAAGATTGGAAAGTACTTTTGACATAATAGCAAAAACTTATATTAATATTAAAGAAATGAACCAATAGTTTTTCATTCCACAACTACACTCATCCAAGGATACCAAAGTGAAGTCGTCTGTGTTTGACAGCAGCCACAATCAATTTAATTTTAGAGGCTGAAATAAAATAAGGCTTGTGGCTTTTGTTCATTAAAGATGAAAAATTGTTTCATTAATTTAGAATTTGGAAATAATATTTTCAAATCTGAAAGGAACCACATCTTGTTGGCTAAACACCCCTTTTAGTTATCCTAACACTAAAGAGTAAAAACAGTCTTTGCTTGACTTCTGCCTATCATAATGTTTAGGTTAAATTCAGACTTTGCTTCTACTATTGACGAGGGGTTAAAATCCAAAGATTCCCTAAAAAGTGGTAAACCAAGGGAAATATAAGAAAAATAAATGGGAATTAGATTTGGCATAATAGAATATTTAAAAATGTTTATTTAACATGAAAGCCACAAGGTCATTTAGATAACTACAAAAGGTCAAAGTTCCCACATAGCCATCACCATAAGTATTTCAGGGTTTAACATGTGAGTTATAAACTCTGTAAATTAGGCACAGTTGGTTTAAAGAATCTTGAGATTCTGGGCTGGCTAATTAGTTATCTTGCATTCAGACTGCATGTTATCTAAGATACTCACTACTGCAACTTTCACTTAATTTCTTACATTTAGACGAGGTGACTAGTGGCTCTCAAATTGGACAGCAAGGCTTTGGAGGAAATATTTCTTTGAAAATGACAAGTTGGGTCGGGTGCAGCGGCTCACGCCTGTAATCCCAGCACTTTCGGAGGCTGAGGCGGGTGGATCACGAGGTCAGGAGTTTAAGACTAGCCTGGCCAACATGGTAAAACCCTGTCTCTACTAAAAATATAAAAATTAGCCAGCGTGGTGGCAGGTGACTGTAATCCCAGCTACTTGGGAGGCTGAGGCAGAGAACTGCTTGAACCCGGGAGGTGAAGGTTGCAGTGAGCCAAGATTGCACCACTGCACTCCAGCCTGGGTGACAGAGCGAGACTCCGTCTCAGGGAAAAAAAAAAAAAAAAAAAGAAAATGACAAGTTGGAGAGAAGTACACTCCTGCAGAATTCTATTAACAATGACCCTTAATTTCTTACATTTAGATGCAATATGGCCAGTTTTCTTTTTTCCTTATTCCCCAGACTTTTGTAAGGGAGAGTATCTATCTCTCCCTTACCTACTTACTTCTTTTCTTACCCGTCCTGTTATTGGGTGTCACTTCATTTTTCAACTCTCTATTATTCCATAGTGATCTTCCTTTTCCTCCTTTTTTGACCAGGCCTTTCTCCACTTGGTCTATTTTCATCTCCTTTTCCGTTTACTCTCTTGCCACTCCTCTGCACTGTATGGTGGTGTTGCTGTCTACTTTATCATGCATGAACCCAGGGCTATAAACAGAGCCTGAAGAGTTATTCTAAGAGGGGCATATAAACCACAGTTTCTCTACCACTGGTTGTGAATGTGTCTTCTTTCATAGGTGGGGCTAAAGCAGAAATGGACAATGGAATAAATCTAAACCTAAAGTAGCCTTGGGAGATTCCTGGCTAAGTGATGTTATTAAAAGTTTAAGTATGGGCCGGGCATGGTGGCTCACACCTGTAATCCCAGTACTTTGGGAGGCTGAGGCAGGCGGATCATGAGGTCAGGAGTTTGAGACCAGCCTGACCAACATGGTGAAACCCCGTCTCTACTAAAAATACACAAATTAGCTGGGTGTGGTGGCTTGCACCTGAAATCCCAGCTACTAGGGAGGTTGAGGCAGGAGAATCGCTTGAACACGTGAGGCAGAGGTTGTAGTGAGCCAAGATAGTGCTACTGCACTCTTGCCTGGGCAACAGAGCAAGACTCCATCTCAAAAAAGAAAAAAAATTAAAAAAATAAAAAGTTTAAGTGTGATGAGTGTTAGGTTATAGGAAACAGTTCTGCAAGTTAAGAACTATACATACACTTATGACTGTAAGTGTTGAGCTATACTGAAAATATGTTTCTTAAGAAGAACACGAAAGGTAAAAATCATTTTAACACTAGTTTACTAAAATACCTAACCTTAGAAAGTTTATAATGCATCTTTTCTATCTAGTACAATATTCTAGTTCTCTCTTCCCTTTTTTAGAATACAATTGATTTATGCTGTCAGATATTCAGCAGTCAATTTTGAGAAAAATAAGGAACTTTATTAAAATTCAAAAAGAAATTAACATATGTTGGATTAAATGGAAAACATTTTACTTGATTATAATTCTTAATTGTGCTGAAAAGAAAGTTCCAACAGAATTATACAACACCATCTCCTGTGTGAAAATCAAGCCATGGAAATGAACTCCACCCTACAGGAAAAAATCATCCCACCCTTCTTTTCCTGCTTTCTCTTTTTCTTTCTCTATTTCCTTTCATCGGTTGCTAGGCTCCACTGTGACTGTTATCAATGAAGTAATTATATGCTTGTTTCTAAAAACAGGAGTAGGGAGCAGCCCCAGGAGCATGGCTGTCACAGAGCTCGTGTCTAGGCTCCCCAGGACAGGCCAGGGTGCAGTAGGCACCCTTCACAACCTGCCAGCCATGGCGGCTAGAAAGGCTCTCATATGCAAAGGATGCTAAGCCTGTTACCCCTAACTCTGTTAATGCAGAAAGTCTGCAAAAGCCTGAAATGGATGGAAATAATTTTCTTACCGTACTATTTTGTGAAGAGTCACCGAAGTTCAGACAGGACAGACATGGAAAAAAAAGAAACAAAAATCAAATGATTTTGGTCTTATTAGGTTACTGCAACCTCACACCTGTATTCAAATTTCAGTAACAGGACTACAACGTTAACAGTGTACATTCTTTTATTATTTTTAAAAGATCAAGTAATATTATTTCTAATAAGAACTTTGACTTCATGAAATTAGATCTTAGTTTTATGGAAAATAAGTGCAATCCTTAGAGCAGAACTGTCCAATAGAAATATAATGCAAGGCAGAAATACAAGCCACGTACGTAATTTACAACTTCTAGAAGCCACATTAAGAAAACTAAAAAGAAGGCCGGGGACAGTGGCTTATGCCTGTAATCCCAGCACTCTGGGAGGCTAAGGCAGGAGGATTGCTTGAGGCCAGGAATTCACTATTAATCTGGGCAACATAGTGAGACCCCATCTATACACAAATATATTTTAAAAATTAGCTGGGCATGGGTGGTTTGTGCCTCCAGAGGATTGTTTGAGCCCAGGAGTTCAAGTCTGCAGTGAGGTATGATCACACCACTGTACTCCAGCCTGGGCAACAGAGCAAGACCCTGTCTGGAAAAAAAAAGGAAAAGAAAAGTAGAAAAGTAAAAAGAAACCACAGAAATTACTTGTATTAATATTTATTTAATCCATATGTATGCAAAAAACATTTTAATTTCAAAATGTAATCAATAAAAACTATTCATTAGACCTTTTACATGCTTTTTCATACAATTATTTGGACTCTAGTGTGTATTTTACACTTACGGCACATCTCAGCTTGAACTAGTCACATTTCAGGTGATCAGTAGCCACCTGTGGCTAGTGGCTCTCAAATTGGACAGCACAGCTTTCGAGGAAATATTTCCTTAAAAGTGGTAAGTTGGAGAGATGCATACTGTTGCAGAATTCTATTAACAATGAAACTTTCCCTTCTGCTTACTAACACATTGCACCAGAATGTGAACCCCTGGAGGGATGTATTTTTGTTACTACTGGACTACTTAAAGTAGGGCCTGGCATTTAAACTGGAATTTAAAAAATATTTATTGAATGAATGAATGAATAGTAAAAATGTCAATGCTGTTTTCCAGAATGTTAAATTTAAAAATACACCAAAAACTTATATTGAGTTACTTTTATTTCTGAAATAACAATTTCTCTTGCCAGGATATACCTGAGCTCTTCTCTTAGGGCAAAATCTCAAAGTTGAGCTACTGAAAGAGTTATTGAAATAAAATAATAAAATTGAGCAGTACGGCAGGGGGAAAAATGAAATAATAAAATCCTTTATAAACAGACTCAAGTCCAAAGAATTCTACTAGTTGTTTTGTTTTAGAGAGCACAGAGATTATAATTTGTAACATGAAAATAATTGTTGATGGTGCTAATAATACAGTAGTCCCCCTTATCCTCAGGGGATGCATTCTAAGACCTCCAGTGGATGCTTGAAACCGTGGATAATACGGAACCCTATATATACTATGTTTTTCTCCTATACATACATACCTATGATAATGTTTAATTTATAAATTAGGCAGAGTAAGAGATTGACAACAATTACTAATAATAAAATAGAATAATTATGACAATGAACTGATATAAAAATTTTGAGAATGTGGTTACTCTCTCTTTCACAATACTGTAATATTTTTTTGGACCACAAATGGCCCTGAGTGACTGAATCCATAGAAGGAGAAACTGCAGATGAGGGGGTACTACTATGTGCTTCAGATAGGTTATATTATGAAATATATATCATTCATATATATACAAATATAATTATCCAAATTATATTTCACAGCAAGTACAAACTGACCACAATGCTTTATAGCAGAGAGATTGATAACCTTACCAGATGAGACAGCATAATCTAGCTAGAACAGTCAGTCACCTACGGCATTGCTCTCCTTCAAATACCTTTGTCAGTATCTGAACACTGGCCCTTTAGGTAACTATGAATAACCAAGGGCACATTTTTTCCCTATAAAAATATTTTAAAGGATGTCGTACTTACAATGTGAAGTTTCAACTTGGACATAACTTAGTTTTTCCTTTAGGACTCTCTCCTTAAATCATACAACAGCTTGATTATACCCTATTTTACAACAGATTACAAATGTATGAGAATAAGGGAGATTATAAATGTATGAGAATAAGGGAGAATTACAAATGTATGAGAATAAGGATTAGTATAGATTACACATGTATGAGAATAAGGGAGAATTAACTTCTGCCTTCATACCCTGCTCAGTTCAAAAGTCCTACATGAATATAATCACATTAATTACTGTAAAACAATCTGAGAGTAAAGTCAGTTTAAATATGTCTGTTAAATACAAAACACTACAACTCAACATCCCTCAATTCTAAGTCAGGGTTTTCTAGAATGCATGAATCAACAACTCAATCAAAATATCTGAAAAGCATATTTGTGCAGAACCAAATTAGAAAAAAAAATGCTTCCAAATATGTATTATTACCTGTTTCAAAAAAAAAAGGGGAGATAAATTTATAAGCCACATATAAACTGCAATTTGGGGACAGTAATGCAAAACCATTTAGAAAATATTCTTGATTTTCTCTTTATTTGGTATGCTGCCTTTATTTTCAGTAAAAAAGCAAACAAACACAAAACTCATAGACTTTCTTGGGTTCACTTATGATTTTGAATTCTCATGGAGGAGAAACTATATTTCCAGTTAAAAATTAAGTATTCTGTTTTTTTAAAAAATAAACTTAATTTTTCAGAAAAGTTTTAGGTTCACAGTAAAATTGAACCAAAGTACAGAAACCTTCCATATACACCCAGCCCCGAAACATGCACGCACTCTCCCATTATCTACATCCCCCGCCCATGGTGTATTTATCACAATCACGAAACTTACATTGACACAGGATTGTTACCCAAAGTCCATATCTACATTAAGGTTCCCTGTTAGTGCTGTACATCGTGTGGGTTTAGATGAACATACGATGCCACGCGTCCATCATCATAGTGTCTTACAGTAGTTTCACTCTCTAAAAATCCTCTGTGCCCCACCTCAACCCTTGCAACCACCGATCTTTCGACTAGCTCCATAATTTTGCCTTTTCCAGAACGTTGTGTAGTTGGAACCAGGTAGTATGCAGCCTTTTCAGACTGGCTTCTTTCATGCAGTAATATGAATTTAAGTTTCCCTCATGTCTTTTCATGGTTTCATAGCTCACTTTTTAGTGCTGAATAATATTCCATTGTCTGGAGGTACCACAATTTATTTTGCCATTCACCTACCAAAGGACATCTTGTTTGCTTCCAAATTTTGGCAGTTATGAATAAAACCTCTATAAAAATCCACATACAGGTTTTCGTGTGGATCTAAGGGTTCAACTCCTAGGGGTAAATACCAAAGAATGTGTAAGAAACTGCCAAACTGTTTTCCAAAGTGGCTGTATTATTTTGCATTCCCACCAGCAACGAATGAGAGTTCCTGTTGATTCACATCCTAATCAGCATTTGCCTTTGTCAGCGTTCTGCCTTTTGGCCTTTCTAATAGATGTTTAGTGGTATCTTGTTTTAATTTGCATTTCCCTGATGACATACGATGTAGAACAGTGGTGTCCAATCTTCTGGCAGAGCTTCTTTTCATATGCTTATTTGCCATCTGAACACGGAGAGGTATCTGCTTAAGTCTTCGGCCCATTTTTAATTTAGTTCCTTTCTTATTGTTGAGTTTTGTTTTTGTGGGTTTTGTTGGCTTGTTTTTTTTTGAGAGGGAGTCTTGCTCTGTTGCCCAGGATGGAGTGCAGTGGCATGATCTTGGCTGACTGCAACCTCTGCCTCCCGGGTTCAAGTGATTCTCCTGCCTCAGCCTCCCAAGTAGCTGGGATTATAGGCACCCGTCACCACACCTGGCTAATTTCTGTATTTTAGTAGAGAATTAGGTAGAGGTTTCACCATGTTGGCCAGGCTGGTCTCAAACTCTTGACCTCAAGCGATCTGCCTGCCTTGGCCTCCCAAAGTGCTGGGATTACAGGAGTGAGCCACCGCGCCTGGCCTTATTGTTAAGTTTTAAGAGTTCTTTGTATATTTTGGAAAAGTCCTTTATCAGTTATGTCCTCTGCAAATATTTTCTCATATATTATCTTTTCATTCTCTTGACAGCATCCTTCACAGAGCAAAACTTTTTAATTTTTATGAAGTCCAGCTTATCAATTATTTCTGGGATCATGTCTTTGGTCTTGTATCAGAAAAACTCATCCCCAAACCCAAGGTAATTTAGGTTTTCTCCTAAATTATCTGCTAGGAGTTTCATAGTTTGTGATTTACATTTAGGTCTGTGATCCTTTTTGGGTGAATTTTTGTAAATGGCGTCAGGTCTGTGTCTACATTCGTTTCTGTTTTGCAATTGCATGCCCAGTTGTCGCAGCACAATTTGCTGAAAAGACTGTCTTTACTACATTGTTTTGCCTTTGCTCCTTTGTCAAAATTTAGTTGATTTGGTTTATGTAGGTCTACTTCTGGGCGTCTACTTCCGGGCACTTTATTCTGTTCCATTGATTGATCTGTCTATTCCTTTGCCAGTACCACGCTGTCTGGATTACTGTGGCTCTATAGTAAGTTTGAAAGTTAGGTAATGTCAGTCCTCCAACTTTGTTCTCCTCCTCCAATACTGTGTTGGCTATTTTGGGGTTTACCGCCGTCTCCATTTAAACTCCAAAATCTGTGTGTTGATATCCACAGAATAACGTGCTGGGATTTTAACTTTCACCTATTCACTTAAAAAAAGTACTTTATGGCTTCTCTTTGGCATATTCAAAGTACCAGCATCACTAGTCTTGTACTTTGGGGCCATCATTAAATAAAATGTGGGTTACTTGAACAGAAGCACTGCAATACCACAACAATGGCTAAGTGATTAGGTGGGATGACTAAGTGACTAACAAGTAGGTAGCATCTACAGCATACAGATGGTGGATGAAGGGATGGTTCATGTTTCAACAAGGACAAAGTAGGATGGCATGAGATTTCATCATGCTACTCAGAATGACACAAAATTTACAATTTATGAATTGGTTGTTCCTGAAACTTTCCACTTAATATTTTCAGACCTTAGTTGGCCACAAGTAACCGAAACTGCAGAAAGCAAACTGTGGATAAGGGGGGTGGAGAGCTACTGTATTTCCCTTCTTCTGCTTATTTTCATTCTAATTTGCTTTTTTTTTTTTTTTTTAGTTTTGTAAGGTGGAGGCTTAGATGATTGATTTTAGAACCTTCTCGTTTTCTAATACATGCATCCAATGCTATAAAAATTCTCTCTAATCACTGCTTTAACTGTATCCCACAAATTCTGATAAGTTGTGTTTGCACTTTTATTTAGTTCAAAATATTAAAAAATTTATCTTGAGATTTCTTCTTTGACCCAGAGTTATTTAGAAGTGTGCTGTTTAATCTCCAAGTATCGGGGATTTTCCAGCTTTCGTTAGTGACTTCTAGTTGAATTCCAAAGCACACACCATATGATTTCTAGTCTTTTAAATTGGTTAAGGTGTGTTCTATTCGCCAGAATATAATTTATCTTGGTGAGTGTTCCATGTGAGCTTGAGAAGAATGTGTATTCTGCTGCTGTTACATGTAGCAGTCTACTGATGTTCATCATATCCAGTTGATTCATTGTTTTGTTGAGTTAAATTATGTCCGTACTGATTTTCTACCTGCCGGGTCTATTTATGATGGAGGGGTGAAATCTCCAATTATATTAGTGGATTCATCTATTTTTTCTTGCAATTCTATCAGTTTTTGCCTCATGTGTTTTAATGCTGTAATGGTGCATACACATTAAAGATTGTTACCTGTATTAAGGCTCTCCAGAGAGACAGAACTAATAGAAGATGTATAGCTATAGATACATATACACATACGTGTGTGTGTGTGTGTGTGTGTGTATATATATATAATTTTTAATGGAAATTGGCTTATGCTGTTATAGAAGTAATAAGTTTCACAAGCTGGAGAATCAGTAAAGCCAGTGCTGTAACTCAGTCTGAGTCCAAAGGCCTGAGAACTAGGGGAGCCAATGGTGTAACTCAGTCCGAGGCTAAAGGCCCTGAGAACCTGAAGGACCACTGGTGTAAATCCTAGAGTCCAAAAGCCCAAGAACCTAGTGTTCTGATGTCTGATGGCAGAAGAAAATGGAAGTCCAAGCTCCAGAAGAGAGAGCAAATTGTCTCTTCTCTACCTTTCTGTTCTACTGGGGCCCTCAACAGATTTAATGATGCCCACTTACACGGGTGAGGGCACATCTTCTTTACTCAGTCTACTGATTCAAATGCCAATCTCTTCCAGAAATACCTGCATAAACATGCCCAGAAATAATGTTTTACCATCTATCTGGGTATCTGTTAACCCAGTAAAGTTGACACCTAAAATTAACCATTGCATTTGTCTTTTTGGAGCATTGATCCCATTATCATATGTAATGTCTCTCTTTATCCCTGGTAATTTTCCTTGCTCTGAAGTATGCTCCATCTATAGCTACCAACGCCTTTTCTTGATTAATGTTAACATGGTACACCTATCTCTACCTATTTACTTTTAATCTATATGTGTATTTACACTTAAAGTGGGTTTCTTGTAGACAATGTATATTGAGTCTTATTTTTTGATCCACTTGTACAATATGTCTTTTAATTGGTACTTTTAGTCTACTGATATTCAAAGTGATTATTGATATAGTTGTATTACTATTTACCATATTTGTTACTGTTTTCTATTTGTTGTCCTTGTTCTTTGTTCTTTTTTTGCCTTCCATTCTTTTTCTGCCTTTTATGGTTTTAAATGAGCATTTTATATGATTCCATTTTCCCTCCTTTCCTGGCATATCAGTTATAATTACTATTATTATTATTTATTCTTTTTTTTTTTTTTTGAGACAGTCTCGCTCTGTTAGCCAGGCTGGAGTGCAGTGGCAGACCCATGCCGGCACCCAGGCCACCCTGGAAGCTGGTGCTGCTGCTGCCCACTCGGGAGACAATCAAGGAGCTGATGTGGGCACTGGGCCTGCTCATGTAGGAGGAGCTGCTGAAGGCCCAGGGGCCAGAGTTGAACACCTTGTAGGGCTGCTGGGTCACCCTGATGGACATGGTGGAGGCAGAAGTGGAGGCAGGCAGGCTGAACCAGGAGGAGATTTGAAAAGGAGCAGAGGAGCTGCTTTTAGGTCAGTCTAATTTTTCCAAAATTATGGTAATGTTAGCTTTCTCTGAAAGTACTGAGAGCAATTTAAGTAATTTATAACTTACTTATGTAGTACTAAAAGGATCCAACTGACAGCCTAGCATAGTATATTTCTAACATTATTCAAAGTAAAATGGGATAAAATTTTGAGATATTTTAGATCATAATTCTACAGTTTGCTGAAATTTATTCTTACCAAATTTTGTCTAGTTTTCTAGTTCAAATTAAAATGAGGGAGGGTTTTGACAATTAGAATTTGTGATATTCAGCTATATTTAGCGAGCCAAAAGTCAGCTGAATGACAGTAAAGATCTTTGTGACTGGACTATCCAGATATTAAGAGATTCTTATGGCCAGTCCTGCTTCAACATTTCCAGCTTCATTCAATTTCTGAAAGTCAATTATATGGCAGGGAAGTGCTCAAAGAGTCCAAGGACCGGGTGTGAAAAGCAGTTTGGCAGAGAAAAGGGAGACATATGCAGGAAAACATGGAGCACAAAAATATCTAAAACCTTCTTTTCAAAACCATTTCTATGCATTACTATTTTCCTTTAAATCCCAAGTTGACATTTCTGTTTTAGCTTCACAAGTTTGGTATCCAGAGGTTCTGAAGTTATCTGTTTGGTTCAGATATCAGCCTTCTCATGTGGCAAATGAAGCACTGGAATTTCTAAGGCCTGTTCCAACTCTAATATTCCACAAGTTTGGGAAAGATTCACTTTTATTTTACTGCAACTTCTCACCTGGGTAGTAAGTATAAATTCTGAAAGCTTTCCTGGAGACTCAGAAGTTAAAATTAATTTAGAATACCTGATCAACTTGAGAATATTCAATGCAAACATCCCACTAACTTCAGATTCATAAGCATACTAAGTGATTAACTGATTTTAAAGCACTCTATGATCTAGGTTCTTCTTAAGAAAACATCCTCTGCACACATATACAAATACATGTGTGTGTGTGTGTGTGTGTGTGTATCCATTCACCTTTACTGTAATATACAAACTTGAGAAGAGGAATAAGTCGCTAGAATAAAGCTGCACAGACCTTGATTGAGTTAATCATTAAAATATATGTCCTACCTCAAAACTGTTTTGCTTATTCTAATTTATTCTTCTTAACCAGAAATCCAGGAAGGAGAATGAGAGAAGAGGAAAAGCAAAGAAGAGCTCTCTTTTTCTATTCTGTCAATAAGAAAGGTGAGGGAATAGTTTCTTAAGAAAAAGGTATTGGAATAGAGACCCAGGAAGTTCTTGATTCAAGATCCTAATCAAGGTAAGTAACAAGAGATGGAAGAAAGTACCAAAAAGAGAGTACCAGAAATCCTGGGGATTAAACATGCAATATTAGTTACAATAAAAAATAAATTGAACACTTACTTTTGTCAAGCGCTATACTATGTCATTAAACAGCTACGAAAGCACAAAAGCTAAACAATTTGCCCAAGCTCACAAAGCTGGAAAGCAAGAGCTGGGCTTCAAATCCATCATTCAAACTCATCACCTAGGTTTAACGGTATTATTATCACAATTAACAATTGTCAATAATTATTTAATATTATTTAATACTGAGATCCTATTTAAGTGTTCCGTTATCCCAGTAATGCCTTTTCCAGCTGTTTTTTCACACCAGGCCCAATCAAAGTCCACACATTATCTTTGGTTCTTAGGTGTCCTAAGTGAGAGCCTGTTTCATAACCTCTTTCAGTGAAATAAAAAAAAATCATTTAAAATACATGTGGATGGGCTGGGCACAGTGGTTCATGCCTATAATCCCAGAGCTTTGGGAGGCCAAGATGGGAGGACTGCTTGACACTGGGAGTTCAAGGACAGCCTGGGCAACATAGCAAGGTCCCATCTCTAAGAAAAAACAAAAAACTAGCCAGGTATGATTGTGCACACCTGTAGCCCTAGCTACTCGGGAGGCTGAGGCAGGAGGCTCACTCAAGCCCAGGAGTGGGAGGTTACAGTGAGCTATGATCATGCCATTGCACTCCAGCCTGGGTGACAGAGTAATACCCTGTCTCTAAATAAATAAATACACTTGGAAATTCAGTTTAGTAAGAATGTTCAACTTGATTCATAAAACATGATTGAAATAAATTTATAATCTGTGTAAAATATGATTTTAAATTTATGCTGAAAAACTCAATTATGTTATTAATTTTTAAAATTCTAGAACAGCTTTAGTTGAGAAAACCTCTAGACCCCTTCAGTAGGCTACAAAAAGAATGCAGAGGATGCAAAGTGTGTACAACAGGCAACTGATGAAGTAAAAAGAGGAAGGGATGGAACCTTGTTTCTGATTAGAAGAAAAGAGATACAATGACGTTTTCTGCTTTATATTTTATTCTCCTTTGCTAAAGAAAAGCCGGGCTGTAAGCGTAAAGCTTGGAAGAACAAATAGGAAGTACTTTCCTCTGATATGTTCTAGGAAGAAATGTTTCTCTTTCTAGGGCAGGAAACACTAAAATAAAAAGCTTCTGGTCAGAGTGTTGATACCTGACCTCAAACTGGCCCTCAATCACTGTTTGGCAGACCTAGCATGAATTCCCACTGCTGCCAAGAATGGCAGGGTAAACAGATCAGCTGAATGTTTCACATCACGTGTTCACCTTTCAAAAATAATTTCAGTTCAAGATCATAGAGCTTTATAGCTCACACAAGATTTTAACTTTCTAAATAACTGTAAACTTTAAAAAATGTTTTCGCTTGCAAAAACAGAAGGATATAATAAAATGTAGAGTGATTTGGAGTTTCCAAGTATTTTCACATCCCTTATCCAATTTAATTTTCTTGATAACCCAAAAAGAGCATTATCATTAAACCCATTTGATGGACAAATAAAGTCTGCTGGGATCAACTTGCTGGGGATCCTGGACTGTAAGTCATTCTTCTGAATCTTAGTGTGGTGCTCTACCAGGCAACACTGTTCCGAGTAATGCAATTCTCTTCTTTTCCTTATTTAGTCAAAGTGTAATTGAATTAAATACTGGAGAAAGTATAAAAATTTAAAGCTACATAAAGTTAATTTTAGAAAAAAAGGTTAGATGATATACTGAAGTATCCTATTGAAAAGCCTGGCTCTTGGAAACCCATTTAGTAGAAGAAAATATAACACTTAGAAAAGCAGAACTCTCTTCCTTGAAAATATATTTAACAAATTCTTCCTATGTAATGAAACTGTTAGGGCCGGGCATGGTGGCTCACACCTGCTAACCCCAGCACTTTGGGAGGCCGAGGTGGGCGGATCACCTGAAGTCGGGAGTTCGAGACCAGCCTGACCAACATGGAGAAACCCCGTCTCTATTAAAAATACAAAATTAGCCTGGCGTGGTGGTGCATGCTTGTAATCCCAGCTACTTGGGAAGCTAAGGTAGGAAAATCACTTGAACCCAGGAGGCGGAGGTTTGGATGAGCCAAAATAGTGCCAGTGCACTCCAGCCTGGGCAACAAGAGACAAACTCTGTCTCAAAAAAAAAAAAAAAAAAAAAAAAAGAAAAGAAAACGGTTAAGTAATTATCAGCATAATTTTTATATAGCTAGGTGTCATAACTGTATTTTTAATTTTACCACACAATGTTATCCTTAGCTGTACCTATTAGGAAGGCTCAGTATCCAACACATTAGTAAAAAGCTAAAGTAATATTCAAAGCTGTAGAGAAACTTAACAGCAAGGATTGAGAGCATACCCTCAGACTGCTACCTTGTTCACATTTTTACTACCATTAATCTGATACATTGCTGTGCTCCACAGTGCTAAACACCCATCTTAATTAATAGTAGTTCTATTTAAGCATAGAAATGTCTTTTTTTGAAAGTCAGAAGTGAAGCTTCTGTTTACAAGTTTACCATATGGCAGACTGAATTATTTTTCCTACCCTACTGCTCTATAAAAGTAGAAGTAAACAGTATTTGCAATAAAATTCAGGATTTAAAACTTTTTTATTGCTAAAATCAAGTTGCCTTCATACTATCCCTTTTGTGTGGTTATAACAGGATTTATTCCTCCTCAGCTTTCATCTCTTTACCTCTTGACCACACTATTAACTACCGAAAAAAAACCGCAGCTGTACACGTACCTAGGTTTTAAAATCATACACTGAAAAACTAACTAAAATTACACTCCTAAATAACCTAAAACTGCTTCAAAGTTATATTCAATATTTTGAAATAAAAGCAAGCGCCCCAAGATGAGAGGTGCAAATAAATTATAGAAAGTGTATTTTCAGGCTTTCCAACCGCGAATGCTCTTTGTTTCTAACTGGAAAGGAGGAGTTAACAGAAAATAGAACAAGAAGAAAAAGTATGACCTTAGAGACACGTCACTTTACTTTGGTTGACAGAATTTCGTATATAAAAACATCTTAAATTGTACTTCCTCCCAAGCTTAAAGTCCTTAGAATGAGAAAACCGAAAGGCGAACCCAAGGCCAGCACATTTTATTTCCGCTGTCCCAGAAGCGCGCTGGGCGCACCCGAAGCTCCGCTCCAACAGCGCCGCGCCGCGCTCTCAGCAGCGCCTCCCGCTGGCGTCTCCCCACCCCACACCCAGGTCGCCGCCTCTGGCACACCTGGACGGCCGCAGGTGACCGGCGACCCACTCCGAGGATCTGGTAGAAACCGGCCAGGAAACCACTCCCGCCCGGAGGAGCGAGCCACTGTCAACTGGCCCGGAGGGACGTGCCCACTGCCAACCATGGGAGAGGAACGAGCCTCTGTCACCCCTGCCGGGTCACCCTGCCCTGAGGGGCGCCCACTGTCACCCCTGCCGGGAGAGGCGTCCCCATGGTCACCCTGTCCTGAGGAGCGCCGTCGCTTTCGTCCCTCCAGGTCCCCACTGCCACTCTGGCCGGGAAGGGCGTCCACTGTTATGCCTACCAGGAGAGGCGTCCCCAGTGTCACCTTGGCCAGGAGGGACGCCCACCGTCACCCACTCCCTGAAGGGGACTCAATGTCACCCCTGCCTTGAGGGGCGCCCACTGTCACCCTGCCGGGAGAGGACACCCACTGTCACCCCCGCCCTGAGGAGCGCCCACTGTCACCCTGCCGGGAGAGGACACCCACTGTCACCCCCGCCCTGAGGGGCGCCCACTGTCACCCCCGCCCTGAAAGGCGCCCACTGTCACCGGCTCTCTACGCCGTCCGCTTCGGGGTGTGGCGGTCCGGGAGGGATCCGGGTGGGGCCCCCCTGACAAGCGCACCCTCTCGCCTGGGCCCCGGCCCACCCGCTGCCCGGGGCCACCGCGTCCTCGCGGCCGCCCTCGTCGCGGACTGCACGGGTCGCAGCCTCCCGGGAGCCCCTCCGGGTTGCGGGGTTCGGCCTGCGGCGCTCGTCACCTCATGAGGTAGTCCCGGAAATCCTTGCTTCGGACATAGTCCGCCGCTTTCCGCACCAACGCGCCCGCCATGGCTGTGCCGACACCAGACCCCGAGTGGTCCCTGCCTCTGCTGCCGCTTCCCAGAGCCAATGACACCCCGGCCAACCCCCCGGCAGCCGACGGCGAGCCAGCCCGAAGGCCCGCCTCACGACACCCGGCCACGCCTTACGGCCGCGCCGCGCCGCCCGGCTCTCGGCCAATGACAGGGCGCAGGGCCAGAGATGGTGGCGCGGACTGGCTGGCTCGTGCCGCACGCCTCCTTCCCGCCCTCGGTGGCGCACGGGGGCGGGGCCCGCTGCCGTAAAACGGCTGGGGCTGGGCCGGGGCTGGCAGGCGGTTGCTAGGCTCCAGCGGCTCCCGGCCAGCGGGGACGTGGAGGTGACATTTCTCTGACCCACAGGACTGTGGGCGCCCTGCCGAGCGTCGCGCGGTCTTGGGGCGACCTGCAGTGGGGCCCCTGCGGCGCAGCGCGCGGTGGGACTGGCCGGGTTCCCGCGCCGCCCAGGGCCTGTGTCTGCGCCGGTTCCTGGCAAGGGCACCTTGGCCGGGCGGCCCGCGTCCCCTGCGCTTCCCACACCCACGTGGGCGGACCCGGCCCGCAAGCTGGGCCAGCCTGCGGTTTCCGGGCACTGGGGAGTGCGCAGAGCCCCGGGCCAGCGACCGCAGCCGGGGCCCCTGGCTTCTCCCGAGCACTTTCCCCCGGACCGGTCCCTCCAGGGTGGCGGGCGGCACCCAGGGCCGGCGCTCCTCACCAACGCGCTGCAGCTACGGGCTCAGGAGGGAGCCGCAGCGTCGGAGGAGGAAAGCATTTAAGAATAGCACAAAGCCTTAGGCTCGAGGAAGCGTGACTGCTTACGTGTTGAAAATAAAGGTTCTGTAAGTCCCACCGCGGGTGCATATTGAAAAGAAAGGGATCATTAGCACGCGACCCTCGCCTAGGAGTATATAAACCGCAGCACGACTTTCGGATCACAAAGGCAGAGAAAAGAACACATTGAAGGCTTTTGCTCACTTTTCCAAGTTGTTTCGTTTCGTTTTGTTTCTAATGTGGACGATCATTTAAAATGCCTCTGGTGGCCGGGCGCGGTGACTGACGCCTGTAATCACAGCACTTTGGGAGGCCGAGGCGGGCGGATCACCTGAGGTCAGGAATTCGAGACCAGCCTGGGCAATACGGTTAAACCCCCTCTCTACTAAAAATAAAAAAATTAGCTGGGCGTGGTGGCATGTGCTTGTAGTCCCAGCTACTTGGGAGGCTGAGACAGAAGAATCGCTTGAACCCGGGAGGCGGAAGTTGCAATGAGCCAAGATTGCGCCATTGCATTCCAGCCTGGGCAACAGAGCAAGACCCTGTCTCCAAAAAAAACAAATAAATATAACAAAATTCCTCTGGTAGCCGGGTGCGGTGGCTCACGCCTGTAATCTCAGCACTTTGGGAGGCTGAGGCAGGTGGATCACTTGAAGTCAAGAGTTTGAGACCAGCCTGGCCAATATAGTGAAACCTCATCTCTACTGAAAATACAAAAATTAGCCAGGCGTGGTGATGCGCTCCTGTGATCCCAGCTACTCGGGAGGCTGAGGCGTGAGAATCGGTTGAACCCGGGAGGTGGAGGTTGTAGTGATCCGAGATTGTGCCATTGCACTCCAGCCTGGGCAACAGAGGGAGATCCTGTCTCTAAAATAAAAAATAAAAGAAATGCCTTTGGTGAACAGGAATTCTCAACATTAGTGACCCGCAGTGTATTAGTGTTAATAATGGACATCCCCTTTGATCCAGCAAGCCCATCTAGAGATTTCCTAGGATAGACAAGCCAGTTTGTGCAATTTCATGTGTACAGCATTGTTTTTAGTATGGAAAGATTAGAGTTTACATATCTACCCATAGGGAGAGAGTTAAATAAATTATGGTGCATCCGTTTAGTGGATTAGTATACAGCCATTAGGAATAAAGGAATTCTTTATGTGCTGATATGAAATATCTTTTTTATTTTCAAGAAAAAAACCCAGGTTCTGAATAGTGTATAAAGTATGCTACTCATTGTGCATAGGGACAAAGAAAATATATACATTCATGTTTGCAAAGATACTGGAGAAATGTTAGTAGTGGCTGCCTCTAAGGATGACCAAGAGTGACACTGACTTTTCATTGTATCTTCCTTTGTTCTTTTTGAAATTTGTACAGTCTACTTATGCTATCTATTCAAAATAAGTGGTGTTAAGAAGAAATGCCTTTGAGAATGAAAATGGTAAGCCCTTGATTGAGTGGGGTTCATTTTCTGTTAGGATCGTGGTCTCTATTGGTCACAGCTGACCTTGATCGTCACTGAAAGTGTATCTCATTACACAATATTGCAGTCTTGAACACCAGGAAGGTTGTTCTGTTCCACATGAACATGCTTCATGATGGGGTTAGGAATGTACAACCTGTGAAAAGTGAGGGAGTCTTGATTATTAATAATAATATTATTAATAGCTACCTTTTCTTGATCATTAGGCACTATTTGTACATTATTTCTCCTTCTCACATCAACCCAGAAGGTAGGTATAAGGAAACTGAGTGGCTTCTTGAATGAAGCCAAACTGCTCTGCAAGATTGGTGGAAAAGGAGACTCTCCATGTGCTAACAGGTTCCTGGATCTCATAGCTGCTCTGTCTTAGCCCTTAATATGTTTCTTTTCCTCATGGATGGTGGTTCTGAAACCTGAGCTGTCAGAAGAATCCTTGGCAGATTCCTAGATCCCAGCCTCAGACTCAGAAGGTCTGGAGTTGGGGCTGAAAGCTGCGTGGCTAATGGGCACTGCAGGTGACTCTGAGGCTGCTGGTCAGTGTCTAGCACTTGGAGAAACTCTACTGAGGGCACCTGCCCCTAATGCACTGTTGCCACCACTGGGCTGGGGTCAAGAGGCTTTACTTCCCACATTTGGGCCTCAATTGGGACCTCTGAGCTTTCCACTAGTTTCCGTTCCATGAAGGAGTACAAATTGGAGTATGTAAAGACAAAAGACATACGTAAGTGGATAATTTGGGTTTGAACTAAGTTCTCTGCGACTCTCAAAGCCATACTTCCCCCATGTTGCCACAAAAAGTATTTGTTTCATGTTGCCATGTATCTCTTACTTCAAATATGAAGCAGGAATGTGATCTAAAGCATAAGAACATAGCAATAGATAGACCCATGTACATGATTTCGTAAAACTTTAGAAAGGCCAGTCCTACATGGTTTGTCCATATTTGGACGGTGTGTGGAATGCACAAATGAAAGCATCACTGGCTATTCTGAACCCCAGGTTTGTGGAAGTGAGTGTAAAGGCCCAGCAGTGAGCCCCAATCTCACCTGCCCATCAAAGTTCAGAAACGACAATCAGAATAGGCCGCACTTGGCGCTTCCCTGTAGACACAGGATCTGTGAGTTTGGACAGATTTCTGGTCAGTTTGGAAGGAAGCTGGCCTCTGTTAACAGAGCACCCCTTATGGGTCAGTGTTGTGCAGGCAGTCCACATACACTGTGTGTATGCGATGACAGTGCGTCTGCTTGTAGAAGGGGCTGGGTCCCCTCTGCAGAGCCTCCGCATGGGGCTGCATGACTGGTTCCGGCCGACTTGCTGGGGAGCGCACAGCCTGTCCACAAAGGGAATCTTCATCCTTCCTGATCTGTAGAGCCATTTGCAATGCGTGATGGCAACTGCTTAACTTCAGTTTTCGTCCCTGGGCCAGAGATTTCTGTGCCCTGGGATAATAAACGTATTATCTAAAGAGCTTTTATTTCTTTCTAGAGAATAAGGAAAATGATACTCTGCAGAATTTCTATTTCTTTTGTAATTATCTCAGGGGAAGGTAGTTATTAAGTGTTCACTGATTAGGATTAATGTTTCCAATTTTTGTCAAGAACAGAATGTATGTATTACTAATTTAACCATAATTTCAATCAAAACTGTGTCATTAAAAATGTTGGCAGTCATGCATTTCCTGCATGGTTATGAATTTTTTCATGTATCTATAGTATTTTTCTAACAGTCTAATTTTAATTCATTCACTTTCTCACGAAAATGTATTTTTTTTCCATTTCAGCATGTAGTACTTGTGTTACCTTTTCACGAGGCCCACACTCCTCCAAGGAGGCTGCTGATTGTCTCTAAACTGATTACCTCCATTTGTTCTTTCCTTGATCTTACAGTGTCCATCAGCTTCCTATGATTGAAGAAAAGCTTCCACTTGTAATAAACCAACTTCTCTCATCCAGTTATCAACATAGACCAAAAAAAAAAAGAAAAAAAAAAGGCCAGGCGCAGTGGCTCATGCCTGTAATCCCAGCACTTTGGGAGGTCAAGGTGGGCAGATCACTTGAAGTCAGGAGTTCAAGACCAGTCTGGCCAACATGGTGAAACCCTGTCTCTACTAAAAATACAGAAATTAGCCGGGAATTGGTGGTGCGCACCTATAGTTCCAGCTACTCAGGAGGCTGAGGCAGGTGAATCGCTTGAATCCAGGAGGCGGAGGTTGCATTGAGAGGAGATCATGCCACTGCACTGGGCGGCAGAGCAAAACTCTGTCTCAAGAAGAAAAAGAAAAAAGAAAAAAGCGGAGTCGTTCTGTGAGTGAAAACACTGAATTCCACCGGTTCCTGATCATATTGCCTTTATTTCATTCATTCATTCATTCTGGAAATGGGGATAAATAGCCCGTTTGTCTTTCCTGCAGGTTTGTTACGATGGTGAAGGCAATTTAGAAGGAACTATTTAGTGGAGGATAAAAGTGTTTTGTAAATGTTAAGATGCATTGTTTTGTTTCTGTCCTGTTGCCCAATTTTCTCTCAGCCCAACACCTGCCTCTATTTGGTTCTTAGGTTACACATTAATTCCATTTGCTTAGTAATTTAAAGAATGTACTGTAGTACACCAATAAGCTAACAAACTCGGGCCCTTGACCCCAAGTCACCAGTGTCACCTAGATTCAAAAACCAATATAACGAGTCAAGTATGAATGCACAATATTTTAGCTAAGCCCTTCCTGTCCCACCTCTAATGAATCCACATGCTGCCCCAGGGCTTGGTACATGCTGTTAAGTAAGCAGCTTTGCTCCCTCCTGCTCCCTGTTTTTGTCTTAGGTTGGTTTCAGTCCTTCCACTGTGGATGGAGAAGTCACAAAGAAATGGTTTTGCAGGCAAGGAATCTTTACTCTGTTTAGCAACTCAGTAACTTGCTAGCAAATAAATGGCAAAGGGTCAAAGGAAGTGGAAACATCACTATTTTGCAATCCCTATTGAAATGAGGGATTCAAGCAGCAATCATCAATAGAAGCCAAAATCCTCCTTTGACGGGAACTGGATAATCCCAAGTGCTGGACTGTCGCCCACAGATTCTCCGCTGCTGGTCATGAGGGGAAAAGTGCTCAACATACTATACAGGCAGCTTACCCAACCCCTCTGTCCCCAGGAGCTGGGAGCAGGGAGAAATAGTGAGGAGGTTTTCATGGTCAAATGTATTTAGGAGACTTATTTGAATCAGGCAATTACTTAATTTCTGCAGCTCTTCTGAGAGCCTTTACTAAGCTATGTGAATTGTGATACCGCAAGAGGAACTCTCACCATGTAGCATTTCCCAAATTTTTATTGAGACAGAGTCTCACTCTGTCACCCAGGATGGAGTGCAATAGCGTGATCTCAGCTCACTGCAATCTGCTTCCCAGGTTCAAGTGATTGTCATGCCTCAGCCTCCCAAGTAGCTGGGATTACAGGCCTGTGCCACTATGCTCAGCTACTTTTTGTATTTTTAGTAGAGACAGGGTTTCACCATGTTGGCTGGTCTGGTCTCGAACTCCTGGTCTCAAGTGATCCACCTGTCTCGGCTTCCCAAAGTGCTGGGATTAGAGACGTGAGCCACTGCGCCTGGTCCTCCCAAACTTCTTTGAACATAGAGCCCGTTTGGAAGGTGGATTTGTGGGACTAAGCCTCCCAGGGGCTCCGGTGGCTGTACGCCCTGATGGCTGTGCACCCCGACCGCTGTGCACCACGACAGCTTCCATGCCTTCCAAGCTGGGGGGTGCCATGGGAGGGCTCAGAGCCTCACCCCAGGCTGGATGAGCTCGACTGCTTTGTAGCTGCCTGTATGTGGCAAGTAACTAACACTCCCTAGGCCTCAATTTTTTAATCTATAAAATGAAAGCAGTAAATGTCACATCATATAAGTTGTTGAGTATTTATGAGAATTAAAAGGAATAATCGCCATAAAAGGCCTGATACTGCCAATCATATATTGGACAAATATGAATTTCCCTTTTTCCCTTTATTCTACTTTATGGCAACTCCTACCTACTATTCTCTTTCTTTTGCTACTAAGCAGACATATGGGTTTGTTTGTTTGTTTTATCAGGGAGAGGTTCTAAATGTTGTACCCTTTAACCCTCAAAGCATTATCTATTCTCTTAGAGGGTAAAGGGCAGAGATGTTATCCCTATTGGTTTCTAACCTTGGAGAAGGTCAGAAACGTCATGAGCTCTCTCTAGATCCTCTTATCTGCTTCTCTTACACAATCGTTTGGTTCTGTGTGTGGTGAAAACTGAATTGGGGGAAAATCAGATCGGCAGAAACCAAATGTTGAACCAACTGGTGAATAGAGAAATACAGATTAAGTATCCCTACAATGGAATATTATTCAGCAATAGAAAGAAATGAAGTATGGACCCATGCATGGAAGGATGCAGGGGTGTTTCCTACAGCATAGAAGGACCTTGAAAACACAGGGCTAAGTGAGAGGAGCCGGACAGGAAGGATCATGTATTGTGTGGTCTGCTCATGTATGATCTGCTCACATATTGTATGATCTGCTTACATGAAATGCCCAAGGTAGGCAAATCCAGAGTCAGGAAATAGGTCGGTGGTTGCCAGGGACAGGGACTTTTGGGGGAAAATAGAGAGTGGCTGTTAACAGGGACCTGCTTTCTTCTAGGGTGATGAAAATGGTCTAACATTGATTGTAGTGAGGGTTGTGCAGCTCTGTGAATATGCTAAAGAACCATCGAATTGGACACTTTAAATGGGTGCAAATTATATTCCAATAAACTATCTGTAGAAACTTAAGAGTTTATTATTATTATTATTTTGAGACGGAGTCTTGGTCTGTCGCCCAGGCCGGAGTGCAGTGGCGTGATCTCAGCTAACTGCAACCTCCGCCTCCTGGGTTCAAGCGATTCTCCTGCCTCAGCCTCCTGAGTAGCTAGGACTACAGGTGCATGCAACCATGCCCGGCTAATTTTTTTTTTTTTTTGTATTTTTAGTAGAGGCGGGGTTTCACCGTGTTAGCCACGATGGTCTCAATCTCCTGACCTTGTGATCCGCCTGCCTCGGCCTCAGAAAGTGCTGGGATTACAGGCTTGCGCCACCACGCCCGGCCCAAAACTTAACAGTTTTAAAAAACCTTTAAAAAGATACATAGAAAGAGAGCAAACAAAACAATCCCCCTCCCCCCACCACCAAAGTCTTTTGTCTTAATCAGCGCACTAATTCTTTGGGTAAGTAAAGGGAAGAGAGCTTTTATCTGTATGAACTATTTCAGCTAGCCCTGGTGATGAAGGAAAGCTCTTCTTTTCAGAGTAATTCCAGATAATAAATGTGAAAGAATAGTAGAATGAAAAGAACACCACTTTGCCATCCCAAGTGAAGTTACTGCTTCAGACAAAAATCATTGAGGGATGCTGAAAGCATTCAGTCCATGGTTAATAGAAATGCAGACAGGCACCAGGCAGTTGGTATAATGCCCGGGGTGATTTGTTGGTCCTCAAGGGGAAAATGCAGATTCACAAGGAGGGATCCACTGGACCTTAGCCTCACTAAGGGAAGGGGGCCAGCTCCAGGTGCCAGCCGGGAGGATGTTGTGAAGCCAGCAGCCCCACTGAGGGGTATTCCTGTGGGAAATCTTGAGCCTGAATCTAATCAAATCTTTAACTCTATCCTTCAGTTTACAGGAAATAAATGAGAAATAACAGAAACTAGTGAAAGCAAACTATGGGAAAGTAACCTAACCTATCCAGCCAGTGGAACATTTGATGGGACCACTGAGCCCCTGTCTCCACCCACCATTGGTAGGAAGAGCAGGGGGCTCTGAATCCTTATTGTAAGTAGGGGAGGAAAGGTGTGATGCTTTCCCCCCACTCATCATTAGGGTCATGGCCAACACCTCGTAACAAAAGACACGTTAACAAGAGAAAAGCCTCACAAATGCACGCAACCAAAGTTTTATGTGACACAGGAGCTTTCAGAAATAAAGACCCAAAGATCTGGGGAAACTGTATTTTTATGCTTAGGTTTGATGGAGAAAGGATAGCCAGTAGAGATGTGATGGAACGTAAGGGTAACGGTCATAAACTGAGTGGGGAACCCCAGCAAGGTGTGTGTGTCAGATTTTTCAGGACCTCCTTCCTCCTGGGTATTGGGCAGGACCCCTCTGGAATAAGGGTCTTCAACGGAGAAGGGAGAGAGGGACCATTCCAGGTTTTATGGCTTGCTTTGCAGGAAAGAGAGGGCCATGAGACAGGAGGACCTTGTTTCTGGGCCCTTCCAATCTCCTTTAAAGTTCCCAGCATGCAAAAGTGCATACTTTGAAGCATCAGGTTCTGAGCCCAAATATGTCCAACAGGATTATAATGGGAGCCACGCTGGAACTTCACGTTTTTAGTAGACACATTAAACATGTTTTTAAAAGGTCAAATTGATTTTAATGATATATTCTATTTAGCCCACTATATCCAAAATATTATTGCACCATGTCATCAATATAGAAGTTATTATTGAAATATTTTCTTTTCCTCTTTTCGTGCTAAGTTTTCAAAACCTGATGTGCATTTTGCAATTATGATTCATCTCAATTCAGGTGCTAAATTTCATTGGCAATACTTGATCTATATTTGAATTTCAAAAATTACAGGTTTTAAAAGTATATCAGATACCCAAGTTGTTCCAGATATACTGAAAAGTTTTCCAAAGCTGAATTGACTGCCAAAAAATTATGTTCATTTAACATTTATATTCACCTTGACAAAATGGGTTCATCTTTGTAAGAACTGATTCACTTTGAAGCAAAAACATCCCTTTCAAAGCTACATCACTTCAAGTTACCTCAGTTCACCTACTTGTTTCAATTGAGTTGTAATAACATTGAATTAAAAAGTGACTGCATAAATCGAAAAACATGTCTTAGATTTTGGGGTGTAATTTTTTTTTTTTTTTGAGACAGAGTTTCGCTCTTGTCGCCCAGGCTGGAGTGCAATGTCATGGTCTCGGCTCAGTGCAACCTCCGCCTCCCAGGTTCAAGCGATTCTCCTGCCTCAGCCTCCCAAGTAGCTGGGATTACAGGCATGCACCACCAAATCCGGCTAATTTTGTATTTTTAGTAGAGATGGGGATTCACCACATTGGCCAGGCTGGTCTCGAACTCCTGACCTCAAGTGATCCACCTACCTCAGCCTCCCAAAGTGCTGGGATTACAGGCGTGAGCCACCATGCCCGGCAGGGTGTAATTGTAGCTATTCTACATAATGCTGTTTATTACAATGAAAACCTACTGCCTATATATTAATGTTAGAAACAATCTGTAAAATCATTATTATTGACTTGTATTCCAGCATTTTCAATTGCCAATAAATCCTCCTATCTACCTGGGTGACATGAAGCTTTTAAATCAGCTCTTCCATCTGCCATGTGACATTGGTGAGAAAATGAATCACTGCTGTGTGTTTTGATTCTTGAGTATTTGGGAACCTTTCCCTTTATTTTAGGAAATTCTTGAGCTAGAGTTAACTCCTGGCTCAGGAGTGAAGCTGCAGACTTTCACGGTGAGTGTCACAGCTCTTAAGGTGGCGTGTCTGGAGTTGTTCGCTCTTCCTGGTGGGTTCATGGTCTCGCTGGCTTCAGGAGTGAAGCTGCAAACCTTCGCGGTGAGTGTTACAGCTCATAAAGGCAGTGTGGACTTAAAGAGTGAGCAGTAGCAAGGTTTATTGGAAAGAGCAAAAGAACAAAGCTTCTACAGTGTGGAAGGGGACCTGAGCGGGTTGCCACTGCTGGCTCGGGCAGCCTGCTTTTATTCTCTTATCTGGCCTTACCCACATCCTGCTGATTGGTCCATTTTACAGAGAGCGGAGTGGTCTGTTTTGACAGGGTGCTGATTGGTGCGTTTACAATCCTTGAGCTAGACACAAAGGTTCTCCACCTCCCCACTGGATTAGCTAGATACAGAGTGTCCGACACAAAGGTTCTCCAAGTCCTTACTAGAGTAGCTAGATACAGTGTGGATTGGTGCATTCACAAACCTTGAGCTAGACACAGGGTGCTGATTGGTGTGTTTACAAACCTTGAGCCAGATACAGAGTGCCAATTGGTGTATTTACAATCCTTTAGCTAGACATAAAGCTTCTCCAAGTCCTCACTAGTCAGGAGCCCAGCTGGCTTCACTTAGTGGATCCTGCACCGGGGCCGCAGGTGGAGCTGCCTGCCAGTCCCGCGCCGTGCGCCTGCACTTATCAGCCCTTGGGTGGTCGACGGGACTGGGCGCCGTGGAGCAGGGGGCGGCGCTCATCAGGGAGGCTCGGGCCACACGGGAGCCTACGGGGGCGGGGGGAGGCTCAGGCATGGCGGGCTGCAGGTCCTGAGCTCTGCCCCGCGGGGAGGCAGCTAAGGCCCGGCGAGAAATCGAGCGCAGCGCCGGTGGGCCGGCACTGCTGGGGGACTTAGCACACCTTCCGCAGCCGCTGGCCCGGGTGCTAAGCCTCATTGCCTGGGGCCGGCAGGGCGGGCCGCTCCGAGTGCAGGGCCCGCCGAGCCTACACCTACCTGGAACCTGCGCTGGCCTGCAAGCACTGCGCGCAGCCCGGGTTCCCGCCCGCGCCTCGCCCTCCACACCTCCTCGCAAGCTGAGGGAGCCGGCTCCGGCCTCGGCCAGCCCAGGAAGGGGCTCCTGCGGTGCAGCGGCGGGCTGAAGGGCTCCTCAAGTGCCGCCAAAGTGGGAGCCTAGGCAGAGGAGGCGCCGAGAGCGAGCGAAGGCTGTGAGGACTGCCAGCACGCTGTCACCTCTCAGTGGCATTCACTCGCATGTACTGAACTATTTAAAAAACTGTCCATGGGGAAGAGATGGGGCAAGACGGCCGAATAGAAGCCTCCACTGATTGTCTTCCTCACAGAAACACCAAATTTGACAACTGTCTACTCAAAAAACACCTCTATATGAACCGAAAATCAGGTGAGTATTCACAATACCTGGTTTTAAGTTTATATTGGTAAAAAAGTAGGAAAGACAGCTTTGAATTGTCTACACCGCTCTTCCCCTATCCCCTGGCAGCTGCCCTGTGGTTCAGAGAGAATCTGTGTGCTTGGGAAAGTACAGTATCTGTGGGACTTTGCTTTGGAACACCGCACTGCCAACACCAGGTAGAATTCAGCTGATACCCAGGGAGGGAGCACCTAGACCAGCCCTAGCAGAGGGCTATCGCCCATCCCAGTGGTTGGAACTTGAGTGGAAAACTTTGCATTCTCAGGGTGTTGTCCAGGCCTCTCTGGACCCATTTCTAAATGTGATATGAGAGAGGGAGTGAGTAGCCTGCTGAAGTGTGGCATAGTTGAGGTGAATGCGCTATATAACACAATTACATAGATTAGCCAGAAACATTAAACTGCAGAATAAGATCTGTCTATTCTTCAGAAACCTTTCACCCACAGAATGGTTTAAAGTTTGACTGTGTTGAATTTGTTTGCTTGACCTCAAAGAGACTTCCACGTGGACAGCTGTGATGAGACTGGACGTAGTCCTAGCAAGTCTGAAAGCTAGTATTTGTGTGCCTCTATGCCTTGGCCTGACTCCACTCTTACAGGGAGCAGGTGCAGCTTAGCAGCCTCCCCTGTCGATCAGGCAAAGTTTGGTGTCCTTGGATCATTCAGCAGAAGGGGACATTGCCTGCAATAGTAACGAGATACTGTCAACAAGTCCCCAGAAGGAGAGAGGGAACTGGGGCTGGCTGGGCACTGGCTCTGTTCCATTCGTTTCACAGCTCCCTAGCCCTGACATCTCTCAGGAGGAGGAAGAAGTTTGCCTTCACTGCATGTCACGTTTCAAGTCATCAAGCTCCTAAGATGCTGATTTGTCCCCACACAGTTCATAATGGCTGGAGCCACAATTTTTTTTTTTTCTAGACGGAGTCTCGCACTGTCACCCGGGCTGGAATGCAATGGTGTGATCTTGGCTCACTGCAACCTCCGCCTCCCGGTTCAAGCGATTCTCCTGCCTCAGCCTCCTGAGTAGCTGAGATTACAGGTGCCCGCCACCATGCCTGGCTAATTTTTTTTTTTGTCTTTTTAGTAGACACGGGGTTTCACTATGTTGGCCAGGCTGGTCTCGAACTCCAGACCTCGTGATCTGCCCACCTCAGCCTCCCAAAGTGCTGGGATTACAGGCATGAGCCCCCACGCCCAGCTGGATCCACAGTTTTAACCTGTGACTGCCGAAGTGTATACATTTTTCTACTTTCATGCCCTGCCAGTCCTGTGTGTGGAAATTCAAGTTTTCCAGTGGTTTTTTGAGGTGGGAGAGGTGGGAGCAAGAGGAGGAGGAAGTTTTTCCTAAGAAGTCCAGCTCAGCTCAGACCTTTCATGTGGCTCACACGCGTGTCTGTGTTTTCTCACTCATGGCCAATCGCGCCGCCTTTCATCCAGCCCACAGCCCTGCCAAGGGCCTGCCCGTTGCCTGAGTGTATCTGGAGTTCAAGAAAACACAAACAGATAAGCCATCTGCAGTGCTCACATTCCAACTGGAGAAATAGGCTAAAAGAGAGGGAGGTGGGTGGGGGAAGAAAGGGAGGGAGAGAGAGAGAATTACTGCATCCAAAATTATGCTAATGACAGAAGGGCCAGTGGCAGAGAGCTGGGAGGGAGCCGACCTTTGATGGTGGGTGAGGTCGCTCTTGTGGACAGGATAATCAGGGCACCTCTCTGAGGAGGTGACATCTAAATCAGGAGCAGAGGCAGAGGCATGGGAAAGGTGCTCCAGGCAGAGGAGGCAGCAGAACAAAGGGCCCCGCATGTCCTAGTAGCCTCAGGGAGGGAGGCTAGTATGAGGGTTCGGCTAAAACTTGAGCTTGGAGCAACTCTGTCACCTGCAAGGACAAGGAAGCTTGAAGCGTCTGCATGGTGGAGGCACCAGCATCCACGACCAGCTCCAATATGGGAACCACATGGTCAGCCTCTGAGATTTTGGAAAATCATGCCCTTTAGGCAAACAGCTGTTTTCTTTTTGAGAAATGTATTTCTCCTGGGCCCTGGAAGACTAAATGCCTGGTCCGGGGACCCCAGTGTCCTGCCTGCCCTTCACAAAATGCTGCTCTCGGACTCGCCCAGCCAACGAGCTGATGTACCCAGCAGGGGTCCCTCAGGAGGCAGAAGTGGATAGGTGATATCCAGCAGGGGTCCCTCAGGAGGCGGAAGTGGATAGGTGATATCCAGCAGGGGTCCCTCAGGAGGCAGAAGTGGATAGGTGATATCCAGCAGGGGTCCCTCAGGAGGCAGAAGTGGATAGGTGATATCCAGCAGGGGTCCCTCAGGAGGCGGAAGTGGATAGGTGATATCCAGCAGGGGTCCCTCAGGAGGCGGAAGTGGATAGGTGATATCCAGCAGGGGTCCCTCAGGAGGCGGAAGTGGATAGGTGATATCCAGCAGGTGTCCCTCAGGAGGCGGAAGTGGATAGGTGATATCCAGTGGCTGGGGGCGGGGGTGGGGGCGGGGGTGGGGGTGAGGGGCAAGCACAGGTGTGTGCTGTGTAAGCAGGTGCCCAGGCCCCTGGAGAACCTCCCACTGCACTTTCCCTGTGGCCTCAGCAAGGAAGGGGCCCTCGCTGACTGGATGAGTAGGAGGGTCCCCCAGGCCTGGTCTGGTCTGGAGAGAGCTCTGTACATGTGTGGACCCCAGTATGTGGACCACATGCTGCTTCTGCTCCAGTAACACCTGTGGGTTAACTCGGTGCTTCTCCACATGGTAATCACACAGTATTGTTTCTGACCAGGAACCTCACAGCAACGTGTTATGTGCTGAGTATCTGGGTCCTCCCAAAATTCATGTGCTGAAGACCTGGCCCCCTGCGTGATGGTGTCTGGAGGTGGGGCCTTTTTGGGGAGGGTTAGGTTTAGATGAGATCATATGGGTGGGGCCCCATGATGGGACTAGTGCCCTTGTAGAAAAGGAAGAGAAACCTCTTCCTACAGCCATCTCTCTCTGCCATAGGAGGACACAGTGAGAAGGTGGCTCTTCAAGCCAGGAAGATGTCCCTCACCAGGACCTACATTTGCTGGCACCATGAGCTTGGACTTCCAGCCTCCAGGATGGCAAGGAGTCCATGTGTGCTGTTTAAGCCACCCCTTATGTGCTACTTCGTCCCAACTGCCCAAACCTGGAGCAAGGGAATGAATGGGCTGATACTTCCAGGATTCATGGGTCTCACCATGTTCAGGAACTGTGCCTCTTTAGAATGAGATGCGGCCTACTGAGGGGTCCTCACAGCCCTGGTGGGACTGGGGTGCATCCTGGTTGAGCAGTGCATGCTCTGAGCCACTGTACTATCTGGTGCCTTTTCTCCCCTTGCAGACTCTACAAGTGGAGATTGAAGGACTGTACGTGATAGTGGAATTACTCACATTGATACCCAACAACTTGCCAAGAAACTATTTCCTTTCTCTGTGCTCCGGGGCCCTGCTGGGGGAATGCTTCCCCTAGGGACACCAATGCTGTTCCGCCACCCTGGCTCTCAAGACTGTGCCATCACAGGCAGGGGCCACACCATGGGGCGGCCTCTCCTGACTGGCAAGGGGGATGTCAGGGCACTGTTCCTCCATGCGGCAGGGAGGAAGCACCCCCGCACCACCAGCCCAGTGGGGAAACATTAACAGAAGACAGCAGCAACCCAAGGGCAGGGGCCCTCCACCTTCTGGGACCACAGGGAAATACAGACAAAGATTCCCAAGCAGCTCTGGGGCCAGGTTCGAGGACGGTGTGAGAGGGGCAGCTGGGAACATCACGGGTACAGGGACCTGCACAGGGGCTGAGGGCTGTGCCAGCTGTGTTGGCTTCCTGCAGCTGCCATCACAAAGTCCCACAGGTGGGCAGCTTAAACAGCAGGCTGCTCTCACAGCCCTGGAGGCTGGAAGGCCAAGATCAAGGTGCTGGCAGGGCACATTTCTCCTGAGGCCTGTCTCCTTGGCTTATAGAGGGCCACCTTTTCCCTGTGTCTCTTCACATCGTCCTCCCTGTGTGTATGTCCCTCTCTGTGTCCAGATGTCCCTTTCCATAAGAACACCAGTCATGCTGGATTAGGTCCCCCCACCCCAATGACCTCATCATCACTTGATTACCTTAGTAAAGGCCCTGTCTCCAAAGACGGTCACATTTTTAGGTACTGGGGTTAGGACTTCAACAGGATAATTTTTTTTGGAGGGGTGAAACCTTGATTCAACCCATGACAGTAGCTATTCACATTTTCATCCTGGGCCTTAGAGGAACTGATTTCTTCCACCACCCCCATTTCCCTGTTACCTTATATAGATTGTGCTGATGGTGGCCAACTTCCTGCGTTGCTCATGGTTTATAGGTGTTCAGTCTGAACTGGACTGGAAGAGAAAGATTGTCCAGGGCTGTAAAGAGAGACTGGTGAGACTTGGGTTTTGTCTTTGGGAGACGATGTGCATGTTTTCATTGTTTGTGAAGAGCAGCTGTGTTATTTGGGTGGGGATGTCATGGCTGCCATCACTGTTACTTTGGAGGTGAACAATAGGAAGAAAGTTGTGTGGAGACTTTGAGCGGCTGCAGGCTGGAGTGTGGTGGATAGGACAGATGGGTTTTTTGTACTCAAGCTATTTGAAAGCTGGAATCTCAAACTTCCTTGAAGCATTAATTTCCCCTGTGACTTGAGCTTTCCTGAGCAGCTATCCATGTGAGACTTGCAGGGAGGTGGTAGCCACATCGAGCCACCTCTGCAAGCCAGGGAGCAGGATGATCGCTGTGACCAGGGTGGCTGAAGCAGGTCTAGCTGCCAATGTCCAGAAGCTCCTGCTTGTGGACTTTCATGTACCAGCAGCCTGCTTATCGAGCATTTGAAATGTGGAGAGTGTGGCCACACAATTAAAATTTAAATTCTATTGAATTTCAAGTAATTTAAATTGTAAGTAGTTTAAATACCAAATATGGCTAGTGGCTAGCAAGTCAGACAGCACAGCGTGAGAGCATACCTTTAAGGTGGGTGTGCCTAGAGATTCACCAAAGAGAGCTGATGTGGCCAAGGTCACAGGGGCTTTGTATGCTGGACCAAAGAGCCCAGAGTTTTCGATTTTTCTCTTGAAGAACAAGAGCTGCTGAAGTTGTTGTTGTTGTTTAACATAGTCAGGTGATACGGGCACAATTATTTTCTGACAGAATTTTAAGCTGCTATGTGAAGAGATTGAGAGAGGCAACGTGGTGGCAAGATGCCAGCCAAGAGGTTACTACAATTGCCTGGATGAGACGTGTCGATTGCAGAGACAAGCTGGAGGTGATGGGAATGGGGAAAAAGCGCACAGTCAAGAACTCTGCAGGGGAACACCTGTTAGGATCTGACCGCTGACGGTGTGCTGGGGGGTAAGACGGAAGCTTCGGACCCCAGGATCTTGGGATTTATCACTTGCAAATGGCATGTATGGGAATGTCTCAGCGGAGTTAGGGAATGAAGGAGCAGTAGCATGTCCAGGCGGAGGTTGGGTGAAGATGTGGACGCAGGATTGGAAGGGCCGGTGTGAAGTGCTGTCTCACATCCAGGTGGCAACGTGCAGCGCACAGCGGGCAGAAGCTCGAGGAAGCCCCAGCTAGAGACAGCACTTTCTTGTTTTCAGTCACCTTTGCGCTGCAGGTGGTATTAAATAGTGCTTCTTCAGGCCGGGCACGCGGCTCACGCCTGTAATCCCTGTGAGAGGCCGAGGCGGGCAGATCACGAGGTCGGGAGATCGAGACCATCCTGGCTAACACGGTGAAACCCCATCTCTACTAAAAATACAAAAAATTAGCCGGGCGTGGTGGCAGGCGCCTGTAGTCCCAGCTACTCGGGAGGCTGAGGCAGGAGAATGGCGTGAACCCAGGAGGCGGAGCTTGCAGTGAGCCGAGATTGCGCCACTGCACTCCAGCCTGGGTGACAGGGAGACTCCGTCTCAAAAAAAAAAAAAAAAAAAAATAAGAGTGGATCGACAGAGTCTTACGTGATGCTGTGAAATACAGCTGCTGGGCTTCATTTCAGACACATTGCCTAAGACTCTCTTCTTATTACCCGAGTCACTGATTCACAACCACTTTCACCCTTGAAGATCCTTTGTAAAGTTAAGTTTTTTCCTAACAGACCTGTTATATAAAGACTTTGTCTTATAAGGAAGTATTTATTATGTAACATGTTTGTCCCCTCTAAAGAGGACAGTTTAAAGGAGACATTTAAATTTCTCCTTCATGTGAGACATCCAGTGTTAGTATACTGGGTTAATATAAAACCAAACAAAACTCAAATAGACATGACTTTTCACCTCTGCAGGTTTACGGTGTGTGAACTTATGATTCTCATCAACTTTTCTTCCTTTCTTTCTTTTTTATTTTGAAGACAGAGTCTGGCTCTGTCACCCAGGCTGGAGTGCAGTGGTGTGATCTCAGCTCACTGTAACCTCTGCCTCCCGGGTTCAGGTGATTCTCCTGCCTCAGCCTCCCGCGTAGCTGGGATTACAGGCACCCACCACTATGCCCGGCTTTTTTTGTATTTTTATTAGAGATAGGGTTTCAGCATGGTAGCCAGGCTGGTCTCGAACTCCTGACCTCAAGTGACCTGCCTGCCTTGGCCTCCCAAAGTGCTGGGATTACAGATGTGAGCTACAGCGCCTGGCCTTCATCAGCTTTTCTTAATACTGATGGAGCCCACGGACTCCTGGTCCTGTTGTGAACTTCAGGTTGGCAATCGCTTGCCCTGGGCTGTATGAGGAGCCAGTGGCAGGACCCTGTCTGACCGGTGACCCATGGGGGCTCTGGCCATCGCAGTGCACGGGTCCTGAGAGGGCTCCCAGAGCTGCAGGGCTGAGCGCGTTCTGCATGGCCTGCAGGTCTAGCTGTACAAGCACTGCCCTCTGCTGGCATTTTGTAACAATTGCAAACACACAGAACTTACTTGTCCCGCAACGTAGTGAAGTTTCCAGAAGGAAAAGAGATGAATTTATGCCGGGGTGGTGGTTCACGCCTGTAATCCCAGCACTTTGGGAGGCCAAGGAGGGCGGATCACCTGAGGTCAGGAGTTCAAGACCAGCCTGGCCAACATGGTGAAATCCCATCTCTACTAAACAATACAAAAATTAGCCAGGTGTGGTGGCACGCGCCTGTAATCCCAGCTACTCAGGAGGCTGAGGCAGGAGAATCACTTGAACCCGGGAGGAGGAGGTCGCAGTGAGCTGAGATTGTGCCGCTGCACTCCAGGCTGGGCGACAGAACGAGACTCCGTCTCAATTAAAAAAAAAAAATAAAGAGGTGAATTTATATAGTTAACAGGCCACGTTCAACAAGGCCACCCCAGCCACCCGAGGCCCCATGTAGAATTTTGAATGGCCACATGCGTAGTGGACGCTGAACAGGGAACTCGTAAATTCCAGCCCAGTCCCCACCTATTCACTCATTTACAAATAATGATTTGTGCCCAGCACCGGGCCAGGCATAGAAAGAAGAAAAGGATTGCAACTCTCAGGGGTGCTCCAGGCTAGGGGGAGAGAGGCGCACACAAGAACAATTTCACTTCAGTCTCTTCCTCGATCCGGTATGAGGCTGTATAAAGGGCAGTCCGGATTGTATGGAGGTAATAATGTCTGAGCTGAAATGGAAAGGATTACGCAGGATTTGTCTGTTGGACATCTCTGACCAAAACGGCACTGAAACCTGATGACAGTACTTAGCACCAGGTATCTGAGTGGGAGGCTGTTGAGAGTAAATGGAGTTACGGTGGAAGAAATTCTGAGGTCCTTTAAAATGACCAAGCTGCCCGGGACCTTGCCATGTATCTGCTGGCATGTATGATTTGGTGTGAAAATATCAGGCCCAGATAACAGCCAAATTGCCTCACTTTCTGCAAGCTAAACACAGTCTAACTGCGTTAGCTACACACACACACTCTCTCTCTTTCATGCATCACTGAATGATGGAAACACGTTCTGGTAATTTCATCACTGTGTCGACATTAGAGAGTGCATTTACACAAACCTAGATGGTATAGCCCATTGTGTACTTAGGCTCTATGGTGTAGCCTATTGCTCCCAGGCTACAAACCTAAGCAGCATGGTACTGTGCTGAATACTGTAGGCAACTGTAACACAATGATAAGCATTTGTGTATCTAGACATATCTAAACATAGAAAAGGTACAGTAAAAATATGATATGGTATTGTCATCCTATAGGACCACCATTGTATATGCATCTATCTATCTATCTATCTATCTGTCTATCTGTATAGATATAGATATATACAGTCATGCACGACACAATGTTTCGGTCAGTGACTGACTGCATATACAAAGGTGGCCCCATGAGATGACTCTCTCTCCCTCTCCCTCTCCCTCTCCCTCTCCCTCTCCCCCTCCCCCTCCCCCTCCCCCTCCCCCTCCCCCTCCCCCTCCCCCTCCCCCTCCCTCTCTCTCTCTCTCTCTCTCTCTCTCTCTCTCTCTCTCTCTCTCTCTCAGGAACCATTCTTAGAGTTAGCTGCTCCACACCCTTTCTTTCACCTTCCTTTGTCGCCTCATCCAGCAGGCTTTCCGGAATGCAGATGCTGGCATCTGGAAGCATGAAGATGAGGCCTGTGAGTTAGAGGTCCTTTGGGACCGGGAGGGCTCAGAGGAGCTGGGCTGCCATCCAGCCTGCCCTGAGGCTCGCCTGAGAGATCTACAAACTTAGACCTCAGAAGGCTGCTGTCACTTTGGGCTTCCTGCTGCTCACAGTGAAACCTAATCTTTTTTCAGGGAATGGTTAATCGTTTTATGGAGATATAATTCACATACCATACAATTTACCCATTTGAAATGTACCACCTTCAGTATGTTTACAGGGTGTGTGACCATCATCACATTCTAATTTTTGAACATTTTTGGCACCCCCACCAAAAAAAACACTTTACACCCATTATCAGTCACTATCTATTCCCTCTCCACTAATGTTCTCCTTGGCAACCACCAATCTGCTTTCTGTCTCTGTGGATTTGCTGTCCTGGACATTTTATGTAAATGAATCACACCACATGTGGCCTTTGTGTCTGGCTTCCTTCACTGTGTAGTGTTTCAAGGCTCACCTATGTTGGAGCATTTATCAGCACTCCGTTTATTTTTGTGGCTGAATAATATTCCATTGCATGGATAGCACATTTTGTTTCTCCATGAATCCACTGGTGGATATCTGGGTTGTTTCCATGTTTTTACTGATACATATTCATACACACTTATGGGGTAGGTGTGGTGTTTTGTTGCATGCACAGAATGTGTTATGACCAAGTCAGAGGATTTAGGGTATCCATCACCTGCAGTATTTATTATTTCTATATGTTGGGAACGTCTCAAGTCTTCTAGCTATTTTGAAACATACAATACACTGTTGATAACTATAGTCACTGTATTCTGCTATTGAACATTAGAACTTATTCCTTCTACCTAACTGCATGTTTGTGCCTATTAACCAATCTTTCTTCACCCCTGAAACTTAATCTTAACTACTTTACTTTGTAATACATTTCGTTTGTTTGATTAGGATAGTTACTTTCTATTGCTTGTAACCAAGGAACCGTAACTAATATAGAAATTGATATGAGAAAGCAACACATCTTCAGGGAAATGTGGAGAATTGAGGACAGATTACTGGGTGTGGAGCTGGATTGAAAAGCAGTGACACACCCGTTGATATGATGGGAAGGGGGCTGGCAGGCGATGGGGCACCCGGCCAGTGGGTCAGACTCTTGCCCATGTTCCCTGGAGGCATCTAGGAGAACACTGATTTCTCACAGTTCTGGAGACTGGAAGTCCGAGATCAAGACACCCTCATGTTTGGGTCTTGGTGATGGCCCTCTTCCTGGTTTCACACTGCTGACTGCTAGCAGTATCTTCACATGGTAGAGAGTAGAATGAGCTTCAGTCTCTTTCTCTCCTATCGGGTCACTAATCCCATTCATGAAGATGCCATCCTCATGATCTAATCACTCCTCGAAGGCCCCACCCCTTAATACCATTCCTTTGGGGGTGAGGATTTCAACGTACAAACTTGGTGGTGGGCACAAACATTCAGTCCGTAGCAGATGGCGTTTCACTGGGCAGGTGCTGTGTTTGGGCAATCCTATCAGAATCACGCAGGAGCCTTGCTAAAACGCTCCTTTCTGTGACTAGGGCCGCACCTACCATGAATCAGTAGATGGCCCACAAGGGCACGAGTAGTTAACTCAGTCACTGTGCTTCTTACAGCGGATACTGAGGGGCATTCTGTTCTTAGGAGAGACTGGACAAAGAAACTGAGTCAGTGCTGAAGTCAAGTGCAGATCTGGAGTTAATTCCAATACTACAAAATGAATTATAGTTTCAGGTGCAGAACTGGAGTTAATTCCAATACTTACAAAATGAATTATAGTTTCAGGTGCATATCTAGTTTCCAGCTTTATAAATACTTGGTACAAAATAGATAATTTAATTACTGTCATGCTGAAAGAGGAAGCTGAAGAAAACTCAATGTCAGATGGGTGCCAAATGCAGTAGAATGTGTGAGACTGTTGGGCTCGTGGTGATATTGTATAAATTAATGTCTGGCTTGCATTAATTTTTGCATTATTTTATGAAGCTTCATATTCATAAAATTAAGTGGAAAAAGTATAAATGAAACATGACTTAAGAGTCCAGATAAATCTAGAATTAGGCCGGGCACAGTGGCTCATGCCTGTAATCCCAGCACTTTGGGAGGCCGAGGCGGGTGGATCACCTGAGGTCAGGAGTTCGAGACCAGCCTGGACAACATGGTGAAACCCCATCTCTACTAAAACACAAAAATCAGCCAGACATGGTGGCAGGCACCTATAATCCCAGCTACTTGGGAGACTGAGGCAGGAGAATCACTTGAACCCGAGAGGTGGAGGTTGCGGTGAGAATTAACACCAGATCATTCTAAGGCTAAACTCAGAAGCAGAGATCTGCACAATCAGTCTGTTGTACGGACACGTGCTGGGGGTACACGCTCCACCCTTTTAGTCTTTTACACTCTCCTCTGCACCTCCAGCTCCTCACCTTAAAGGCCCCACAAGGGTCACCAGGGACCCCTGGCTTGTCTTTGACACCGGTGCTTTTGGGCCCTGGGAGTAGCAGAGGTAAAGGCAGCAGGGTCAGTGAACAAGGCTCACACACTGTCCATTTGTGCCACAGCTGAAACCTGAAATCCGCAACCCCAGCATCTTGGCAGTGGCAGTGCCCATAAATGGTGCTTGGCCCTGCCCTGGCCCCTTATTGTGAAGATCCAGCCTTCCGCCCTCCCACCCTCACCCCCTGAGCTGGCTTCCCTAGAGATCTGAGCAGCAGATCACGCCGAGCTGATGTGGCCTGAGCCAGCTACTCCCCCGATGGTCCTTGCTGGTGACAAACTGGTAATGACAGTGGCAAGTGTGGGCTCCATAAACCTCCTACAATTGACACAAGGAGGTTGTCAGGCTCAGGAGGGCCCCTGGGCCTGGTCCGGGAGTGCTCAGTGTGCCTGGCCCTCCCTGCAGAGTGGTGAAGGGGAGGGGCTTAGTGGACTGACACGGGTGAGACCTGGGGCTGGTGGTGGTGAGTGACAGGGTGGAGGCAGAGTGTGTGGTGTTCCAGCTTGGCACTCTCAGAGCCCGCTGTTTTCAAGGTTGGACTTTTCTCATCACACTTGTAGGTAATGAGGTAGAAAGGTAATAAGGTCGAAAAGTAATGAGGTAGAAAGCACGGGGCTGATTGAAGAGGAGATCGCTGGACACCGCAGGAAGGTCAAGCTGAGGTGGTGATGGGGAGAGAGGCAGGGGTTTTCGAGGCTCTCTTCTCTGACTATTCCTGCACCGGGGAGGATGTTGGCACGTGATCTGGAAGACAGAAAGGGGCCCGGAGGAAGAGGGGATTTAAGGGCCTTGGGCAGGTCTGATCAAAGGGACACATGATTGCCCCCCAGGAGGCCCTTGGCGTCCCACTGTCCATCTCTAGGGCTGCTTGACCATCCTTGAAGAGTCTCGGAAACCCATCAGACTGATCCTGGGGTGTCCAGACTGTCCATATTGACGTTTAACCATCTGAGAATGGCCCCCTCACCTGGAGTCACAGGCTGACATCCCCAGACAAATGTGTGCCAGAATATCCTGGTGTTTTCTGCAAGGCAGCATGTTTTCTGAGCACCCGTTATTTGCAAGCAGGTGCTCAGGTTCCAGCAGTGACCGCCTCTCACACCCACAGTGTGGCTGCGCCGGCTATGGAGAGCCCTGGGCAGTGCTGAAGTCCGCAGCCAAAGAGGCCGATGCAAATTGCAGAGAGCGCTCAGAGTGCTCGGCCCGAGGAAGCTGTCCTCAGATGACAGCTTCACGTGGCAGGTGTGTAACCTGTTGTCCTCACTTGGAGGGAGGCACCTTCATCCCTATGAGGCCTAAGCAGGCAGAACTACAGGACAGAGCCAGCTCTAGCATATGCGCCATGCAGGGCGGCAGAGCCAGCTCCAGGACCCGTGCCACACTGGGTGGCAGAGCTAGCTCCAGATCTCCAGGGCTATGGGCTGCATTCAGATCCACCTGTACAAACAAGACACAGTTATTGTACCTGAAAGGTCGTGGGCCAGATACAATGTCAAGAATGTGTTGAGCCCTAAATTTGGGGGAAGCAGTAATTTTCACTCACAGCCCGCGGGGCTGCATTGGGAAGTGGGAGTCAGGGCTCCCTGGCTCCTTTATAAGCCCCGCTTGTTTTCTGCAAATACTGCTAATGTCCCAGATTGGCATTAATCAGGACAAGTAATTAGCTGAATTTTGAGAACAACAACAAATACATATATATCTATATATTATATGTCTATAATTTATATCTATACCTATCATATGTACATATAGGTACATATATGTACCTCCATCCATGTAAGGATGACAGATCTATATCTATCATTATACATATGATAGGTGTATGGGGGATTCTTTTAAGTTCTATAAAAATATCTTTATGTCCTCAGATGCATCTGAGATTGAGCATTAAGCTGAGTTTCTCCACAGATAAAGGTGACAGCCCAAGTGTGAGTCCAACTCTCCTCTCCAGGCCTGTCAGTGGATTCTTAGACGATATTCAGTTCAGCATTTGGGGTCCAGCGTTACAACACTGAGCCACTGGGAGGCAATTCTCCATGGGTCTCTTGCCTTTCTGCGGTCTCTAGCTGCTTTGGCTCTGAACTGTCTTTCCAAGGACATTTGTGTAGTAGACAGCCCTGGGAGGCAGAGGCAGCATCTCTCTCTGTGGCCAAGGGCAGGCGTCTTCCTGTCCACTGTAATCGGGTGTCCCCTTCCAGGGCAATGGGGGGTGGGTTTGCCTGCATCCCTCCATGAACAATTAGGGTTTCCTAAGTCAGGGTCCTCATCTGTGATGCAAATTCAACGTGTGCAGCATGTCCACCTGGGCCACTGTCCACCAACCCATAAGGCTTGGGGCCCACAGGGACCGATGTGTGCGGGGCCCATGCTGTTTGCTGGGCCTAGCTGTTTGCTAGGTCTGTGACCTAGAAGTCTTGTGCCTTCATCCAGCATCCGTGAGCCTGCAAGTAGGGCCAAGCCTCAGAGACTTACTTCAGTCTGGACAGCTTGTCTTCCCCAACCAAAAAAATATGTGCAGGTGGACAAGTGTACGCAGAGCCACGCTCAACTACATGTATGCGGCAGGCGGGATAATCCATCCCCCCCACCAAAGTCCACGTCCTAATCCCTGGAAGCTGTGACAAAGGGGAACTGAGGTTGCTGGTGGAATTCAGGGTGCTAATCAGACCACCTTAAAATAGGGAGAGTTTCCCAAATATCCTGGTGGGCCAGTGTGCTCACAGGGCTTAGAATTGGAAGAGGGAGGCAGGAGGGCTGGGCGGAGGAGAGGGTGTGAGAACTCCACCTGCCACTGCTGAATTTGCAGGAGGGAGGGAGGGACCACGAGCCACCAAGCGCAGATGGCCTCTGGAAGCTGGAAGAAAATCGGATTCTCCCTGAGAGCCTCTGGAAGGAGGCAGCCCTGCCCACATACCGGTTTTAGTTCAGAGAGCCCTGTCTTGGACGTGTGACCCACAGAGCTGTAAGACAGTAGAATATGCTGCTGTTTTAGATTTGCTATGGCAGATATAGAAAATGATACACAGAGGATGTAAGAGGCATTTTTTTCAAATGATGCCTCTTTCAGTAGGCATTTTTTGGGCACTTCTGGGTACAGCAGGAGGCAGGATTTCTTCTGCATCTATTGTTTGTCCTGCAATTTCCTCAGTGGGATCCAGGGCTCCTGCCTACACAGTGAGTCTCACAGATTTCAGCAAGGCCCCCTTCACCCTGCTGGGAGAGCAGCTCAGAAAATGGGGCATCCTACTACAGGAGCAAAGGTGTGTGTGTGTGCCTGTGTCAGTATGGTGTTTTGTGTGTGTGTGTGTGTGCTGCTTGCTGACACATGCTGGTTAGGAATTTACCAAATAGGAAGAAGAAATTAGGTTGGAGAGCCAAGGACCAACAGTGCAGACTGGCTTTATGTCTGTATTAAGAAGGGATGGGCATGCTGAGGCCAGGTGGCAAAGCACAGGAGACACAGTGAGGTAAAAATCCTATTCCCAGGGCCATGTGCTGGGCACCTGCTTTGCTGCACAAGATGACCGTCCACTGTCTCCTGCCAGCCCCAGATCCATCACACAGCTGGGCTCCTCTCAGGGGTGCATCCCCCACACACACACACAGGCCCTAATGCACACACAGATAAACATACATCCATATGTTCACATGTGCATATGTGCTCTCATGCACGTTTATGCATGTATACACATGCATGAAATCATACTTCCACATATACACACATAAGCACACACGTACACACATGCATATGCATGAACTCACCCACCCACACACCTGTGCACACACACATAAGCATACATGTGTACACACTCATGAACTCACCCGCCTACACATGCGCACATGTGCACACACAAGCACACACACACACGTGCATACACATGCATGAACTCACCCACTTACACACGCACACATGTGCACCTACACATATGTACATACACACATATGCATGAGCTCACCCACCTGCACACACCCACGCACAGGGCTCTGAGTTGGAGTGGTCGTGATGCTGCTTCACCTCCCCATGAGGAGTCATATGGTAGCAGCAGAGGTGGTCATGACCTGAAGCCAGCGGGAGGGGCCAGAGGAGTGGGGAGCTATCCAGACTGTTATTGGTAACAACACAGAAAGTCCAAAGGTTATTGTTAGGCTAGAAAAAGATTACACTTCATAAAACCATGTTTATTCAAAAAAATCTATTCAGAAAGTCTGGAAAGCGTAATAAATATCTGTACAGTGGCCACCCATCTCAAACATGAATTACAAAGCAGGAACATAAAAATGATGTGTAAACATAACTGCTGAGCCAGTGAACAAAGTGCTGAGTCAGGAGCGAGGCAGAGAAGCGTGCTCAGTAGAACGACACAGATGCTGCAGCCTCCGTCCTCAGCCCCTCAAGCTGCGCTGGAGTCCACCTTCCGCCCTCTCCACACCGCTCAGGGACCGGCAGCGTCCTTCTCCATTCTCGAATTTGCATGACGCTTAGAAAGGTAGGAGGCAGCAAAACGTGTCAGAAATGAACGGAGTGCAAATCAAACTTTGCCATGTGCTTGAGAGAATCAGTAAAGCGTTAGGTAAAAATCCCAAGTGCAGCTTTAGGATAACACCATTTAATGAACAATACTGGATAACATTAAGTACTATTATCACTTTAAAATTCAAACAATCTTCCAAACATCAATACATACACAGTTAGTTTAAAATCACAGACAAATCGGACTTGAGGGTAAAAGTGAAATCCTCACCTCTTGCCCATGTTTGACTTTGGGATGGAATTCAGCAAAGCTCTCCCACTGCAGATTGGGAGAATCAGGTATTTCTCCCACATGGGGGGCTGCCAGGGAAGGAGGACCCTATAGGGTGGCCAGCAAGGGGCCACTGGCGGTAGGTCAGGAAGCCTGAGATCTAGGGTTCAATGTGTTTATAAGTTCTGTGATTTTCATGACCCGGGGGTGGGGGGTTGGGTTATGATGAACTGTGTGAGGAAGGAGAGCCAGTTAACTTTTGGGGAGGTCTATGTCATTTGTGCAAATCATACGGAGCATTTCATTCGTTGTGGAGGTGCGCTGAGCTGGCAAAATGCGAATTCTAAGAACACCTTCATTTACATGTCGACTGCTGCTTGAAAGCAGTCACTTGCTATTTCACTAAGGTTTTTGAAAGCTTAGTTTAACATATGATACCATAACTTCTTTAGGCTGACTTTTGTGGAAGGATGTCAAGTATCATTTTGTTCTGGATATGGGAGGGAAAGTAGAGGTATTTCACAGACACTCAGCGGAGCAGGGCCAAGCCAGTGTTCTCCTCCGCTGATGCACATCAAATACATGTAAGGACAGAGCTCGCTGTGATGGGGAGTCTCGTCGGTCCCTTTGGCATTCTTAGAGTTCAGAAGCTAAGTCTGTACAAACTGGGATGACTGAAAAAGACCATGAGCTGGTGCCCCATGGGCACACAAGGAGGGAAAACCGTGGCCGCTTTCTCACGGATGCTTTCCCTTTCACTTCCCCCACTTCTCACTCCCTGCACCAGAACCCACTGACTTTAAGCAAACAGACAGGCCTGCACACCAAGCCAGGCCAAAGGGTCCGGGCAGCTGATGGGGGAATCGTTGCCTGTGTAGCAAGCAGAAAAGGTGATGACTTTTGTTCATTTCTGGGAGGACAGATTGTGTGACCTCAGGATTATCCACTTCTTCCTAAGTTTCTAAAAAGAAGTGAAATAATTAAGACCTAAAAAGCAAATTCATCATGGTGGAAGTCGTTCTAGCCTTGGGAAAAAGCATCTTCTATGGAGAAAATGTGAGGAATACCCTGTGGGCACTATGGAAACAGGTATTCAGTCCGACTTGCTCCTTTTATGTTTTGTGGTTCTCTAAGAAAAAAAAAATCCACATGGATTAAAGCTTGTGAAACAAGTTTATATTTTAAGGTCTGAAAACAATCAGACCAAGCTAAGGAGTTATTTTTCAGAACGCAGCACATTTTTTCTTTATTTTTTTTTTTTTAGTTGGGTACGAGAATCGAGATGGAGGGGGAACAAAACCCAACAAAATAACATCTTCTTAGGGAAAACCTGGCTGTGGCCAGCGGGCACCTCCTGAAGCCCTGCTTGCTGCAGAGGCGCCGCTCTTCAGTGATGCAGGGTGAGGGGCTGAGCGGCGCCTCCTCCCATCTAGTCTGCTTGGGGGCCGCCAGGGAGCATCTTCAACACCCTTACAGGACAATGAAGGACCCGTGTGTTCCCTCTGCCGGCTGGACTGGGCGTCGATCCTGCTGCCCGGAACCTCTCACTCGATTTTACTCAATGAAGTAGAGCACAGCATGGCCTAAATGCCCCACACCCGCCCTGTGTGCACACCCAGGGGAATACGGATCAGTGTGAAAAAACAGATCTGTGCAACAGAGACACAAAACGCAACACAAAGCCACAGCATCTACAAAGTGCATCGCTCCTGTCCACGCTGATCTCCGCTGCCCTCCCACCTGTGCCTCTGCCCCTCAGTCTGCTGGGTGGGGCCTGTGTCTCCCTCCAGCCTCCAGCTGGACTGAGAAGGTTTGGGTGGGAAGCCACAGAGCTCCATTTCTCCAATTCACAGTTTCTCCACAGACCAGAAAAATCGAAGTGAACACAGCAAAACCACAGCTTTAGGTGAGCACACAGGAAGCCGACACAGGGCTGAGCAGGTGCGAGAACCCACGACTCCCTGCAAAGCCTCCAGATAGCTGTGTGGCCACGGGAGCTGGGGACAGACGGCAGCCCAGTGCGCTTGGCCCCCCGGGGAAAGCCGAGACTGGAGGTGGACACAGGCTCCTCCGAGAGGCACCCCCTTCCATCCTGGTGACACGGAGCTCTCAAGGCAAAGATCCAGCCTGCCTTCCTCTCGTCTGGGCTCTTACTCCTCATTTGAATCTGGGACAGAGGAAAGGATGGGCTACCCAGCACCTCAGGCAAAAACTGAAGGGCGAGGAGGAAACGGCTCTTTGGATTATTTTGGGCAGAACCAGGCATCTCCTCCTGGACGCCACAGTGCCAACCCCGTCATCCAGCCCGTGGGGAGCCCCGGGATGCCAGGTCACCCCAGCCCTCTGGGGCCCTGCAACCACCAATGGCTGCGCCCTCGCACTGCCACTTTCCCACCGGGTACCTGGGACGTGGGTGTCGGGAGTCTGACCAAACCGACCGGCTTCATAATTGGAAAACAGATCTCTCGGCAGAAACAGAAGCCATGTATGAGAGGACCCGCGGGCTCTGAAAGAAGCCCCCGGCCTCGCACGGGCACGCGAGGTGAAGGGGCGCATTTGGTTTCGCTTGGGAGAAAAGAGAGCGGGCGGGGAGGCTGGCGCAGTGAGGCTTGGAGAAGCCCCCAGGTCAGGACCCTCTCCGGGGCTGAAAAAGAAAACACGGACACGGCGAGGGCGGGCGCCGCCTCCCTGCTGGACTTGTGGTCACTCTGGGTGCCAGACGGGCTCCGAGGCCGGGGTCTGTGAGCCCACGAGGATGCTGGCAGGGGACGCTGGGGCCAGGGTCCCACCCGCTACAGCCGCGTGGACGTGAGTCTCTTCATGCCTCTGCGCTGAGCCAGGTTGGATGACAGCACGGGCTCCAGCCGCGGGGCCTGAGGTGTTCTGTTTAGAGCAAAGTAGGTGGCGGCCATCGCGCCCTGCAAAACAGAAGACAAGGGTGAGAGCCGCGGCGCCTCACTCCAGGGGTTGAGCCGGAGCCCGGGGCCTCCATGGGCCTCAGCTGCCCCCAGGCAACGTGGGAGAAACCAGAGCTTCCCCAGGGTCCCTGGAGCATGGAGTGCTGTTAGCCTGCCGCCAGGGGCCAGCACACGTGGGCCCCAGGAGACAGGGGCCCTGTCTCCTGCACCTGCCCCCCCCACCCCATGCCACCCTGGCACTGTGCTTGTGCCTTGGGGGAAAATGTTTTGGACGCTTGTGGAGCCCCCAGGCTGAGGTCACGTGATCCCCTGCATTCTGACAGTGAGGCCAGGTCTGTTTTGGGGCTCGCTGGGTCCTAGGGGACACAGCGAATGCCAGGGCCAGTCACCCTGGACTTTGGCCACTGTTGAGGAGTCTGGACTCATTTGGAGGAACAGGCATATCCTGGAGTGAATCCAAATTCTCAGAATGGATCTGGAGGGGGCGGCTCTTAACTGGATCATGCCTATTCCTGCTGGGGTGGGACAGTCTACACTTTTCAGAAAAGGAGTCCCACCCAGAGGATGGGGTGCCTGAGAGGCTACTGCTGCCTGAATGTAAGTCACTTATGAAGGGGACTTTTTTTGCATGTGTGGCCTAGAATAGAGGCTTTGAACTTGAGTGGAACAGCCACACCAGCTGCCACCACGTCAGCAGAGGCTGCCACCTACTCAGGTAGGAGCCCTGTGCAATACTGCACGTGTCTGGTGAAGTGCACGAAGGTAGGTGGGCCGGCGGTGCAGTTTGGGGCTGCTATGGGCTCTTTCTCTGCACTCTGTGGTTTCTTCGGAGTGATTGCAAGGTATCAGGCTCTTTTCTGGGTTTCCCATTCCCACCACTCTGTCCTCACTGTCGCCTGCCGGTACCTTCACCAGGTGCACGTCCTGTCGGCTGAGCTGGTTTGGGGACAGGTACTCTCTGTTGACCACCCACGGGTGTTTGAGCACTTGCATCGCCGTCAGGCGCTGATGAGGGTCCACGTGGAGCATCTTGGACACGACGTCCTGCCAGGGAAGGTCATGAGAGTCGGGGGGATGGTTGGATCATTTGTGCTGGGTCAGAGAGCCTCCCCAGCAGAACTCCTCTCCCTCTATGGCAACACCCAACCACTATGCTGAGTGTGGGTCTTTGCATTTTGGGGTCATGTTCACTTTCAGGTTTAGAAGTATGTCAATGGTTTTTAGCTTTAAATATTACCAAACTTGGAAGTTCACTGAAGGTTTATCTTTTATTAAATATTTCATGTCTAAAAAGTTAAATGTGGAAATATTAGATGATGCATGTAAATCGATGAAACACTGTTTCTTGTAACAATTATATCTTTCCAAAGGGAAAAGCTGAAATAATTAATATTCCACAGGTAGAAATCAATTCATAATGATGCACATACTTACATTTTTTATCAGGACTACCCATAAATATTTACTACAAATAATCAGAAACCGCAAAATCTACAATCTGGAGCCATCAGATATGTCCAGTGGGTTCATGTGCAATAATGGTATTTTTCCATTTCATTGTAAAGTCGTAGCAGTAAAAACCTCTAAAACAAGATTCTACATGTGTGTACACATGCACATACAATACAGTGCACATTCTATTACAGTGAATTACATTTGCAGAGTACTTGGTTACAGTGTGAATTACATTTGCGGACAAACCTGATGCTTCTGCTCTAATCACCATAATCATCCTTGAGGTAAATGGGGCAAATATTACTTTTCCTAATTTGCAGATGAAGACATTACTGCCTGAGGAAGATCCAAGATGAGAATCCATATTCTCTCCACTAGCCTACCCTCCTTCCTTAGTGTTCCCACCACATTTGAAGAGGTAATAAAATGAATTAGAATGCGGCTGGGCGCGTTGGCTCATGCCTGTAATCCTAGCACTCTGGGAGGCTGAGGCAGGTGGATCACTTGAGGTTAGGAGTTTGAGACCAGCCTGGCCAACATGGTGAAACCCCGTCTCTTCTAAAAATACAAAAATGAGCTGGGTGTGGTGGCATGCGCCTATAATCCCAGCTACCTGGGGGGCTGAGGCAGGAGAATCACTTGAGCCCAGGAGGCAGAGGTTGGAGTGAGCTGAGATTGCACCATTGCACTCCAGAGTGGGTTACATGGCAAGAGTCCATCTCAAACAAACAAACAAACAAAAAAGAATGCATATAGAATGTGAAGTTGAATTACTCATTAGAATTTTGGGTCATGAAACAACTAAGAAATACTATGCACAATAACAATATCTTTTTTATACAGAAAAATCTAATGCCTTTTGATATTTGATAACATTGACCTTGGTAATTTCTTGAAACAAGTATCTCCTAGAAAAATGAGTGTTGTCATTTTCAGGTGTAAAAACAAAAGCCTTTAGGGCTTTAATAACTCTTTTCACGATCTTATAGTCATGACACTGAGAGAAGCAGTATTTTTACTTCATACCTGTAGGATGTGGAGAAAGACATACTAATTTGTAGCTTTGCTGGTGTTTGGAGGACTGGAGGTTCTGTTGTGTGCTAAGTAAGAGAAAGGAAGAGGCACAGGGGAAAGACGGGGGATGTGGTGGTGGTAGGGACTGGTGGTGAAGGGCAGGAAGGGTTGGTGAGGCCCTGTGAGGCGGCAGAGACCTCTGCCTGCAGCAGCGATCTTGACAATGTGCCCTTGTCCTTGACTTTGCTCCTTTTCCAACACCTTCTCCCTGCTCCCATGCCAGCTTCCAAGATGGCCTTCCAGACACACCACCAGCACCCACGTCCTAGTCTGAGGCTCTATTTTGGGAACCAGAACTAAGACATCTACACTCATTTAAGACAAAGTGAGGGTGTGGACAGGAGCATTTGGACTGTCAGGGTCTGACATCTGGGATATGCTCACTAAATGCCAGCTGCCATCACCTCTGCCACCACCTCCACCATCACCCTTACCATCATTCCTCCATCACCCCCACCATAATCTTCACCATCACCTCCACAATCATCCTCACCGTCCTTCCTCCATCACCCCCACCATTACCCTCACCACAATCACCTTCACCATCATCTTCACCATCTCCACCATCATCCTCACCATCCTCCTCCATCACCCCCACCATTACGCTCACCATCATCTTCACCACCTCCACCATCATCCTCACCATCTCCACCATCACCCTCACCATCCTTCCTCCATCACCTCCACCATCCACCCTCACCATCCTTCATCACCCCCACCATCACCCTCACCATCATCTTCACCACCACCTCCACCATCACCCTCGCCATCCTTTCTCCATCAACCCTACCATCACCCTCGCCATCATCTTCACCACCACCTCCACCATCACCCTCACCATTTTTTCTCTGTCACCTCTGCCGTCACCCTTGCCATCCCTCCTCCATCACCTCTACCATCACCCTCCACCATCATCTCTGCCATTACCTTCCATTATCTTCACCATCACCTCCACTATCATCTCTGCCATTACCCTCATTAGCCTCACCATCATCCCCATCACCTCCACCATTACCTCCACAATCACTACCATCATCTCTCACTATCATCTCCCACCACTCCCACCGTCACCTCCATGATCACTGCCACCACCTCTGCCACTTTTGCCATCCCTTCATCACCTCCATCATTTCCTACCATCACCTCCAAAATGATCACCTCCACGATCACTCCCGCCACCTCTGCCACCACTTCTGTCATCCCTCCACCATCAGCTCCATCCCTGCTCCCACCATTACCTCCACCATCAGCTCCATCCCTGCTCCCACCATTACCTCCACCATCATCTCCACAATCGTCACCTCCACCATCCCTCCACAATCACCTCCATCATCACTCCTGCCATTATCTCCACCATCATTTCCACAATCATTCCCTCCACCATGCCTTCACCATCACCTCCATCATCGCTGTCGCCACCTCTGCCACCACTTCTGCCATCCCTACACCATCACCTCCATCATCATTCCCGCCATTACCTCCACCATCATCTCTACAATCATCACCTCCACGCTCACTGCATGAAGTTGCACTGAGATGTCAACAGCAGAATTGGAATCAGAGCCCCTGACTCCTTCTCTTTCAGCCCTTTTACATGAACACGGGAACAGCTGTTGGTGCTGCTTACCAGTGGCTGGATTATGATTTACTATTGGATTAGAGAGGAATTTGATGATGCCAAGTAAAAAAGCGTCTGATGGGCAAACGAAATAAGGCCGGTCATAAACTGTGTGGACTGCAGACAAGGCCAAATTCAAAGTATTTTACAAGAACAGAAGTATACCTCTGGACAAGAGCTCTACTTGTTTGTTTGGTTTATGAACATGCAGGGCAATCATTCTGCAATATCACTAAAAGCATGGTGGTTAATTTTATATGTCATCATGGCTGGGTTATGTTACCCAGTCTAGAGGTTGCTGTGAAGGTGTTTTTCAGGATGTGGTTAACACTTAAGTCAGTCGACTTGAGTAAAGCAGTTACCCTGCACAATGTGGGTCAGCCTCATCCAATCAGTGGAAGGCCTCCTTAGGAAAAAGACTGCTCCCCTGAGGAAGAGGGAATTCTGTGGCAGATAGCCTGTGGTGGGCAACTGCCCCATCCATTTCTCCTTGGGGCTCCAGCCTGCCGGCTGCCCTGCAGTCACAGACTTCCCCGTCCCCACAATCACGTGAGCCAATTTCTTACAAATAAATCTCTCTCTCTATACACACACACACACACACACACACACACACACGCACGCATGTTCTGTTTGTTTCTTTGGAGAACCCTGCATAAGATACCAAGATAGTGGAAAATGTGAAAATGCTAAAAATGTTTTTGAAAATAATGTTTTTAGATGAAAGGCTTAAAAGATGCCGAGGATAAGGCCAGGTGTGGTGGCTCATACCTGTAATCCCAGCAATTTGGGAGGCTGAGGTGGGTGGATCACTTGAGGTCAGGAGTTCAAGACCAGCCTGGCCAACATGGTGAAACAAAAAAGTTTTAGTACAAAACTTTTTTGTACTAAAAATACAAAAGAGTTAGTCGGGTGTGGTCGCACACGCCTGTAGTCCCAGCTACTTGGGAGGCTGAGACAGGAGAATTACTTGAACCCAGGAGGCAGAGGCTGCAGTGAGCCAAGATTGTGCCACTGCACTCCAGCCTGGGTGAGACAGAGCGAGACTCCATTTCAAGAAAAAAAAAAAAATATGCTGAGGATAAAATACCTATACTACTTACATAAAACCTATCCCCTGGCTTCCTCAGAAATCATATGGCTATTTCAGAATCTGAATATTTAAAAGCAACGCTGGGACATGTACTCACTTTAGCTGCGTCAGATATCGAGTCCCAGTTTCCCCCAGAAAGGGCATACTTCCCACTGCCGATCCGCGCCAGAATCTCCTCAGGGGTATCGTCTGGCCCATTTGCAAAAGGGGTAAATCTGTATAATTAGACAAATTTGTGGTAATGAGCTTGTATTTTACAACCTAAAATAAAGTTTGCAAGTTGATATCACCCCTTGGCTGTTCAAAGGAATAGCACTTTGCTTCTCCCTCCTCTGCTCTGAAGCCAGGATTCATGGGAAAGCGGAACTTACCTCTAACACTATGCCCGTTTTCCTTCCTTAGCAATTGGGTGGCTAGAGGTTGATGGGCAAGTGGGAGAGCCCTGTGAGACCTGTGCTGTATCCCCTCCGGACCCAGGTAAACTGGGATGGGGTGGCCTAGTGAGTTGCCTGGTGCCGTGGTTTCCACGGTGATGGTGTGGCATCATGCGAGAGAGCCTGAGACGTGGAGTCTGAGAGACCCACGGTGGATGTATTCCCAACTCTGTGTTCTTTGACAAGTTAACTTTTTGAGCCTCCACTGCAAATGCAGAGTGTATGCACAAATACACATACATGCTTGGTGCAGCTCTGGCCATATTCCAAGCGCGTGGGAGGTGTTCATGGTGTCCCACCTTAAAACACACCCACACACTCCTAGGAAAGGAAGGACACGTGTGCTGCCAGCGCTTCCTCTAGTGGGAAAGTGTGTGATCTAGTTTTCCGTATAGGCAAAGTGAGTATTAGAAGCGTCACAAAGTAACCTGACTGTGGTATTGGTAAGAAACTGAGGTTCCTTCCTTTGCTACTGCAGTCCTCAGGGTGCGGCTTCAGGGCCTGATTTACTCTCCTTCTGCTGTGGACACTACCTGTTGACTTATGATGAAATAAGTGAAAAGCAGGCCAAGCTCATTCATTCTCATGAGGGCATTCAAGCCATTTTGCTACAGCAAACAGGATTCGATGGTCTAGGGTTCTTTTCTTTTTGCCTCCATTCAAGTATTTAATAAACGTAATAGGAACCAGCGGATCTTGTAAGATCCTAGACCTTCCTGCCTAGAAGCAACCATGGTGTGTCCTCTTCTCACTCAGGGGAGAGGGAAGGGAGGCTGGTACAGGTTAAAGTGTTTAGCCCAGAGTCACGGCTAGTGGCGAGTGGGGCTCAGATGGAAGTCAGCTGTCTGGATGGCAGGCCCAGGCCACTTTCTGTAACACCACGTGTCTTACCACAATGAACCGGCCCGTGCATGACTCATGACCACGAAACCCAGGTACAGATGCTGTTTGACCCTGAAGCTGCTATGGGGCTTTCGGTTTAAGAGGATGTCTGGAAGGCACATCTGTTGCTACCTTTTAAAACAGTGGCAGGTGCAGCAGAGAGAATGGGGACTATGCTGGCAAAAGACTTGATGTTTTGTTCATGAGCTGAGTTTAAAGAAAATGGGTGGCTACATTTCTTGTCCTTGTTGTTCAGTTGTCCTGAGGGGCTAAGAAAGTCTGCGAGTGTTCACTCAAGGCCTGGGAGTGTTTGCATACACGTTGGGTTTGCCCACATGCGCACACTAGGACAGGGCTGGCCCTGGTCCCCTGACAGATCAGCCACTGAGGCTGCTGCCCTGTGTCTCCTCCTGACACCTGTTTGAGGTGACTGCTTACCCTGCCAGCATGGTGTACAACAGGATCCCCAAACTCCAGATGTCACACGCCGCATCATAGCCTTGACGCTTCAGGACCTAGGAGGGAACGACAGGACACCGGCACGCCCTTCACTAAGGACATTCAGATTGACAGCACGTTTCTCCAGCGGCATCCTACGCCGGCAAGCTGGGGACCAGGAGGAGGGCGGTGCCATGTCTTCGGTGTGACCACTGTTTCTTAAGGCAAAGCCAACCCTAAGGTACTGCAGTGGGACTCCTCCCAGGCCAGCCACATGGTAAACTAGTACTCTTTCCAGACACATGACAGACAGGCTGAAAAGGAGGGCCTTAATTTTTAAGGCAGAAGGATTTTTCTGTTACGGTAAAATATGTATGACATAAAATTGACCATCAAAGCCCTTTTTAAGTGCACAGTTTAGCAGCATTAAGCCCATTTACATTGTGGTGCCAACATCACCACCATCCATCCACAGAGCATTTCACCTTCCCAAACTGAAACTCTGTCCCCATTAAACAACAACTCCCTGTCCCCCAGCCCCCAACACCTACCCTTCTACTGTCCGTCTGTGTGAATCTGACTCCTCCAGGGACCTCATAGGAGTGGAATTATGCAATGTTTGTCTTTCTGTGACTGGCCCATTTCACTTAGTATAACACCCTAAGCTTCCTCCAGGGGTCAGAAGTTCCTTCCTTCTGCAGGCTGGACAATGTTCCGCTGTGTGTGCATGCCACGTTTTGCTTACCCATTCATCCACCGAGGGACACTCTCGTGGCTTCCACCTTTTGGCTGTTGTGAATAGTGCTGCTATGAACATGGGTGGACACATGTCTCTTTGCGTCCCTGCCTTCAATTCTTTTGGGTATATACCCAGAAGTTCCATTCTGGGCTACGTGATAACATTTAATTTTTTTGAAGAACTGTTAAAGCAGCAAAACTTGTATGCATCCTAGGATTACATACTTCAGTAGAGGGCAATCCTCTGATATAGTTACAGTTGAATAACAACAAAGGAAGCCACAATGGTGCTCATGGATTACTGCAGATGACTGGATTTAGCATTAAATATCGAGTCGGGAGAGCTCGGCTCAATTTCCTTAGAGATGAGAGCAAGGAGCCTGTCCTTTTCTCTGTATCGCTGCTACCATGTGTGAGCCTGCACCATGGAGGGGACCAGCCAGCGCATGCTGAATGAATGTGGTGCTCATGGTGCAAGCCTCACTTCCTAATCCATCAGCGGGGTGACCTTCAGAAGTCACTTACACACATGGAGCTTGTGCTTTCTGACTCTGTGAAACATGGTTAATAGATTTTACCCTGCCTACTTTGTATGGTGGATGAGAGTGAAAGTAAAAAAAGTTGGTAAAAGTGCTTTGTAAATGGCAAAGGAATATCACAACCTAGGGCATTCTACAATCAATAAAATCAATATTGTGGGAGACCAGAATATGCCACCCCAAAATATGCTGCATAGGCGTGAGGGGCGCTGAGCTGAAGATACATAAGAAGCAGCAGATGCAGGAGAGCTCTGTGTCCTCCATTTGTCTAAAATCAGGACATGGATTAAGACAAAAGGTACCTACCCCCAACCAGAGAGGACAAAGGCTTCCCCTAGGGACAGCTTTGGATGCATGTGGTCCCACCTGGGACCAGCCTCCATAGGCCAGCCCTGCACCTCCCCAAGCTGCAGCCCCTGGAGACCCTAACCCTCTTCCTTTGTCTTGCCAGGTCTCTAAAAATTCTCTGTTCTTTGTTGCAGATACCATGTAGGCTGGATTCAAAGCCACCTCTGTGAGGATGACTCCTTCTCTGGGCATCTCGCATGCATAAATGAGAAGATGTGTGTTAATAAACTTCTTTTTCTCTTGTTAATCTGTCTTTTGTTACAGGGGTCTGGTCCAGCTAAGAACTTATGAGGGATGAGGAAAACGTCATTTTCCTCCCCCATAATATTATCAATATTAATATTGATTAAGTAAGGCATGAACAGAGGCTTATAACCTGGTTACTTTCATTTTTTTTAGTTTTTATTTTTTGAGACGGAGTCCTGCTCTTTCAACCAGGCTGGAGTGCAGTGGCGTGATCTCGGCTCACTGCAACCTCCACTTCCCGGGTTCAAGCGATTCTCCTGCCTCAGCCTCCTGAGTAGCTGGGACTGTGGGCACACACCACCACACCTGGCTAATTTTTGTATTTTTAGTAGAGACGGGGTTTCACCATGTTGGCCAGGCTGGTCTCCAACTCCTGACCTCAGGTGATCCACCTGCCTCGGCCTCCCAAAGTGCTGGGATTACAGGCGTGAGCCACCGCACCCAGCCAAACTTGGTTATTTTTAAAGGGGCCACAGGTTGCTCAAGTGTCTGGATGACCCCTGCATAACCTAAAACAGCCTCTCAGTCCAGCCCCTGGCTGCACATCCGTTCACGTCTCAGCACGCAGAAGCATCTTTGCAATGGACCAGTGGCCCTGGGTGACCTCTTAAACAACTCCAAGACCCACAGTGAGATGCCAGGCGCCTCAGACCTGGCTGCTCGCTTGACTCCCCTCCCATCGGAGCAGCTCTGGTCCAGTTCCATCAAGAACCCACGGGATCCACACAGACTCTGAAGTCCGCCTTCCTTCCCAGTTCCCTCCTCCCCTGTCCCATTGGCAACATCAGCCACAGCCCTTCCCTTCCTCTCTTTACCACTGGCTTTTCTCAAAGGCAAGAAATTGGGCTTAGATTTATAAACACATCCTTGAATTCAGAACCTAATGGAACTTGTTCCCGGGAAATGTGAAAAGAGAGAAGTTCACCAGGTGCCTGCTAGCTGCTCCGAGCGGGGCTGGGAGCAGACACAGACACTGAACAACGTAAGCTTTCAGTGGCAAATCACCCCGGAGCCCTGCGGTTCTCAATCTGACAGCTGCTGACTTGCTGCTGTCGGGGAACCAATCTGGAGTGAGAATTGGGGTGCAGAGAAAATCCGTAAACTTAGTTGCTCCCTGCGCTATGACGGATCCATTTCCCATCCCAGGTGAACCGCAGCTCTGCGTCCTGGTTGTATAAGGAGACTACTGCATCATCTCTCTAACTTGGAATAAATATGCAGATTTCATCCAAATTGTCTACAGAAGACAATTTTACATAAAAATGTTACTGTTGAAAAGTTTTTTCAAATGGGAAAATGAGAATGATAAGAACAACTACGTTTAAGCAAGATTGGCCCCTGGCTCAAGAGACTGAAGGTTCTCGTTTCTGTTTCCCAACACCACTGCTGACGCAGCTCAAGCCGCCTCTGACATCCCCGCTGTCCGGTGGCTCTGCAGTGGGAGGGGGCAGAGCCTGTCTTTGCGGATAGAGAGGCCTGGGTCTGCAGTCGGGGAATGCTCACCTCCGGGGCCACGAAATTGGCCGTGTAGCAGGGTGTCATGAGCAGCCCGTTCCCCGCGCGCAGCTGCTTGGCAAAGCCGAAGTCGCAGACTCGGATGGATTCTGGGCTCCCCGACTCATCCCTGTACAGGATGTTACTCGGCTTCAGGTCTCGATGAACAACCTGCAAGACAGAAGGCACAGTGCCTACTTGGGGGCTGAGGACTGAGCAGGAGAGGGAGGGCAGGTGCATTTGGAGGGGAGGGTGCATTTGGGAACTGTCTTCCTAGCAGGTCCTGCAAGCAGGCAACAGGCCAACAGTGTCAACAGCTGCTGTCTTCTCCAGAGGGCCCCCCACCTTCTCCCATTCTCCTGTGGTGGTCACTCACTTCTGAGCTCCTGGTGTCACCTGCTTTTACAGTGAATGAATATTTGAGTAAATAAGTGAGCACCTCTCCAAGTTGAGGCCGCAGCTTACTGGAGCTGTCACATAAAAGGAAATGTGGTGAGCTCTGGAGATAGGAATGAAAAGCATTTTAAAGATGATATTCATTCAATAACTACTCCCTGTGTGCCCACCCCCATGCACTGTGAGGTGTTGGAGCAGCACCAGTGAGCAGCACAGATCAGGCACCTGCTGTCCTGGGTGCAGCAACTCGTTGGGGAGACGGACCAGGGCCACGCGATCATGCAGTCACTCTGCAATCATGCTCTGAGGCCTCCCATGGAGGACTGCGCTGGCTGCAATGATGGTGGGGCCAGCACACCTCAAAGCAAAGCAGCTATTTAGGGCACAAAGCAATGTGTTCTGAGGGGACAGAGGGCCATTGTGAGGACGTGTGGCGTGCCTTTGTACAGCTTGGATCCTGAACATCTCAATTGTCCTAATGAAATCCAGTGGGAGGATGTAGAAGGGAATTAAAGGGACACACTCCAGCAGTCAGGCCTGGTTTACAGAGGTCCTGATGGCAAGGCAATCAAAGACTGTGGCTTTACTTCCATTACCTCCCCTCATTAAATACAAGCAGATCTGCAGAAAACATCATCCAAAGGGCTTCCCCTGAGTTTGACTGTACTGGGAAAACCTGGAAGTAAGTGCTTAATGCTCAAGACTGGGTGACCACACAGAAAAGACCCCAGTGTGTGGTCCTGGAAGAATATTCCCGTTTGGAGATGACTGCATTCTGAAAACTCAGGACTACGCACACAGCTGGCTAAGACAGTATTTCCTGCTTCAGGAGAAACACTGGGAAGAGATGGCGCACAGAGGAAACATGTGATACGGTGCAGCTGCCTCCCTGTGAGGCCAGGGCTGGGACCAAGAGCACTGCCTGGAACCAGAGAGTGGGAGTCCAACCCCACTGGCCACCTACTCATGTGTGACCTTGGCCAAGATACTCAAACTCCTGTGCCCCTCGCCTGCACAGTGGGTGTGATCTAGGGTTAGGGAGTCAGTGAATGAAGAGCTTGAAGTGCAGCCTGGATCACGGTGAGGCCCACGTGAACCTCAGGCATCACCGTCATCCCTGCCTCAGCGTCCCTGCGCTCCGGTTAATGAATTCTTTACCCGTTGCAAGTAACGAAAATTCTTAATTTCTTTTGATTAAGGCCAAAGTATTTTTTTGGCTAAAGTTGGTAAAAATGATTTTAGACCCTCAAAGGGTAGCAGAGTCAGCCACCCCAAAATATGCTGCTTTGGCATAAGGATTATTTGGAGCTGAAAACAACTGAAAAGATGCAGATATAAGCAAAGCTCTCTGCCCTCCCCTTCTTTACCTAAAAGGAGGATATAAATGGGTAAAGGTGTCCCTCCTGTCCTCTCTGCCTGGAAGGATGGAAGGGAAACTCCTCTAGATGCTTACAGCCTGGAGAAGCTTCCAGAATAATCTCTATAACAAATGTTCCTAACTAGCCCTCATCTTCTGTTAGTTTCCCATAGACTTAGCTTCCCACAGTCTGCTGCCTTAGAAACACAGTCCTTTTTCTTTGTCTTCTTTAAAAATTATTATTCTTTTTAAAATTTAAAAAATTTTAAAATTTGAGCTCTTTTAGGGCTCCTGAAGGAAGCACTAAACATGGAAAGGAACAACAGGTACCAGCCACTGCAAAATAATGCCAAAATGTAAAGACCATCGAGACTAGGAAGAAACCGCATCAACTAATGAGCAAAATAACCAGCTAACATCGTAATGACAGGATCAAATTCACACATAACAATATTACCTTTAAATGTAAATGGACTAAATGCTCCAATTAAAAGACACAGACTGGCAAATTGGATAGAGTGTCAAGACCCATCAGTGTGCTGTATTCAGGAAACGCATCTCACGTGCAGAGACACACATAGGCTCAAAATAAAAGGATGGAGGAAGATCTACCAAGCAAATGGAAAACAAAAAAAAGGCAGGGGTTGCAATCCTAGTCTCTGATAAAACAGACTTTAAACCAACAAAGATCAAAAGAGACAAAGAAGGCCATTACATAATGGTAAAGGGATCAATTCAACAAGAAGAGCTAACTATCCTAAATATATATGCACCCAATACAGGAGCACCCAGATTCATAAAGCAAGTCCTGAATCACCTACAAAGAGACTTAGACTCCCACACAATAATAATGGGAGACTTTAACACCCCACTGTCAACATTAGACAGATCAACGAGACAGAAAGTTAACAGGGATACCCAGGAATTGAACTCAGCTCTGCACCAAGCAGACCTAATAGACATCTACAGAACTCTCCACCCCAAATCAACAGAATATACATTTTTTTCAGCACCACACCACACCTATTCCAAAATTGACCACATAGTTGGAAGTAAAGCTCTCCTCAGCAAATGTAAAAGAAGAGAAATTATAACAAACTATCTCTCAGACCACAGTGCAATCAAACTAGAACTCAGGATTAAGAAACTCACTCAAAACCTCTCAACTACATGGAAACTGAACAACCTGCTCCTGAATGACTACTGGGTACATAACGAAATGAAGGCAGAAATAAAGATGTTCTTTGAAACCAACGAGAACAAAGACACAACATACCAGAATCTCTGGGACACATTCAAAGCAGTGTGTAGAGGGAAATTTATAGCACTAAATGCCCACAAGAGAAAGGAGGAAAGATCCAAAATTGACACTCTAACATCACAATTAAAAGAACTAGAAAAGCAAGAGCAAACACATTCAAAAGCTAGCAGAAGGCAAGAAATAACTAAAATCAGAGCAGAACTGAAGGAATAGAGACACAAAAAGCCCTTCAAAAAATTAATGAATCCAGGAGCTGGTTTTTTGAAAGGATCAACAAAATTGATAGACTGCTAGCAAGACTAATAAAGAAAAAAAGAGAGAAGAATCAAATAGACACAATAAAAAATGATAAAGGGGATATCACCACCGATCCCACAGAAATACAAACTACCATCAGAGAATACTACAAACACCTCTACGCAAATAAACTAGAAAATCTAGAAGAAATGGATAAATTCCTCGACACATACACCCTCCCAAGACTAAACCAGGAAGAAGTTGAATCTCTGAATAGACCAATAACAGGCTCTGAAATTGTGGCAATAATCAACAGCTTACCAACCAAAAGAGTCCAGGACCAGATGGATTCACAGCCGAATTCTACCAGAGGTACAAGGAGGAACTGGTACCATTCCTTCTGAAACTATTCCAATCAATAGAAAAAGAGGGAATCCTCCCTAACTCATTTTATGAGGCCAGCATCATCCTGATACCAAAGCCTGGCAGAGACACAACCAAAAAAGAGAATTTTAGACCAATATCCTTGATGAACATTGATGCAAAAATCCTCAATAAAATACTGGCAAACCGAATCCAGCAGCATATCAAAAAGCTTATCCACCATGATCAAGTGGGCTTCATCCCTGGGATGCAAGGCTGGTTCAACATATGCAAATCAATAAATGTAATCCAGCATATAAACAGAACCAAAGACAAAAACCACATGATTATCTCAATAGATGCAGAAAAGGCCTTTGACAAAATTCAACAACCCTTCATGCTAAAAACTCTCAATAAATTAGGTATTGATGGGACGTATCTCAAAATAATAAGAGCTATCGATGACAAACCCACAGCCAATATCATACTGAATGAGCAAAAACTGGAAGCATTCCCTTTGAAAACTGGCACAAGACAGGGATGCCCTCTCTCATCACTCCTATTCAACATAGTGTTGGAAGTTCTGGCCAGGGCAATTAGGCAGGAGAAGGAAATAAAGGGTATTCAATTAGGAAAAGAGGAAGTCAAATTGTCCCTGTTTGCAGATGACATGATTGTATATCTAGAAAACCCCACTGTCTCAGCCCAAAATCTCTTTAAGCTGATAAGCAACTTCAGCAAAGTCTCAGGATACAAAATCAATGTACAAAAATCACAAGCATTCTTATACACCAATAACAGACAACCAGAGAGCCAAATCATGAGTGAACTCCCATTCACAATTGCTTCAAAGAGAATAAAATACCTAGGAATCCAACTTACAAGGGACGTGAAGGACCTCTTCAAGGAGAACTACAAACCACTGCTCAATGAAATAAAAGGATACAAACAAATGGAAGAACATTCCATGCTCATGGGTAGGAAGAATCAATATCGTGAAAATGGCCATACTGCCCAAGCTAATTTATAGATTCAATGCCATCCCGATCAAGCTACCAATGACTTTCTTCACAGAATTGGAAAAAACTACTTTAAAGTTCATATGGAACCAAAAAAGAGCCGCCCGCATCGCCAAGTCAATCCTAAGCCAAAAGAACAAAGCTTGAGGCATCACACTACCTGACTTCAAACTATACTACAAGGCTACAGTAACCAAAACAGCATGGTACTGGTACCAAAACAGAGATATAGATCAATGGAACAGAACAGAGCCCTCAGAAATAACGCCGCTTATCTACAACTATCTGATCTTTGACAAACCTGAGAAAAACAAGCAATGGGGAAAGGGTTCCCTATTTAATAAATGGTGCTGGGAAAACTGGCTAGCCATATGTAGAAAGCTGAAACTGGATCCCTTCCTTACACCTTATACAAAAATTAATTCAAGATGGATTAAAGACTTAAATGTTAGACCTAAAACCATAAAAACCCTAGAAGAAAACCTAGGCATTACCATTCAGGACATAGGCATGGGCAAGGACTTCATGTCTAAAACACCAAAAGCAATGGCAACAAAAGCCAAAATTGACAAATGGGATCTAATTAAACTAAAGAGCTTCTGCACAGCAAAAGAAACTACCATCAGAGTGAACAGGCAACCTACAAAATGGGAGAAAATTTTCGCAACCTACTCATCTGACAAAGGGCTAATATCCAGAATCTACAATGAACTCAAACAAATTTACAAGAAAAAAAAAAACAACCCCATCAAAAAGTGGGCGAAGGACATGAACAGACACTTCTCAAAAGAAGACATTTATGCAGCCAAAAAACACATGAAAAAATGCTCACCATCACTGGCCATCAGAGAAATGCAAATCAAAACCACAAATCAAAACCACTTTTCATTAAAAAGTTAGGAAACAACAGGTGCTGGAGAGGATGTGGAGAAATAGGAACACTTTTACACTGTTGGTGGGACTGTAAACTAGTTCAACCATTGTGGAAGTCAGTGTGGCGATTCCTCAGGGATCTAGAACTAGAAATACCATTTGACCCAGCCATCCCATTACTGGGTATATACCCAAAGGACTATAAATCATGCTGCTATAAAGACACATGCACACGTATGTTTATTGTGGCACTATTCACAATAGCAAAGACTTGGAACCAACCCAAATGTTCAACAATGATAGACTGGATTAAGAAAATGTGGCACATGTACACCATGGAATACTATGCAGCCATAAAAAATGATGAGTTCATGTCCTTTGTAGGGACATGGATGAAATTGGAGATCATCATTCTCAGTAAACCGTCGCAAGGACAAAAAACCAAACACTGCATGTTCTCACTCATACGTGGGAATTGAACAATGAGAACACATGGACACAGGAAGGGAAACATCATACTCTGGGGACTGTTGTGGGGTGGGGGGAGGGGGGGAGGGATAGCATTAGGAGATATACCTAATGCTAAATGACGAGTTAATGGGTGCAGCACACCAGCATGGCACATGTATACATATGTAACTAACCTGCACATTGTGCACATGTACCTAAAACTTAAAGTATAATAATAATAAAATTAAAAAAAAATTTTTAAATTTGAGACAGAGTTTTGCTCTGTCGCCCACGCTGAAGTGCAGTGGCGTGATCTTGGCTCATTGCAACCTCTGCCTCCCAGGTTGAAGCGATTCTCATGCCTCTGTCTCCTGAGTAGCTGGGATTACAGGTGTGTGCCACCAAGCCTGGCTAATTTTTGTATTTTCAGTAGAGATGGGGTTTTGCCATGTTGGCCAGGCTGGTCTCAAATTCTTGACCTCAGGTGATCCACCTGCATCAGCCTCCCAAAGTGCTGGGATTACACGTATGAGCCACTGCATCCAGCAAAATTATTGTTCTTTTGTTAAAATGCTATATAAGCTCAAGTTCTAACAACTCCTTGGAGTTATTCATGGCTGGGTGCTCCCGTGTGTATGTGAGATGCACATGTTAATAAACTTCTGTTTTTCTCTTGTTAACCTGTCTTTGGCCAGTCTTGTTTATAGGGCCTCCACCGAAGAACTAAGATGGGCAGAGGGAAAAAAGAATTTTTCTTTTCTTTTTTTTTTTTTGAGATGGAGTCTCGTCCTGTCACGCAGGCTGGAGTGCAATGGTGCTATCTCAGCTCACTGCAACCTCCGCCTCCTGGGTTGAAATAATTCTCCTGCCTCAGCCTCCCGAGTAGCTAGGATTGCAGGTGTGTGCCATCATGCCCAGCTAATTTTTTTTTTGTTGTTGTTATTTTTAGTAGAGACAGGGTTTCACCATGTTGGCTAGGCTGGTCGCGAACTCCTGACCTCGTGATCTGCCCGCCTTGGCCTCTCAAAGTGCTGGGATTACAGGTGTGAGCCACTGCACCCGGCTGGGAAGAGAATTTTTCTTCCCTTGCACCGTCACTGAGCCTCCAGACACAAGAGAGACGATGGTGGCACGGAAGGAATTCCAGGACAATCCGCGTTCTCAGCTCTTGAACCCATAAACCCTTGTGGTTTTGGTTCCTGCCCTGAAGCTCCCTCCTCCCCGAAGGCTGCCCCAGGCATGGCTCCTACCCCCTGGGAATGGAGGTAGTCCATGGTCTTGGTGATGGTGCACAGGACGTCACTGGCTTCGCGCTCCGAGAAGTATCTCTGCCGGAGGATGCGGTCCAGGAGCTCCCCACCACGCATCAGCTCCATTACCAGGTACACAAACTTGCCATCATCATAGACCTGCGGAGTGGAGAAGGGGCGCACACGTCACCACGGCTGGTTGCTGTGAAAGAGCAACTACTCCAGAGGGGACAGGAGAGGGAAGTCAGAGGGGAGAGGCTGGGACCACAGGGTCCTATGGGAGTGCAAACAAGGCTTCTGCAGGGTAGAAGCAAATGGCCATTCCTGTCATACCATATGTGCTCTTTTTAGGAAGAAAACGGCTTTAATAATCTGCTGCTAAGCAGGGACTGAGTAAGGACATACAAGATGGGCGTGTCCTTAGCTGAGATGAATGGCTTCATGACTCTGCCAGGAGATATTTGTTATTTATTTATTATTATTATTTTTTGAGATGGAGTCTCGCTCTGTCACCCAGGCTGAAGTGCAGTGGCGCCATCTCAGCTCACTGCAACCTCCAGCTCCTCCTGGGTTCAAGCGATTCTCCTGCCTTAGCCTCCCGAGTAGCTGGGATTATAGGTGCACGTCACCATGCCCAGCTAATTTTTGTATTTTTAGTAGAGACAGGGTTTCACCATGTTGGCCAAGCTGGACTCAAACTCCTGGCCTCAAGTGATCCGCCTGCCTCAGCCTCCCAAAGTGCTGGGATTACAGGCGTGAGCCATAGTGCCTGGCCTGCCAGGAGATATTTAGACGTTAAGAAATGCAAATGTTGGCAAACCACCTTGCAAGAGCAGGGCCTCAAGGCAGTGCTTTTCAAACTGTAACGTGCATCCAATCCAATCTTGGGGATCTTGCTAAAATGCATGTTCTGGTCCTGCAGACTGAGGTGGGGCCTGGCCCTCCGCATTTCTAACCAGTTTCCCATGATGTCTGTGCTGCTACCGCATGGACAGCACTGAGTGGCCAGGCGCTGGGAGCACAGAGAGGCTAGGCAGAGTCCAGGGCGAAGTTACATATCAGAGCCGTGCTGTTGCTTCAGAGAAGCAATAGAAAAAGATAGTTTTCTCCATACTGGCTTTTATCTCATAAACTAAATAAAAACAATATGCTCTGATTATTCTTTTTATGTTTCGATTTTTTGAGATGGAGTCTCTCTCAGTTGCCCAGGCTGGAGTGCAATGGTGTAATCTCGGTTCAGTGCAACCTCCACCTCCCAGGTTCAAGCAATTCTCCTGCCTCAGCCTCCGGAGTAGCTGGGATTACAGGTGTGCGCCACCACACCCGGCTAATTTTGTATTTTTAGTAGAGATGGGGTTTCACCATGTTGACCAGGCTGGTCTCAAAGTGATCTGCCTTCAGGAGACCTCAAGTGATCTGCCTGCCTACGCCTCCCAAAGTGCTGGGATTACAGGTGTGAGCCACCGCACCCGGCCTGTTCGGGCTATTCTTATGCCAAGCTTGCATGTTAAGACCGTTTGCACGCAGCAGTCACTATGCATGAGGGAAACTGAGGTAGGCCCAATATCCTGTGACTCTAGGTTCATAATGCTAGAATCAGTTTGGAGTTGGAGCGTGAGGAGGAAAATTGTCTCCTGTCTGTGCTCCCGGATCCCAAACCCTGCACCCCCATGGGCCTCTATGAGAGACTCCGCCTGTGGACTGTAATTCACACAAGCTCTCTCTTCCTCTGTTTTACTTGCTCCCTCCATGACTGGGGCGGTGGCTGTCAAAAAGACTTGAGTACACAGTCCAGCAAGTCAGCTCCAAGTGACTGAGATATGTGGGTGGTGGAAACCAGCTGAGACAGGCATGAGATGTGAGAAAGCTTGCTCTGAGTGAATGGGAGTTTTGTGTCAGTTGAAGAAACAGAAGGAAGTGGAGATGCTGTTGCACGGGGACCACTCACATCCTTGAGGGTGATGATGTTCGGGTGCTGGCCGTACCGCAGGAGGATCTCAATCTCTTCCGAGGGGTCTCTCTTGCTCTTATCAATGATCTGGAACAAACACAGCACATGGCAGTGAGGGGTCTACTTTAGGCTTTCGGGTGGTATCTGCTGGTGGACCATTGAGTTTGGATAAAGTCTGGCCCCAGGTGGCCCAATCACTACAATCTCACACCCGACCAAGAGATAACCTGAGATTGTCTGGAGATTCATGGCAAGTCCTTTCTTTGACAACTAGTGTAAGATTTACATCTACAAAGAGGAGTACAGGCTGGGCAAGGTGGCTCATGCCTGTAATCCCAGCACTTTGGGAGGCCGGGGTGGGCAGGTGGCTTGAGGTCAGGAGTTTAAGACCAGCCAGCTTGGCTAACATGACAAAACCTGGTCTCTACTAAAAATACAAATATTAGCCAGACATGGTGGTGTGTGCCTGTAATCCCAGCTACTCAGGAGGCTGAGGCATGAGAATCACTTGAACCTGGGAGGCAGAGGTTGCAGGGAGCTGAGATAATGCCACTGCACTCCAGCCTGGGTGACAGAGCGAGACTCTGTCTCAAAAAAAAAAAAAAAAAAGGAGTACAAGACTTCAGACATGAATTTTAAGGTGTTATAAGGTTGGGTGGAGACACGTGTAGGGAGCTCATGCAAGTGCCACCAAATAACAGACTGTGTCCCACCCTCGCAGTGGGCACCATCCACAACAAGCCTCCAGCCACTGTGCACCTTCTGCCTTGTTCCGGGAATTACAAACCAGCCACAAAATGAGGTGAGGCGCATGGCTCTCACCAAGAGATGCTGGGGATGGTGCGCAGGCCAGACCTGCCTTGCTGTTTAGACATATGCAAGCTCCCCTCCCCCGCCCAGCATCTGTATCCGATGTCTTAGGATAACAGATAAAGTTGCTTCAACCCCATGGAGACATATGGTTTCTGAGGACAGGGTGTTGGGATTTAAGCCTACCTTGGAAACAGGAAGTCGCTGTTGGTCCCTGGTGGCTAATCCCTCTGGAGGTGCCTAAGTCCCGCCCTTGCCGCCCCTGCTGTGGGGACGGGACCAGTGGGAGGAGGGCACCACACTCATGGGAAATTGGCAACATGCAACATGTATTTTGCAAACAACACTCAGAGCAGAAGAAAAGCGATTGGAAACACCTTCCTAACCATGATTTGTACTATTCTCACATTAGTTCAACCTAATTTTAAAATAGTCTCTATTTGGAGACCGTGCAGTCATTTTACTACTAGAATATGAGGGTGACTTGCTTTTAACTTCTATCATGTCAAAGTCTCTAGGCAGAGCTTTGCATAAAACTCTATTTCGTTAATTTTTTTTGGAGACAGGGTCTCACTCTGTTGCCTAGGTTGGAATACAGTGGTACAAGCATAGTTCACTGCAACATCAAACCCCTGGGCTCAAGTGATCCTCCTGCCTCAGCCTCCAGAATAACTAGGACTACAGAGGTGTGTGCCACCCTACTCAGCTAATTTTTAAATTCTTTGTAGAGATGATGGGGTCTTGCTGTGTTGCCCAGGCTGGTCTCTAACTCCTGGCTTCAAGTGATCCTCCTGCCTCAGCCTCCCAAAGTGCTGAGATTACAGGCATGAGCAACTACACCTGGCTATTTCTTTACTTTAGAGAACCAAACGCTTGGGTAGCATTTGACTCACTGCTCATAATCTGTCCCCTGGTCACCCTTCGTCCACTCCCCGTCACCGTTATAAAAACTCACCATAGTGCCAGTTCTCACCCCATTATAGTTTCAAAGGATGCTCTGCCACGGCCACCATTCAGCTGTGACTGCATCAGTGGCCCATGATCTGTGAGTCCTAATAGCCTGCGTTGTAAACAGGCAGAAGAGTTAGGGTCCCTTTCTGGACATAGAATTTCTCTCCTTCTGCTGCATTTAATTCTACTGAAGTTTTAGCTAGGACACTAGGACTAATTCTATTGCCAACATAAATGCATCATTCTCAAGTAGAGACTTTTAAAACGATCATTCAAGGAGGGGTGGGGGACTTTCCCTAACATGCCACAGCCTAAGCAGGTCCTGGGAGGCTGGTCCTGCACTGCTTGTAGGGAAGCTGGCTGTCAGGTACCCAAACTCCTCTGCTCCTGTCTGCCTGTGGGCATCCCGTCTATCGGGGCCGGGATCCTGTCTTTGCAATTAGAGAAGGTTAAAATACATTTATAAATTTATAAAAGAATTCAGTAGAAGATTTTTTCGCAAATATGATTTCATGATAAAGGGATGTGTTCTTAGCATGAATCTGTTTTATCACTCTCACAGTGGAACAAGATGCAGAGTAAACAAGAAAGTGGGAGCTTTTTCTCCACCGCCACGGACCATCTTCAAGATACAAGGAGTAAAAAAGGCCGACGCGAGCAGGTGCATCCTACGCCATCCCTTGTTTTAAAAATGGAGAGAAGAATGCAGATAGACGCATCCATTTCCTTGTGGGTGCATAAAATAACCCTGGAAGGAAGGAGGAAACATTTAATTGCCTTGCCTTCCTGTGAGGAGGGGAACAGGGTGCCTGGGGGCCCATGGGTGGGAGGGAAACTTTGCTGTATCCACATGAATTTTTAAAAATTTTGAACCACAAGAATATATTGTCTATTCAAAATATGAAATAAAGAATTCCAAAATTTCAGCTTACTATTTTGTAAGCTGAAATTGCAGGACAACGTGACTATTATTTTAAAGAATCTGGGACTACAGATGGCTGCCCTCTCAACCCTAGTATCTATTTTATTTCTATGTGTTCTTTTGTTGTGAGTCTTCAGAAAAATTCTGACTTACAATGATAAGTATTTGTAAACAGTTTTCAAAGACAGATTACCTTAAACTCTTGCTTACTTTAAAAACTATCTTAAATTGTAATAAAAGCTAGCATGTATGTGCACATGTGAGGCACACTGGATTTCAACCCATCGGAGCCAGTGTCCTGGTCATTTGCTAGAATCTGATACACATTTAAGCATGCATGTTGACTTTCATTACATTTTCAACATATTAGTTACGCCTTTCAAAATCATGTAATTGCTTGGTGGAACCCCCAAAGCACCTCTGTCAACAACCAAACACCACACACCAGCTGTTCGCTGAGGTGGCATTTGGGGAAATGGAGGAAAATGAAAGAAGCTCCCAGGCTGAGGTCCTGTGGGGACAGGAGCTCATCTGGAGGAGACTCCAAGGGGCCCACGAGTGCTGCTGTTTCTCACCACAGGGTAGAGCCAGCGGTCTTTCAGCAAACATCTGGTTTGCTCCTGAGGGGAAGTCACGTTTGCTGTCTCAGGCGACAACACTGCTGTGGGTGTGGGTGGCTTGGCCTGTGGCCATGTCACTTGCTGGTACTTGAATGTGGGTGTCTGCAGGCTCAGCTCCCGTGGAGGGCTGGAAAGGTGGAGGAAGGCGTTGCTCCTGGGGAGGCCACGTGCTGCGTGGTTGGCGGCCCAGCCGCTGAGCCAGTCTGAGCCCCAGCTGAGACCTGGCCTCCCTGTCCACTCCCTGTGGGGTTGCAGGAGCTCCCTGGGCCTCTCTACACCTAGCTTTCTTCATCTGTAAAACTAGAAAACACCAGGCACTCCTCTGGCTCACTGTTAAGATTCAACAAATTAATATGAATCGATCCCTTCATACTCTCCCTGGTACACAGAAAGCACTTGGTACAAGTGAGTTATTCCTATTACAGAGATAAAATAGAATTACCCTGACACCGCCAGGCAAGGGACTAAGCAGCTGTGACCTGCCACGTTTACAGCCCTGAAATGCTGCTTTCGGTCCTGTCTGAATCCTCACTGCGAGTCCGTGCCATGAAGCAGTGTGATGTTTAAAACTAATGTCAGCAGTAGAGCGTGTTTCAGTTAAAGCCCCAGAAAAAAAAAAAAAAAAAAACCTCAGATGTCACACCAACTGGGTCAACCCAGAGGCCTTAATTAAAGGATCGTTTGCAAAGGAGTAGAGTGGCTGGAGGGTCACTGGCCGGCCAGCAAGGCACAGTGTAATGCCTTGGGGGCAGTCCTGGCTCTCAATGCCAAAGAGCTGCGCAGGGTCAGTCACAGGACCAGAAGGGGCTGCATGGGGTGGGGAGGTGCGCCCTGACAGGGGCTGTGGGCAGAAAGGCCTCGGCCCGACACTTCTCTTCCCACTCTTGTCCTGTGGTGTCTGTCTCGCACTAGCAGAACTGCCCAGGAGCCAGAGGCATGGAAGTGGTCCCTAACAGTCAGCCTCCTGGCTTCCTTGCCTCCTGGCCTCCCAGCCTCTGAGGCACAGGGCAGCGAGGAGGGTGGGTTTGCATGGGAAATGGCGCTCCCCGTCCTGGAAGGGAAGTCCCACAGACTGGGGTCTCTCCTGCCTCAGCCTCCCGAGTAGCTGGGATTATAGGGCACATCCTGGAAGGGAGTCGTGGCGGGAATAGGTTCTCACACGACCCTCCTGGGCTCCCGCCTTCCCCTGACCCGGGAGAATTAATCCAAATCAAGCCAAGGCTCTGAGATGAAGTGGCAAGGCAGTTCTGACCCAGCGTTTCCGTCCCGGATGCTGTCAGGAAGTGCTGGCTGCTTTTCCCTGTAACTTTTTCTGAAAAAAAAATTTTTTTTTTTTGCTTTTGTTTTTATTTTTGCATGGAGGGTGAGCTATTTGAGCAAGGTAAGGCTGGAGAGTGCTAACGCAGGAGTGGGCAGTGAGGTGTGGCTACAGTCCTGGAGTACATGACCTGGATCTGCTGCGGGCAGCCGGGGTTTGGACACACTGTTTAGGAGCACCAGGGAGTGGGCCCCAAGTGCCTGCCAGCGCACTTCTTCTCTATGGGGTCGGTTTCTTGGGGTTGACCGTGTTGGTCTTACTCTTATTAGAGCAAGCTCTGGTGGACGGCGTTCCTCATTCTGAGAATAATATTGTTTTATAATCTTTATTATGCAACAAAACAGGGAGGCCTTCTCAGCAAGCGTGGTGATGAACAAGGCCTCCCCTCCAGGCTGACGCTCAAATAATGCTGACGCGCCACGGAGTAGGAGTGGTGTCGTGGGGCGGGGGACAAGCTCGCTCAGCTTTCTTTTTCTCATCTGGCAACAGCTGGTTAGAAAGGACTCCTACAACCTCCAGAGAAGGGCATTCTCCAGGGGTTGGCCACCCACCACAGCCGGTAAATAAACTTTCCATGGTGTTGCCACCGAGCAGGCTGAATATTTCCACCTTCCTTAGAGATGCTGAGTCTAGGGGTCTGAATATCCACGAAGCAATTCTGGGTTCAACATGGATGGCACACCACCATGATCTTCCTGAGCACGGACACATGCAGCCATGTGCCAAACAAACACTGCCATTCCTGCTGGCCGAAGGCGACAACAGGAGACTTCGCTGCTCTTGATAACACCTTTCCTCCTGCTGGCCGAAGGCGGCAACAGGAGACTTCACCGCTCTCGATACACCTTTCTGGTCTTTGCGTTTCTCTACCTTCCCTGTCTTTCTTGTCTCTCTCCATCAGTGGAGACACCGTCTCCCGGGACACTCAGCAACCTGAGCAGATGGCTTTGAGGCAGTAACTACGCGGGCAGTGGCATGAGCTCACAGGCTTGCAGAACACTCCCACTAGGCAGGCCATTTCCCTTGAGTTGCCGAAAGGATCAGTATCGTATTTGACACAAAGGTAGGAGAGCATGTAATCATTTGTAAAATTTAACAGACACCTTCTCCTGTAAAATTAATTTAAACTAATGACAGAGAGAAAGAACTCCTGTTTTATCCTGGTAGAAAAAGTTAAAATTTCCAAGCTCATCAGTTCTCCTTCTAAAAATAAGCTCTATTCATGCCGAACATCTGTCTTAATTCCGTTTCTTTTTTTGGTTGGCAAATTACACACACAGTGTGAAGATGGGCACAGAAACACCACGTTCTTTTCAACGGTCTCACGTGAGTACAGACTGGAGCCTCCTCAGGAAGGCTGGCCCGCGCTCCAGGCCTGCGTGGTCACGCCGCGTCACTACAGTTAACAGCTGGGTGACACATATTCTTGCACAGTTCTAAGGATCTCACTTTATTTCTTATCAGATTCTGTTGCTAAAGCAAACTAAGGTACTTTCAATACCATAACAACAAAAATTTGCTACCGAAAAGGGAGAGTAGCTGCATCTTAACTCATGTGCTTCTTTCTAGGAAAACCCAGCCCCACTGAGCTTGTGCGGTCTTCTTCTCCTGCACGAGCTTTCAGACAATTGAAGGGAAATTTACAAGTGCAACAGTCAGTGAACAGGCACGTATATTGGTACCATGTGTTTGAAGATACAACAGGCCAAGAGAAAGAGCCAAACCAACTGTAAAGCTCATTTAATTTCAGATTCCGGAGATGCACTCCACTTTTTGGTATAGTTTCTGGTTCTGTCATTGACACAATTCCTAAATGGCTAAGCTGTGAGCTCCCTGGAGCAGGTTTGTGTTCTCACCTTGCCCTGCGTCTGTTGCAGTAAAAGCGTCCAATTAAAAAAAAAAAATTCTCAATGAATGAAAAAAGTAACCAGCTTCCTGAACAAGGGGATTGCTGCAGAAAGAAATGGATTCCAAAGGCACGAAGTGCTCTGTTGAAGAATTATATTATAAACCCCGATTTTAAAAATTTGAATTTGAAGGAAAGCTCCTGATTCATATTTTTTCTTGTCTTTATTTTTAATTAATTAATTAATTAATTATTTGAGATGGAGTCTCTCTCTGTCGCCCAGGCTGGAGTGCATGGCACAATCTCGGCTCACTGCAACTTCTGCCTCCCAGGTTCAGATGATTCTCCTGCCTCAGCCTCCTGAGTAGTTCGGATTACAGGCACGCGCCACCATGCCTGGCTAATTTTTGTATTTTTAGTAGAGACGGGGCTTCGCCATGTTGGCCAGGCTGGTCTCGAACTCCTGACCTCAGGTGATCCAACTGCCTTGGCCTTTCAATGTGCTGGGATTACAGGCATGAGCCACCGTGCCCGGCCATATATTTTTCTTTTAATCAACACTTAGCCTTTCACTACCAAATATTTATGCTAAATGAAGATAAGGAGCCCCTTCATTGTGTGCTGAAATTGAGTGAGCTCCTGCCATGTGCCCGACTTTGTTGAGGTGCTGGAACTATAGCAAAAGCAAAGCCTTTGTTGCCCTGGAGTGGCTGCCCTCACAGGGCCGTGCACACAGACAGTGAACAACCCATGCAGGGGGAACGTGCCATAGGGAAGATGATGTGGGTGAGGGGGGCTGCTGGCTGCAAAAGATGGAGGCGGGGAACTAAAATCAGGGCATCCTGTGGGCTTTGGGTGCATATTTGTGTTCTCTGGTTGGTCCTGACTTGGAAGCAGGGACAGAACTTAGGAAGCTGTCAGTCATTCATCAAGTCCTGGCCATGTGGGGCTGACTGTCACAGAATTTATAGTTCAGCTTCCTGGGCTGTCACTAGAGATAGCAATCTGGCTTCCTGCAAGCCTGACACAGCTGCTGGCCTCCCGAGCTATGTATTGTAGATAAAGGGGCTGGCTGCAGGTGTGGGTCAGACTTCTGTCGGGCACCCAGCCTGGCCACCATCTGCTGTGTATCCACTCTCAGCCCCCAGAGCCCGCGGAAGGAACCAGCCTTGGGGACACTGGACTTTAGCCCAGTGAGACAGATTTCAGAATTCTGACATCCAGAGCTGGAAGACAATAAGCTCAGGTTGTTTTAAGCCACTAGATGTGGGGTAATGTGTTGCATTCCTAAACAATAGGAAACTAGCCTGTGTTGAAAGACCGGGGAGAGGTTTGCAGTGGGAGAGTTGAGAGCCAAGTTTTGGCTGGTGGGTGGGAGCCTGTGAGATGGGCTCGGGGACCCGGTAGTGGGCAGAAGGCACATGCTACATCTTATTGCTGATGACCGTCCTCCGCCGCATGCCTGCTGGGAGGGGCTGAGCATACGAGAAACAAAACCATAAGCCAATCACATTAAGCCTTTCTCGTTTCGAAAAAGCAAAAGTGCAGCTCGCTGCCAGCGCTCATTTGATTTTACATAAACATGTTCATTAAGGCTGAAACAAATCTGATTTTCCATGTGAAAATAAAATTTAAAAACTGTTACTGGAGTTATTTCTAAACAGAACTAATATCAGAATCATCTGAATCATCAGAATTGTCTATTTTGGAAAAATTGGATTCATCAAATGAATCTTTGGCCAACAACTGTTTGAGAACGAAGTTAACATCCCATGTAGGAATGCTACGTTTTCTAGGATTTGACATTATCAGCAATCGATTATGACTATATTTTGTAAATGGAAATGCCACTACTAAAAACAGAATGCTATCGATAGAATGATGTCCTTTGTTTCCAAAGTTGGTATACTAGAGCGGTGCAAAAATAATAATAAAAGTGAGATATTTCGCGGCAAAGTTATCTCGGGGCAAACGCTGCAGCCGCAAGTGCCGCCGGTGAGTATTCTTGGGGAAAACGGGCAAAGGGTTAAATCATCCAGAAAGGCAGCTTCCCAGTGTGTGTTTCGAGGAGATACAAATGCCCAACCAATTCCACTGAGGAGCTTCTTTGATTAGAGAATGCCTGTGCAGAGACACAGGCTGGACAGAGCATCTATTCTGGCAGGCGATACAGTCATTTTCCCGTCTTCGAGTCTCTCTCTTCTGGTGGAAGAGAAATTTATGCCACCGTTTTCCTCAGTCATGCAATCTGTTACCAAAGCTGCCCCGTCTCCTTCCTTGTCCATCTAAATGTTGCTTTCTTTCTTTTCTATTTTCTATTTTATTTAACTGCTCCTAGTCCCGGCCTCTGTGCCTGTGAACGCTCCTTTCTCTGTTTCCACTGTGGCTGTGAAGGCATCTACAGCCTCTGCCTGTCTCTGCACCACTGCTGTTCTTGAGATGGTTCATGTTGCTCCTTCACATAGCTCAACTCTCAACTGCTGTTTCTCTTTGCTTCAAATTTTCACATGATTTCTATGAAAAATGCATTTTGATCCCTAAAGACAGGACTGGCCTGGACCTCTCTCTTCCCAGGTTTGGCCACAGTGGTTTGACTCAGCTGCACAGCCACCTCTGTTCCCCAAGACGGGTGCAGCTAACACCCCACGTGATACTGGGAAGCCCCATGGTGAAACCATCCACTGCTTTCTCAATGGCTTAGAATTCTTTGCAGGACCTGGCACTGGATCCTCTGGAGTGAACTTGAACACAAGCTCCCCTGAGTCCTCTCCTTCTCCGGCCCCGTGCGGCTCACTGCAGCGCCCAGCGTTAGGCCATGGGCTCTTTCAAGATGTAGCTTCTGCAACAAGCCCAGGTGCTGCCCTGAGGACGAGCAGGCTGTGATCCACAGGAGCCGGGGCTAGTGCTGCCAGTGACCTCGGAGCACAGACTGAAAACAGAGGTCTACATGAACGCAGACCATCCTGAATGCTGTGGGGAAGGAAGCTGGAGCAGCTGCCGGGGGCCGGGGGCCGGGACCCTGGCTAGGGGCCTCGCAGCTGAGTGCTGGAGGAACCAGGTGCACTGTGCCTTTGGAGGTGAAGTTAGAGGAAGCGGTCCGGCTGCCGCTCAGCACTTACACAGCTGAACCATGGCCCACTTGGTGGCAGCAGGACCTTTCACTGGGGTACACCCAGACTCATAAGACCAGGAGACTCAGGTGCGATTTTACATAGAGCTCCACTTGCACCTGGCACACCTTCCCCTTACAGCCTAGGGACTTTGGCTATTTATCAAACAATGGATTTTTCTTGCAGGTCCCATGACTTGAGCTTTCCAGCTATTCTGAAGCCCAGCCTTACTGCCCAGCCCCATCTGCTCTGAATACTGCCTCATTCTTTCATGGTTTGGGTACTCTGAGATGCATAGAGCATCTGGCTGAAACAGAACACTGGGGCTCCCCGCCTTATGACGAGTGAGTCTGCTGGACAGGGGTCGAGAGTGTGCACTCGGGGTCTGACTGCTTGGACGGGAACCTGCTCTCTCACTGACCGGCTGCGACTTCTCGCATATGTGTTGAACCGTTCTGAGTTTCTGTTCCCTCATGGGGATAATGAAAATAATTACACCGTGGGATGCTGTGAGGATTAAATGACTTCACACATACAGAGCGCTTATAGCAGTGCTTGGCACGTACTGAGTATGAAGTATTTACTCTCGTCATCCTCGTAACTCTCGTCACCATATTCTATCTAACGCCTGCAGCTCCTGGTCTCAGGAACTTCAGTTCTCGGGCAGTTTCCTCTTCATATGTGTACTGACGTTGGTGTTTTGCAAAAGAGGGTCAAGGTGGCAAAATTGGCACTCGAATGATGTAATGTAGTTTTATGCCTATTATGACATCTATAATAAATAAAAACTTCAGTCATTAGTAGAGATGGCCAAGAGCTCTCTCAAGGTATGTGTATTAAGCTTATGAGAAGGGGAGATACTAGTGACACAAGCTAACATTTCTGTAGTGAATTAGCTATGATATGTGTAGACAGTTGACCCTTGAACAACATGGGGGTTAGAGGTACCGACCCCTCAAGAAGTTGAAAATGCACATATAACTTTTGACTTCGCCAAAACCTAACTAATGTCCCACTGTTGACTTAAAGCTTTACCAGTAACATAAACGGTCCATTAACACATATTTTGTATTTGTATAATTATATACTGTATTAAGAATAATTATACAATTATATACTGTATTAAGAATACAGTATATAATTCTGTAATAATACGATCTAGAGGAAAGAAAATGTTACTAAGCAAATCATAAGGAAGAGAAAATACATTTAGTGTATGGGACTGTATTTATGGATATAGTGAGTTTATGCCATCTGTTCACAAGATGGATCGTCTGTCTGAAAAGGGGGGCACTCACAGCTGCAGACCTCAACCTGGGGTACGTATCATGCAATTCAACTTTTGTTTTTTTTGGTCATGTGATGACTTTTCTCTGCCTCTTGGGAGCACTCACAGCGTCCCTAGTGGCACGGGACTTCTTAGTGGTTCTATGGTGTTATTCAAGGTTTATGGAACTGCACTAAACACGGTGAAAAATATGTGAGAACCACAAGATACCATTTTTTACTGCTATTCCCAATTCCCTGGAGAGACAGACTCCTCACATGGAGACGAGGAGTGTCACAGGACGTTTAAAGCGGATCCTTCCAACACCTGAGCTTACTACAGCAGCAATGGAAGGCTGCTGTGAAATTCTTACGGTAGTGCCATATTCGCCACAGTTAATTTGCTGCAGCTATGATTTAATGCTGAATCTATGTTTGTTTACATTTATCTCAACTGCAAATGGCGCCACGTATGGTCTATGCTTGAGCACATAAATTTTGATACATTTTAAGTTTGTATAATAAATCTGTGTATATTTTATAGTAGAAAATGATAAAATAGACTAGCATCTATGTATATTTTATGCATCCTGACATACCATTTTCTTAACTTTTTAAATATTTCTAGGCTATGTGGTTTGTCTGTGAGTTTCTTCAAATTGTAACAAATCTCTAAAAAATTTTCCAGTATATTTACTGAAAAAAATCTGCATACGTGGATCCTCACAATTCAACCCCGTGTTGTTCAAGGGCCAACTGTATATATTTACATATTCCCCCACCAATATAATGCCAGGAATCCTTCCATTTATACAAATCAGCACTATCTAGAATATGTACCTAATTATGTTAAGCAACAAAGTCCTAAGAATAAAATAAAAACAAATAATTCCCTCTCTCAATTCTTATAAAGTGAATACAGCATCTTTGATGGAATAGGAATATTATTTTTTCTTTCAAATACACCTCTCCCCTTCCTTTTAATCCTCCTGGATCACGATTACCTCCAACACTTAATAGTCACTTCTATTTTAATCTTATTTTAAATGAAGGGTGCCCTAATGTGCGGACAGCAATGCAGCCATCCGTCATGCTATTTTGAAGCCCTATACAACTTCATCGCCCACCACTAGTCTCCCTGGGTTGGTTATAAAAACAAAGGCGGACTTTAGTTTTCCATTAGATTACTTAGCTGTTTTGTCCCAATAAAATGGCTTGTAGTTATTAGAAAGTAGGGCACATCTGTTCACCTACAATGTGTCTGATAAAAGGAAGAGGAAGCGCTGAGGGAACATAATAGCTTTTCTCATTCAACCATCAGAGCACTGGCTGGGGGCACCGGCAGAATGCGCTGCATCAAGTCCAGCCTGAAACAGTGCCGTGCGCGTGAGAAGGAAGAGGGTCGGTGTCTTCCCGCCCGAGGCCGGACTGCCCCAGTGAAGGATCTTGGACGTTCTAGTGTTGTTTGCCGAAGTCGAGAGGGAGGGACAAGCCTGGGAATCCAGGTTGTCATTCAGCCCACGTGAATTGAGCCCCTGCTCTAAGCTGGGCACTGTGTTGGAGACTGCGATAGCTAGAATTGGTCTTAATTTTAGTCCTAATTTTAGGACCGATTCTAGCTGTCACTTCCCACAACCTTTGGCAGAGTACCCAGCATATAGCAGGGACTCAAGTTAAAAATGCAGCTGAAAATAAATGCAAAGTGAACAATCTTGTCGTTTGATTTACTCAGGTAAACTGGTTTCAGTAGAACCTTAAATGTAGTTTACGTTATTCAGGGTAATTATGGTGGCAAAATTAGAAACCTGCAAAAATGCAGAAATAACTTAAAGCAAAATATAATGATATTCTAAGAATGTGAGAAGTACTATGATTCCATACTCACTATGAACCTCCATACCTGACCGTCATAGAGGTGAAGAGCTGGCCCCACTCTCCTCTTAGAAGGACCTGCACTTTAAGTCACGGCCCAGTCACAGTGGGGTGGGGGTGGGGGGCTGCCCGCAGCACGTGGGGAACACTGAGCTGTTGGTCGGTCATCATCCTGTTGCTAAAGGACTCACCAGAAACTCAATGAAGAAGAAAAACTCCATCCCCATCTCCAAAATATCAACCTCCTGGCCTTTATCTACATGAGACCTGCTCTCACCCACAAGGATGCTGAGGCTGGGCTTCTCAACCTTTCGTTGGGGCAGCAGGTTGTGGGGGCTGTCCTGTGCACACAGGATGCTAACCAGCTTCCCTGACCCGTATTCACCAATGCCAGGAGCCCCTGTCCCAGCTGGAAAAACCAGAAAGTCTCCAGACATTGCCAGTGTCCCCTGGGGGCCACAGTTACCCCAAATGAATATGACTGCCCTGGGCAGAATCCATCGATTCTGGTCACTCTCCTCATTGCTTACTAAAGATTGCTGCATTTCTCTTTCTGTCATTACTCGGTGGGGACATTTCTGGGTCATCCCTGCCATTGAATGGGAGGATGCCCTGTCTGGCTGTGACGGGACTGCTTCTGAAGCAGACCCCGTTTGTATCCATGAGCCAGGGGTAGGTGGGATCGTATACGGCTCAAGCGGCAACTGGGAGTGGTAAAGCCGGATTCTAGTGACAATCTCGGCTGGACATCTGCTGAGCTGAGATCCAACTCACACATCAGATAATCAGCTGCCACATGCTTAGTTCTGGGTCATGTTAGAAGTCACCGAACTTTGCTGTTTCTTAGTCCATCAATAGGTGGGGATGCTGCTTCTCATGAACAAGTCAGCAGATACAGACAAAGGCCAAAAGTATTTCAACTACATTCCACCTGGAAATGCTGAAAACAAAACCGCACAGTGCTCTGCACTGGGTCAAAGCAGTTTTGGTAACAAGTGGACCCATTCTAAATAACAAGCTCGTTGCACAGAAATGCCAATTCGTCCATCTTGGAAGGAAATCCAAACAACCGTGTCTACCTGCAGATAATTGAACTTGTTGTCACCGCTCCCTTGACCGGCTGAAACGTGCTTCTGAAGTGGCTCTGGTCACAGGAGCCTTCTGGACCACGAGCCACATCTCTCTAAAAAGTCCCGGGCCGTTCATGGGGCTGCACCTTCCCGTGCTCGGTTAATTTATGCATCTTCCAGACTACACATTATTACCCACTGTAGTCTCAGAAGGGACAAGGGAAATCCCTGCCATGTCTGCTGGCCAACTTTGTCCAGGGAACTTCAGGGTTTGTGAAAGAGAAACAGGAAGACCGGGCTCTTTCTTCTACCATCGGCCAGAGCCACAGTGCCTGGCTTCTCTCCCCGAGAGCTGTTGCTGAAATTCCACAGAGTTTGACCTCAACAAGATCTTTGAGGACTGACGGACTGAGTTTAAGCTGTGTAACAAAGCTGAATTCAGACAGTGTCCATATAAGAGCTGGATATGGGAATATTAGGAGAAAACACACCATCGCCTCGTCACTGGGGGATTTACTTGCAGAGGCACAAAATGGGGGCTGATCCGCAGGCTGTTTCTGGAAGGGCACCGCGGCTGCTGGGCTGACCAAACCGTAGGCTTGTTTCTTTGAGCTCACTGGGAAGCAGTGATTGTTTCTGGGATTGCTGTCTGTCACCTGGTAAATAATCTAAAGAAATCCTGTGAGCAATGACTCAGGCAGAAAAAAATTCCAAGGAGCCTATGTAGGCTTACGAAGCACATGTGAAATACGTTTCAAAGTACAAGTGAAATTCTCTTGTCTAAGGCAGAATACAGGTCTGCTCTTCACCACTGGAACATCTGGACACAGGAACGGCACCTGGGTATGCAGATGGTAGGCGCCCATCTAAGTGCTCCTTTAAAAAACTCTCCCAATGGGATGGAGGAGCAGGACAAACCAATCTCAACAATCCAAATCCTAGAAACGCATGAAGCCTACGCGCCCCAGGCTGCAGAGGCAACCACTTCATAACAAAACTTGGTTTTCTCCTGCCCTTCACACCACGGGTGGACATTCTACCATGACAGTAACCCTCGCTGCAGTCTCCACCCAATTACAGTTCCAGGAACTGTAAATCATGATCTATTTCCTTCCATTCACCCTTCCTGGATGTGTTCAAGACTCTGGGCAGACTAAACACAGAGATGGTATCAGAGCAAATCACAAATTGATTATTTCTCCATATTTAAACTTTCTTTTTTTGTTTGAGAAATTCAAGATAAATTTGTCAATAATCCATAAATTCTTGACCCAAACAAAATCAAGGGACCTGAGATTTTTTTTCGGCTGGCGTCTTCTATGACAGCAAAGCGTTTTCCCAGTGCAAGAAACACGGTAGACGTTCCCAGTGAATATGCTTGAGGATCCCAGGCCATGCTTGAGGATCTACCCTTTTGAAATACCTGTTTTCACAAAATGTCAGTGGAGCTCTGGGCAAATGAGGATGGAACTGGGTCATCTCAACATTGTCATTATTTTGAACAATCTCTTCAGAGTGTAGGAGAATCACAGTTGATGAAAATTACTCTTTTTACACGACTTGCTGGCTGGGCAGATGTTCTTTGAAGGGCAAGCGTAGCACCGTGTGCTACAGACGTGTCTGGGAATAAGCCGGGAGGGTCCTGGTCATGATGGCAACACAGGCTGGGACCTCGCTCTGCGACAGCCTGGGGTTTGGCTCCACTGGAAAGGGGCAGAGTTTCAAGTGTCTCTTGCTGTCTTTTGGAGAGGATGTACAATGTATCTTTTTTTAACATAAATTTCATTCTGATTTTAGCAGGAAGCTTTACCTTTAATCCACATTTTACTAACCAAAAATCTCTAGAAACTGGTATTCTGGATTCCCAGATCAAATATTTAAGCAGCAACAATTACGAAAGCTAAAGTTACTATGTAGAGATTGCCAAATTGGGTTACAAAGAATTGTTTCTCTATACTGTTCTTGACGGTTGGGAGTAAAACCATTAGCTCTCTGCCAAAGTTTGTTGTAAGTAATACAAGCTTATTTATTTCTTTGAGTATTTTCTTCCTCCCTTTTTTCTTTCCTTCCTTTCCTTGCCAAATTCTATACCTGTCCCCCAACTCTGTTTTCTCAAAATACTGGGGGCCCAAAACTTTTGCTCTTGGTGTATGTCATACACCAAGCTACGAAAGGTGCTCAGTCCCTGCGTGGTACATATGACTGAAAATATTCATGATTTGCAAAACTACCTTTTAATGGGTGACCTCATATCAAAGCAAACTGAACTCCATCATATCAGAGCTTGGAAAATGGCAAATGGAGAGAATGTTCACTCAGGCTCAGGTGTCCCTGCTGGAGTCACTGCACAGCTGAGCACGTGAGCACATATGCTGTGCTCCTATGCTCCGTGCTCCCATGTGCTGTACATGCTCCCACACGCTGCACTCACACAGGGCCCTGCTATGCTCCTATGCTCCGTGCTCCCACATACCACACGTGCTCCCACGCGCTGCACTCACACAGGGCCCTGCTCACTCAGCAGGCCTGCCTTACCTTCACGGCATACTCGGTGTCTGTGGCTTTATGCACACATCGCTTGCACACTGAGTAGGAGCCCACCCCGATGTCCTCCTTGATCTCGTAGCCATCGGTGAAGTGGATGTTGTTCCCGTGTAACTGCTGCAGAGGGACCAAGAGAAGAAGAGTTGTCGGAACCCTCACACGAGGGGACGGTGCAGCTACACGCACACAGAATGTGGGGCGAAGAGAGGCACCGACTGTGAACTGAGTGTGTGGAGGCCTGGGAGCTCATGGGTCCCCCTGCCCAAGGCTGCAGAGCTACTTAGTGATGTTCTTGACCTAAATGCCAGCTTCTCTGATTCCTTGGGCTATGACTCTTAACTTTGAGACACCAGGCCGTTCTGTGTCCACTGGCTGGTATGTTTCTCGCAAAGATCTGAGAGCAGGAGAATGTGAAAGTGAAAAGGAAGTGCTGGCAGCTGCTGGGTGCGTGGCTCCAATGCCTGTGTGCAGAGCAAGACTCTGGATGGAAACATCTCATCGGAAATCTGACTCCATGGTGTCCAAGTCACAGCCTGCTCTGACCTGCATGCAGCAGCCCCACCCACCCGCTCTTAACTAAGACAGAAAGCCACCATGGCAGCCTGCACTGTCATGACAACGTCTACTTTACACACCTGTATTTCTCCAAAGGCCAGGGAAGGAAATAGGATGGAAATCCAATGCCATTCAACTTACCCGGATTTCATTCTTAAATAAGTTTAATCATAATTAGAATTAAGTTTAACCCCTTAGAATTCTCTGTATTCTGGTTACATTTATTAGGTGGGAAACTCATTATGAAAATACCACCTTCCAAAGACCTCCCAAAGATTCCATTTCATCATGGGAAAATGATGCCCACAAATTAAACTGCTACCCTAGGGTCCTGGCTGGGCTCCACACAGTGAAGATGCTCCAGTCTCTGGCCATAGACACCATGGTGACATTCTTCCCAGGGCTTTACCTTCCCTCTTTAAGACGAATGCCAAGTAGGGTAGGAGCAAGGGCTCAGAACACCATGGAATACCACCACGGAGACCATTACAGGGACCACCATGGGAGCCACCACGGGGACCACCATGGGAACCACCACAGGGACCACCACGGGACAACCACGAGGACCACCATGGGAACCACCACGCGGACCACCATGGGACAACCACGAGGACCACCATGGGAACCACCATGACAGACTACCACAGGGACCACCACAGGAACCACTACAGGGACCACCATGGAGACCACCACAGGGACCGCCATGGGAACCACCATGGATGTCACCTAAGGGACCACCACAGGAGCCACCATGGGAACCACCACAGGGACCACCGTAGGAGACCATCATGGGTACCACCGGGGAACCACCATGGGGACCAACATGGAGACCAACACAGGGACCACCATGGGAACCACCACAGGGACCACCAGGGAGACCACCATGGGGACCACCACAACAGGGATCACCATGGGAGGCTACCCTAGGGACCACCACAGGAACCACCACGGGAACCACCACAGGGACCACCATAGGAGACCATCACGGGTACCACCAGGGAACCACCACGGGGACCACCATAGGGACCACCAGGGGGACCACCACAGGGACCACCATGGGAGGCCACCCTAGGCACCAGCATGGGGACCACGACAGGGACCACCACAGGAGATCACCACAGGGACCACCACAGGGACCACCATGGGGACCACCACAGGAACCACCATGAGGACCACCATGGCTACCACCCCAGGGACCACCCTGGGAGACCACCATGGGGACCACCAGAGGGACCACCCCAGGGAACACCATGGGGACCACCACAGGGGACCACCCAAGGGACCACCATGAGGACCAACACAGGAGGCCACCATGGGGAATATCCATGGGAGACCACCACAGGGACCACCCCAGGGACCACCCTGGGAGACCACCATGGGGACCACCACAGGGACCACCACAGGGACCACCACAAGGGACCACCCCAGGGAACACCATGGGGACCACCACAGGACACCACCATGGGGACCACCACAGGGACCACCACAGGAGGCCACCATGGGAGTATCCATGGGGACCGTCACAGGGACCACCACTGGAGACCACCATGGGGGCCCACAATGTGAGACCATCACAGGAACCACATGAAGGAGCACCACGTGAGATCATCATGGGGACCGCCATGGGGGATAACCACGAGGGACCACCATGGCAGACACTCAGAACAATGGGAAGTGTGAGGGAAGAATTGGTGATTAAAGTCCACCCATCCTAAGCACCCAACCCCCGGGTGACTGAGGCCACAGGGAACACCAGAGTCACCCATCATCCAAGTGCCCTCTTACCCCCAACCCACTGCAGGCAAACACAGTTACCTGCACGATTGGGTGAACTGGGACTTTGTGCAGATCTTGCTGTGAGGGCTCCTGGATCAGGCTTGAGGCCACAAAGCTGAATCCTCTAAACAGGTGATGAGCGTTTGCACTCGGGGGGACGCCAGGAGAGTCTGTAGGTGACAGGGGCAGAGTTCAGATGCCACGAAAGCTGGGTGACCCTGGGGTGAAGTGATAGTGTGTGTGTGCATGTGGTATGTGTGTGCAAGTCCGTGTGTGTGTGTGTGTGTGTGTGTGTGCACGTGGCGTATGCCTGTGGTGGAGGAAAAGGTAAAACAGACATGTAGAAATGCTGAACCAGATGAAACTACATTCTTTTGGCTTGTGCTAATGGTTTGATTTTTAAATGGCAAAAATACCCAGAACAAAAACTTCAGGATTATCATTGATGGCATCTGTTAGTTTGCCAACTTCTGAATTTACTCTATATTCTTGACCACACTCCTCCACCCCTACCCACTCCAGACTCAGTTAAGAAGGCACCAATGACCTCAGGATGGAATTGTCAGTGAACATGAATCCTGTATCCTTAGCTTCTGGTCTCTAGGTTCGACAGGTCCCACCCCTGTGCCCACAGCTGCATAACTGCATGTGTGCTGTGCACGTGCTCTGCTCTCCAAGGACATTTGGGCAACGTTTCTCCTGTCCACAGCAAGGCATAGTACGAAAGGAGTAATTCCCTTCCATTAAGATTTTTCTGATCTCTGTAAGATCTGTGTTCAAAAGCATGACTGCTGTGAGATTGATCCCATTTCAAGTTTATCATTAAGAAAAACAAAAGGATAAATCCCTCGTGGGGAAAAAAAATCTGCATCATACATAACAGATGAGAGGTTAAACTCTCTATTGCCCGAAAGCTCCCAGAGATCAATGAGAAAAGAGCAAAATACTCAAAGGAAGGAATTCTGATAGCTACCATAGGCATGAAAAGATGCCCAATCTCTCTAAGGAGTAAGCATACACATATTTAAATAGGACAACACTTTTGTCTAATGAACTAACAAAAATGAAAGAAATCAATCACATCTGGGTTTGGCTGGGGGTGGACACTTATAATTGTAGGAGGGAGCATAACTGGCATAATCTTCTGGAAAGTCAACTGGCAACATTTAAAGCCAACTTTAAAATTTCAAAATTAAAAATTTTGAAAGTAATTCTACAGAATTACTTTCAAAAGTGCACAGTAATAACAAATTGTAGATGACGCAAACAAATGGAAAAACATCACATGCTCATGAATCAGAAGAATTAATATCATCAAAATGAACATATCACCCAAAGCAATCTACAGATTCAATGCAATCTCTATCAAAAAACCAACGTCATTTTTCACAGAATTAGAAAAAACAATCCTAAAGTTAACATGGAACCAACAAAGAGCCTGAATAGCCAAAGCAATTTTAAGCAAAAGGAACAAAGCTAGAACTAGAAGCATCACATTACCTGACTTCAATTATATCACAAGGAGATAGTAACTAAAATAGCATGGTACTGGTATAAACATAGACACACAGATTAACGGAACAGAATAGAAAACCCAGAAATAAAGCCACATGCAAAGTCAACAAAAACTTTGTGGGGAAAAGACACTCTTTTCAATAAATGATACCGGGAAAATTAGTTCGTCATAAGCAAAAGAATGAAACTGGACCCCTATGTCTCACCATATACAAAAATCAACTAAGAGATTAAAGACTTAAGTGATGAAAGACCTGAAACAATGAAAATACTAGAATAAATCCTAGAGAAAACTCTTTAGGACATGGGTCTAGCGAAAGACTTCGAAAGTCTTTTAAGGGCTGGGTGCAGTGGCTCACACCTGTAATCCCAGCACTTTGGGAGGCTGAGGCAGGTGGATCACTAGGTCAGGAGTTCGAGACCAGTCTGGCCAACATAGTGAAACCCTGTCTCTACTAAAAATACAAAAAAAATTAGCCAGGTGTGGTGGTGTACGCCTGTAATCCCAGCTGCTTGGGAGGCTGAGGCAGGAGAATTGCATGAACCCGGGAGGCGGAGGTTGCAGTGAGCCAAGATGGCGTCACTGCACTCCAGCCTGGGCGACAGAGTGAGACTCCATCACACACACACACACACACACACACACACACACAAAAAGGCTTTAAGACCAGCATAAGAAATCATCAACAGAATGAACAGACAACCTGCAGAATGGGAGAACATATTTGCAAACTATGCAACTGACAGGGGAGTAATATCTAGAATTTACAAGGAACTCGAACAACTCAACAACAACAACAAAACAAATAACCCCATTAAAAATTGACCAGAGGACATAAGTAGACATTTTTCAAAAGAAGACATACAGATGGCCAAACAGCATATAAAAAATGCTCAAGATCGCTAATCATCAGATAAATACAAATGAAAACCACAATGAGATATCACCTTACATCAGTCAGAATGGCTATTACTAAAAAGTCAAAAAAATAACAGATGTTGGTGAGGATGTGGAGAAAGGTGGTGGGAATGTAAATTAGTACAACCTCCATGAAAAACAGTACGGAAATTTCTCAAAGAACTAAATGGAACTATATTCGATGCAGCAATCCCACTGCTGGGCATTGCCCAAAGGAAAAGAAATCGTTGTCTCAAAAAGATACCCGCACTTGGAAGCTTACTGCAGCACTATTCACAATTGCAAAGTCATGGAATCAACCTAAGTGTCCATCAACAGGTGATTGGGTAAACAAAATGTGGTACATATACGCAATGGAATACTATTTAGTCATAAAAAAGAATGAAATCATGTCTTTTGCAGCAACATGGATGGAAAAGAAGGCCATTATTTTAAGTGAAACAACTCACACGTGGAAAGTCAAACATCGCATGTTCTCACTCATAAGTGGGTGCTAAATTGCTAAATAATGTCTGCATGTGGATGTCGAGTGTGGTGGGATAGAGAATGGAGACGTGGAAGGGTGGGAGAAGGTGAGGGATGAGAAATTACTTAATGGGTAAAATGAACACTCCTCAGGTGATGGTTACACTAAAAGACCAGCCCTCACCACTATGTACTCTACCCATGAACAAAACTACATCTGTACCTCTGAAATTTACAGAAATAAAAAATAAAACAGGCTGGGCGCGGTGGATCACACCTGTAATCTCAGCACTTTGGGAGGCTGAGGTGGGCAGATCACGAGGTCAGGAGTTCACGACCAGCCTAACCAACATGGTGAAGCCCTGTCTCTATTAAAAATACAAAAATTAGCCAGGCGGGGTGGCGCACGCCTGTAATCCCAGCTACTCAGGAGGCTGAGGCAGGAGAATCGCTTGAACCTGGGAGGTGGAGGTTGCAGTGAGCCAAGATCGCACCACTGCACTCTAGCCTGGGTGACAGAGCGAGACTCTGTCTCAAACAAAACAAAACAAAAAAACAAGCAAACGAAAAAATCCCAAAGTACTTAGACATAAATGTAGAAAAAGTCTGTTTCAGTGATATGTGTTACAGAAAAGAAAAAGGAGACACTAAATACTCCTCACTAAGACAATCATGGTCATGGTCAACAGTGGCCCATCTGTATCAGGATGCTTTGTAATGATTGCAGTGTGAGTCCTGCCAGCGAGACCAGGGCCATCAGAAGGAGCCACAGTTGCATGGACTGACAGAGACGTGGCTTCCTAATCGTTTGTCAAATCAAAAAAGCAAAAAGCTGTTGAACAATATGAAGAACCCAGACATTACTTAAAAAATTAAATATATTTTAATATATTTAAAAACAGAATAGGATAATAGATTAATATATTAAAATAGAATATATATTACACTAAAATAGAATACTATAATACATTATATAATATGTAAATTTATAATATATGAAAATATAATACGTAATTTTTCCTGAAAACACACATATGTACAAATTTAAACATTCTTATTTATATATCTTTTAAGACTCCCTGTATGTATAGTTGTGTGCATATTTGTATATTCGAGAATTCTCTACCCGCAGGCCTTTGTCTCTCAGCACTTCTTCCCCCCCTCGTCTGTTTAGGTGCTGTACTTTGAAAGGAAGAAAGTGCACCTAGTTCTCAGTTTTATCTCCACACGGTGCGGCAGGTGTGTGGGGGTGGGAGGCAGCTGCAGAGAACACGTGTTTTGTTTCTTAGCATCATATTTTGGGGACAACGGTTATGAGGGCAGCCGCTCCGAAGCCCAGGAGCCGGGCCCCACGCCGCGTGGGCCTCTGGTGCAAGCGGGGGCCAGGCCGTGGGCAGATGGACGACGCAGCGTCCCACTGGTGCTCTTCCTGGGGTAGGAAGCGTCATGGACCCGGGCTCATCTTCAGTGTCCTGAACCAAGAGGCAGCTAGAGCCAGGTGTCGGCCCTCAAAGGGGCCAAAAAAGGGGCCTTCACAGTCACCCCAGGTAGATGCCCACGCGACCCCTGGACTAATGTGACCAGAGTCGGCTGTGTTTGGAAATAAACTTCCAACGCTCCAGACTAGCGAAGCGTCGTTAAAAAACCGAAGGTACCCTGAGTGGTTTTTAGAAACTGAAATTCTGCAGCGCGACCCGGCAGAGAAGCTCGGGGCTTTCTGAGCGGCTCTGCTTCGCGGCACACGGAGCCGCTCGAGGAGGAGGCGCTCCTGCTACACCCGGTTTGCTCTCTGCACAAAGTCTGGCTTTGAGGTCTGCCTCCTCCCAAAGATCCCCTGAGCTACCACGGGCCGCAGATTCTCCCCCGGAAAAATGAAACACACATGGCTACATCATGGTTTAAGAAATCTTCAAACCTGGAGGCACTTTGATGTCTTCCCTTAGGGATTTAGACTCAGAGCTTGAGCTTATTCTGGGGAATCCGCAGAGCCACACGAGTGTGAAGTGCTGAGCAAGGATTGGGAGTCCAATTTACAGCCTGTGGAGGAGTGTGTGCGGGGGTGGGGGCACAGGCCATGTTAACTTGACAGACACAGTTTCATTGGTGAATGGAAAATCTGTAATTCCAATAAGCAATGTCTTCTAACCAACCAAGAGGCACGGAAGACACAGCCACAACCTTCCGTGGCCAGAGAACCCATGCCTCTCCTCACACAGACCAAGGAGAGCCTGCGGAAAGGGTAAAAGTAACAGCAATTTACCGAAGGCCAAGTGGATCTTCACCAAAAGTTAAGAGGCTGACATTTGGTCGGTGTGGCTAGCTAGTAAGGAAATGACAGGTGGCCTAAATAGAATTTAAAGCACTTTATAATCACCTGAGGGATGCCGATTTTCAGCACAGTATTTAAGAAGAGCAAAATTGTGAGTCAGATAAAAGGAGATGTAGAACTACAGTAATTACAAACAACCTCTCATGGTCCTGTGGGTATTTCCTGATTTGTGGAGTCTGCCTGATCGGTTTAAAATCTTAGATTGGCATCTCGGGCTAAGCAGCATGCTCTAGGGGGCAGCCAAGGTGTGATCAGGGAATAGAAACCAGCTTGAGCGCTGGCTGAAGTTTCAGAAAAGACTGAAAGCCTAACTGTAAGAAATTCCCACTGTGAGTCCAGGATCTAACATAGAGGATTTGTAGCTTATCCATTGCTTCAGAGTCACATTTCTACAGCTGCTCATTCACCCAGCCATGTGCTCAGCTCACATGCTTAGAAAATCCTACTCTCCTGTACAAATCAGAATGAGTTTAATGTGTCTTTAGCACTTCAATTACTACCTACCTCAAAGGCAAACAGTGGTGTGATAAATTAACTGAAACTGATTGGAGAACTGGAAACACTAAGGAATAAAAAAGGCAATTCTGAATAGCACTGGAGTGCATTGTGTCTAATTATGTTTTCCTTAGGCTATTATTAAAATACAATGGAATTCTCTAGAAGCTCAAAAAAAGCTTCCGGTTCCACTGGCCAACTAGGTTGGGGTTTAAATTCTTCACAGATAAGATAAAAGGCATGTCCATATGAATATTAGAGTTGACTGTATTAACATTTTCTTACCAAGCAGCACAAACATAGACTTTCTTTCCACATTTTAAACACACAGCCCCACATGTTGGCACCTCACGAGGATGTGTGCACGTTCTGTTAGGGACCTTATGGTCCTTGTGGACTTAGGGACAACGATCTCGTGGTCAGACCTAATTGCCTCTGAGCTCCTTTTACATTCAGGCCAACAATAGGTGGAGAAATATCATGACTTGCTTGGGTGACCTGTGGGCAGGGGCAGGAGGGAATCCCCAAATCCTGCCCCATCTTTTCAAACTCAGAAACTGAAAAGTAATCCTGTTCTGTGAATTGGGTTAAGTTTGTCAATGGGAAGGACCAACCCCAACACACAAATACTTTCTAAGGAAGCTGAGAATGGGGTGAGGTGAAAATCCCACAGTCACTTACCGGAGAGAGCAGACCCAGAAGTGTTCTCCAAGGCAGCCTCATTACATCATGAATCAGTGATGAACCAAAGCTATAATGATAGTTTTAATTCTACCTGGGGACTGCAGGATGACCCAAAAGAAGTAACTGAGCAGCCGGTGGCATGACTCCCTGGTTTACAGTGCCCGGAATCAGCTTTCTTCCTGTTCTTGGTACCAATGTGGCCTGGGTCAGGAGCTGGCCTAGGCCCATCAAAAGTCCCGCTAAAAGCCCCGCAACCCTCCCTATCTGCACACGCTCACACCCTCCTCAATGTGTTCATCTGGGTATATGGGAAACAGGGATTTCACCAACAGCTGAATCTGGAGGAACAAAGTGGATTCTCTAACTTCATCTACCTGACATTTTGTGGTTGACCATATATTTGTTTCCCGATTATCTTTTAAAAAATAAGAAAATTTCAGATTCAAAAGCAGCGAGAAAAAATACAGTGAATCCCCGTAGATCCAAGATGCAGCCTGGCCAACCACCAGCTCCCTGGACTTGTCCCACTTATGTCTACAGAAGGAGCTTGTGGATGGTTTTGTACATAACCAGCATACTGTTAGTGTTGTGGACTGAATTATGTCCTTCCCAAATTCAAATGTTAAGGCCCTACCCCCAAGTGTAACTGTATTTGGAGACAGGGCCTTGATATGGTTCAGCTTTGTGTCCCCACCCAAATCTCAGGCTCTGTGTCCCTACCCAAATCTCATCTTGGAGCCCTCATAATTCCCATGTGTTGTAGGAGGGACCTGGTGGGAGATGACTGAATTATGGGGGTGGGTCTTTCCTGTGCTGTTCTCATGATGGTCAATGAGTCTCATGAGATCTGAGAGTTTTAAAAAGGGGAGTTTCCCTGCACAAGCTCTCTCTTTGTTGCCATCCACGTAAGATGGGGCTTGCTTCTACTTGCCTTCTGCCACGATTGTGAGGCTTCCTCAGCCATGTGGAACTGTAAATTCACTAAACTTCTTTCTTTTGAAAAATTGCCCAGTCTCAGGTATGTCTTTATCAGCAGTGTGAAAACAGACTAATACAGGCCTTTAAGAGAATAACTGAAGTTAAGTGAGGATAAAAGTGTGGGGCCCTAATCCAAGAGGACTAGTGTCCTTATAAGAAGACAGAGAGACACCAGAGCTCCATCTTGCTGTCTTTGCACACACAGAAGAAAGGCCACGTGGGGACACAGCAAGAACACAGCTGTCTGCAAGTCAAGGCGAGAGCTCTCACCAGGAACCAACCCTGTCAGTACCTTGAACTTGGACTTCCAGCCTCCAGACTGTGAGAAAATAAATGACTGTTGTTTAAACCACACAGTCTGTAGTATTTTGTTATGATAGCCCTATCAGACCAGGATAATTACCATATATAAAAAAGCAGACTTTAATTCATTAATATCCCAAAAAGATAACTTTTAAAGGGAGCTGACCAGTTCTGATGAAATTTGCTAGACCCCAAGAGTAATTTCAGACACACCAGGAGACCAAATCTATGCATCCAATTGCTGTGCTATTTAGTAGCCGATACTACTTTTCAAATGGGTTTCTGTTTTTTGCATGAATAATATCTATAGCTCATAAATCTATAGACATAACTGACAGCCTTCCCTCTCCGTAAATGCACTTTAATTGAAAGAGGGATTTTAATTGCCTCCAGTTTCTTTTCTTGCTCTTGCTGTGTGTCTCTCTGACACAGGAAGTAACTGGACCGGTGTCTTGGAATAAGGATACCTTCATCATTTCCAAGGTGGAGGTTATATAGGGAACAACAGAGAACTGGGGCTATCACTTAAACCTTTATCACTGAGCAGAGAAAACAACAACAAAAAACCCAAACAGAATGGACAGTTATTTTCCATGAAAAGAATTCTGAGGCATGGGAATTTCTTGTTCCTAGATATCTGTCTCTAAGGGGTCAGGTGGGAGAAGCCACCGATAGAGGGAACCACTGTGGCACACACCTGTGGGCGTCCGCGCTGTGAACTCGGGGTCAAAGTGGAAGGTGTCCTCAGGCCTGCCCACTGCTGGTTTGAACGGTGGCTTGATCTCCTTCCGGTACAGCGTCTATTAATACAAGGAAAGCAAGACAGGGCACTGAGGATGCACAGACATTGCCACAGAACACTGGGGACAGAGAAACCTGCTGTGGGGAGGGAAGGATGTTCTTATCACAGACTGCATTGGCCTTGTGGATTACAAGGGATTTCTAAATACTCTGAAATATAGATGGCATAAAATATATTATGTGTAGTATGATAGATACTATGGCATATATAATAACGATGTATTATAGAAAGGTATAGAAAAGGCATAGTTTGAGGTATGAGGGTTTGGGGACATGCCAAGTGTTCTTCATTTTAGGGCAATAGTTTTCTAGCTTCTTCTTGGTAGTAGAATCTTCTTTTCCAAGTAAAATCATACAGGACAGCCACCACTTGCCCCCACTGGGGACAGCAGTGAAGAGGCCGTGTGGCTCTCTCCTCCCTGCCCTGGGACTTTGGGGCCAGCACCACGGAACTTCAGCTCTGCGGGGCACTGCAAAAACCGCCGACCCAGAGCCACCCCAGGGTGCTCTCTTGCCAGTGTCTCAGGGCCTGTGCTCTGGGGCCTTGGCACCTCTGCCAGAAACCTGCCTTGGGTGTCAGAATGAGGGCGCCCAGGCTCCTCGACAGGAGGACGCCTGCATCTGCAGAGAACCGGCCCTTCCCATGCCCCCTCTGGGCCCAAACTTATTTCCCCAACAGGACCTTGGACAGAAGGCACAGAAAGTCCACAGCCCTCTGTGCTCCGGTCTCAGAGCTGCCTGCCTGACAATGCTTTCCAAAGCTGAGATGTGTTGTTTTCAATCCTCTAGGGCAACAAGGCATTCTGTTGGGAATTCAATGTAAAGAAAGCACACACAGGTACCTGGAACCTGGCGTAGTCCTCAGGCGGGTGATGCTGCAGGTGGTGCTTAGATGGAGGGAGCCGGGGGAGCCCAGTGCTGAGAGAAGTGTGGAGGGGGAGGGGCACTGGAGGGAGGACTGGGGCCTGAGGCCTGACTGGAAGGCCGAGGGACCTCCGGGCAGATTCAGTAGAGGATGCTGGGTTTAGTCAAATCACCCTGACGACAGAAGGCACGGGCCATGCCAGTGTGCTGAGGGGCCAGCCTGGTAGTTAGCAGGGCAGCAGCAGGGCAGGGCCAGGCTGGGGTCTTGCCCCCCACTGAGCATGGGGTTTCCTTAATCCTGCCTAGGGAGGGTCCCCACGGTGTTCGCAGAAAACATCCAGCCTGGAGTCCTGTCCTGGGCACTTGTGTGTGACCATCTAGAGCTCAGTTCTGGACTCAGGGACCCTCATGGCCGTGCAGCTCTGGAAAATGGACACAGTGACTCCAGCTAAAACCTGTTCTACATCTCTGGAAAGCAAATTTCAACACCTCCTCCGATGAGGCCCGACGGGAAGGGAGAGGAGGGAGGAGGGCGTCTGACATCTGGGTCCCACCTGGGGCACACCCTGCTCTGCTTATCCGGGAGCACCTGGGTCAGAGCCCAGGCCAGAAACCAGGGCCCACAGCTACTGCAGGAGGGCGAGGTGCCAACAGACGCCCCCGAGCTCCCCCGGGGGCTTATCAGGCAGCAGGATGTGCCCTGATGTGCAAGAGCTCAGGGCGTGCACGCGGGAACCATCGGAGGAGAAACAGGATTGAATTCAGCCCTGAATTATTTGCTCATTTCCTGCCTTGGGGGCATAGATTTCATTAGCACCGAGTTACTCTTCAAGCCATTTTCAGAAATGAAAAGACGCTGCTTTCTGCAGTGAGGCACAGGACAGGTGGGAATAATCTCCCCAGACACATGTGCTTGCCTGAGGAAGTCTCCTGAGCTGGGAAGCCCAGGCCATCGGGTGCCACGAACAGGCCAGTGCAGCCCATTCCCCACCCAGAGAGTCCTGAGAGCCGGGCTATTAAGAATCCTGCTGAAGTCAAAATCACATCCTCCCTCTGTGTGAGAGCAAGCGAGGGAGAGAGGTGGAGAGAGAGAGAGAGAGAGATGGGGAGAGATGGGGAGAGAGGGGGTGGGGGGAGAAAGAGACGGAGGGGAGGAGGGGAGAAATGGGGGAGGGGGAGGGGAAGGGGGTAAGAAAGAGAGAGAGCACGCACTAGCTCGATCCAGCACAGAGCCAGGCCTCCTACTTTTATTATGAGGAGGAATTTATTTACACAAGAGATTTCCATTAAAAACAAAATAAAATACAAAACTGGTTGTCACGTATTCATTCCAGTGTGAAGTGTTTACCTCCGGAAAGCAGGGGCCCACATGGCCCCTCTAGCTCCTCTCCTCCGTGCCAGCTCTTCCTCCATCATCCTGGGGACCCATCTTGCCCACCCCTGCCCCTGCCCCACCACAGCCTCTGATAAAACCATCCCCAGAGCCTGGTGCCCAGTGCTTCTTCATAGAGGGGTTTTGCCCCCACTGGGACATTTGGCAGTGCCCAAAGACACTGCTGGCTGCCACACCTGTGTGACCGCTGCAGGCTCCCAAGGGGTGGAGGCCAGGGTGTGCAGAACCCAGCCACCCATAACAGCCCCACCACACAGCATCGCGCAGGTGCCACCCAGGGTGAAGGTGGGAGACCCTGGCCCTGCCTGCTTCCTTCTCTACCTCACCCTTCCTGCCTTGTTTCTGCTCCAACCCTCAAAAGTGCAACGTCAACCAGCTTCTTCAAGAAGGAGGACTGGATGTTGAGGCGACTGGCCACTGTCCTTGGAACCCCTTCCCCTCCCCATGGAACCCCCGGTGGGGCAGGGCTGCAGGCTCTGCCTGGCTTCCTACAGGCCACATCCTTCTCCCTCCTCGTCCACCGATGGGGCAGGCACCACAGCCTCGCTTCACAGCTGTCCAGGAAAGCACAGGCTCTATCTGTGACCACCCTGCCTCTGGAGGCTCACATCCAGAGGCTGTCACCTTCCTGCCTTCTAAGTCAGATTCACAGCCCAGCACTGGTACTGCTGTGACCTCCTCTGGGCTGAGGCCATCCCACTCCTTTAATACTAAGTATCTGCTGCTAAGTCAGGTCCCGGTTCCCTCCAGCCCAGGACACTGCGCCTGGGGGCTGGGCTCAGACTTCCCCTGTGCTCTGCCCCATCTGTGCCTAGCCCGGTGCTGCGAGTCACCTGGGATGCCCAGTGAGGAGGTCCTAAGCCCAGGTAGTCCCGTAGCACTTTTGTACCACACAAATAGCTCCCCCTCACACGGCAGCAGGAGGAAGCCCGCCTCTGCTTTCCCCGTGCTTTCCACCCCTCGGCTGTGAGCCCAGGCTTTCAGCTCACAGACCCCAACAAGACCAGAGGGAGGCATGCGTGTGAGAGTGGACGGAGCGCTTGCTGAGGGCCAGGGCCTTCCTTCTGTGCCGCGGGAGCCTTCAGGCAACTGGCCACCCCGTAACATGGGTCCGTGTGCCAACCGCAGCTATGAACACAGCCTGTTCACTGGGGCCTGCAGACCACCATGCCCCACCTGCTGGAGGCTGCTGCGTTCTCACTCTGGTCTGGGCCAGGCAGTGAGGTTCTGTGCGGGCCGCCGGTGGCCAACTGGAGCCGGTCACTCTGGCCCTTTGGACGGCTTCCTCGAGGCTTGCTGCAATCTTAAAGGCCGGTCAATGTCTTCCTGATGCTGCGTAAACATTTGGAAGGTGCTAATATGTGTTATTACTGTGTATGCTTTTTCTTTCCATGTGCAAACCTAAGAACGGGTTTGAGGCTTTGGGGGAGAAGTCATCCGGCCTCTTGCTTTGTATGTAAACCACTGTAGGCAGGGTTGTGTTGAGAGTGAAACAGCAGCAGCATCTCACCTGGGATTCTGAGCTTAACGAGACAGACACTGGCAATTCTGCCCTGGATCCCCCCTTTCTGAGACTCTGGGACAATTCATGCCGAAACCGACGAGAGAAAATGCAGTCTCATGATCAAATTCGCCAGGCACATTTAAAATCATCTCATTTGTCCCAGGATGTCAGAATGACACAGTGTGGCCGCAGGGCTGAAACGAATTTCACGGGAAACAAGCGCACGTGAGGAAGCCCGGAGCAGGCCCATCAGGATTCTATTTATACTAAAGACCTTCAGCTAAGTGAGAAGAGGACCGAGACAGCAACAGAAAAACGGGAACTGGGTGATGACATAGGAAACAGATGCTAGTTTGGGGTCTCAGACCCTAACATCTGCCTTCTGTAGACGGTTTTGGCTTCAGGCATTTTGGAATTAATACGCTCCAATAAGGCAAAGGGCACATTTATAGATTATTCCTAAAATAATAATGCAAAAATATGCAGACCAGAGAGAAGACAGGATCGAAAGCGCCGCAGGAAGAATCTAAACGATTTTCAAAGCGTCACGATGGGTGTGACAGGTCAGTGGCTCATGGAGCGGGACTGTGCCTGCAGTTTACCCGGCTGTAGGTGGGTCCAACAGAAGAAGCACCTGAAGGGTGATGATTCATTGCACAGAGTCCTTGCTGGGTTCCCTGAAGGGGGAGTGCTCCTAGTGTATATAATGTAGGAATAAAAGGATAGAAATCTCGCTGCTGGCAATGGGAGCAACAGCTGCATGGAGACGCCTGTGCTGTGAGGCCCTGACCCGCAGCCTACAGCTCCCACACCCCCAAACCACTCTCTGCGCCATACTGCAAATACTCCACTTGTGGGCAAGAAGACCAAAGTGGCCTGAAGACCCGGAACCCACCCTCTGCTCCTGCCAGGACACACAACAGCCAAGTTCAGGGCACACCCCACGCGCTGCCAGATCACCGAGCGACCTCAAGCTTCTCATTGTCCTGTGCCTCAGTCTCCTCTACAAGTTTCTCCCATCTCACAGCATCACAGCTAATGGTGTGCTTGGAAGGGTTTCAAACTGTACAAAGAACATAAACATGAGCTACTAGTATTGATCATGAATAACGAATAACAGTAATAATAAGAGTCAGTGCAATACTAAGGGTCTAGGCCCTGGACAGAGTTCCAGAAACAAAGATGTCCCTCCCTGGTGACTGTGTGTCTCCAGCATCATCATTCACTGCCTGTAATAATATTTGCAGTTCCCTGGGTCCCCCTGCAAGGGACGCCAGGCTGGGCTGGGAGCCGTCCTCAGACTGGCTTGTGCTGTCTGCAGTGATTAACTTTTACGAAGCTTTTTTTGGGTTCGTGCTAATTCTGTGTTCTCAGCATGCTTCAGCCACGGGGGAAAAACCAACACAGCTTCTATCTGCTGGACTCTGCCGTATCCTCTGCAGAGGTTTGTAGTCCGATCATTAACTCGTGGCTTCTCACTCAGCTCATCAAGCAGAGCTGGCCTTCAGAAGGAATGGCTCCCGTGCAGACGTTCACTCGCTCATCTCTGAAGCTAAATTAAAAGGCAGCAGCCCACACCTCCACCGTCCCCACACTTACTGTCAGCAGATGGGTCCTGCTCCAGCAGGCCACTGAAGACCCCGGGGACAGCAGTGGGATGACAGGTGTTTACTTAAAAAAATAAATAAATAAATAAATAAATAAAAAGATCTGCTGGCAGTATCGGATCACAGAGAGCAGCAGAAAGCAAAATAAATATCCTAATATTTTCCCAGTTGGATCCTGAGGCAAGCCATTGGGTGAAGTACCCAGGCAGAAATCTAGTGGTTAGGAAATGTCTTCTCATTCGTCATTAAGGAGTGTCTGCATTGCAGAGGGAACGGCTTTTGGTGTTAACAGTTCTTGCAAATGAGGCTGAACTGTGGTTTTCAGTTTTCTGAGCTGCCGAAAAGCAGAATGGGCACATCTGGACAAATACATCACGGAGTAAAATTACCCCTTAAATAAATACCTTTAAACATCTTGCATTTTAGCCCCTGCTTTCTGAAGAATGGGTTGATGGCTTGCCTGGATGTGTTATTGGGGTTTGAGGTTAGCCATGAAGACACATGGGCTGCTACTGGGGCCGCAGACACAGGAGAACACACGGGCAAACTTGACTCATGAGAGAGGATCAGCTGAGATGGGGGGACCACTGGACTCATCCTAGCAAGATGTTGACAGCTTCTAAGACCATCACGGAGCGGGACTGTGCCTGCAGTTTACGCGGTGTCCTGAACACGGTGTTTTCATGCCTACACATCTTTGCTGGAAGCATCCTTCTTCTCCTCCTTCTGCCCCTCTGCTGGTTAATTCCACTCGCCCTCTTTCAGGCATCATTTCTCTCTCTTTCTGCTGGCCACTTTCACTGTGCACAAACCTCTTCCATCGGTGGATGATGGCGTTATGGGACAGCAGACTCCTCAGTCTGTGAGCAGCTGGAGGACGGGGCTCTGCGTTCCAGCTGTGACGTCATGGACATGGACACTTTGCTGGTGCACCACCAGGGTGAGCACCAAGCGTTATTTATCAAATGCATGAATTAATGCAAAAGTGGCATTTCTGAGCTCTTCTGCCACTCACGGGCTGTGTGGGTTCAGGGCGCTGGGCAGAACAAGAGCCTGCCATTCCTCTAGCACTGCTGCCTGCCTTCCTCTGGGAAGTACAGACATGAAGGAAACACGCCTGGTTCTGATCAATCACAAGGACCTCTCTCAAAACGAAAACAAGGCCAAAATAAAATCAAATTAAGTGCTAAGAGCAACAAAAGGAACTTCTCAGCTCTGATTCTAGTCTGATTCCTTTGAAATCACGCAGAAATGCCACCTTCTTGGGTTGTGTTTGCTTTCCAGCCACAGGGAGACCAGAGCACCCTGAGCAGAGGCGCTGTGTAGAGAAGGCTCTTATTGCCACAGGAAAAAGGCGGCTTCTGCTCAGAGCTCGCCGGACCTCAGCATTCTGGAATGCACATTAATCTAATGTGTCATAGTTTTCCAAATCCATCGTATTGTTAAAATTCCAGGCATCTCACAAGGTTGTCTTAGCAAGTGCGTAAGCCCTTCTGGGCCATGCATACTTTGGAGTGGCTCCACTCTTGGCTGAGTGCTCTGTGTTGCACTGTGTCACCTGGGGGTTCGGTGTGAAGAGACTTCTCTTTCCTACCAGCTGCAGCCCTCAGGGTCTCCCATCCCAGGATGCTGCCCTGCCCACCTGCAGCTCCCCCTCCCAGCCCAGCAATCCTGGTTCTCCATTCTCCCAGGCATGGTCTCTGGAGGAAGGACTAGAGTGTGAGAGTGAGGAAATGGAGGGGGCAAGTCTCCCTCGACAGCTGTGACTCCTGTCTTGAGAGTCTCACTCATTCATTCACTGATTCATTCACTGACTTACTGACTCATTCACTCACTTATTCACTGATTCACTGACTCATTCACTTATTCATTTGCTCGTTCACTCACTCCCTCATTCACTCACTCCCTCACTCACTCATTCACTAACTCACTCACTGACTCCCTTACTCATTCACTCACTCACTCATTCACTCACTCCCTCATTCACTCATTCCTTCACTCACTCCCTCACTTGTTGACTCACTCATTAACTCACTCCCTTACTCATTCATGCACTCCCTCACTCATTAACTCACTCACTCCTTTACTCATTCATTCACTCATTCATTCACTTCCTCACTCATTCACTCACTCATTGACTCACTGACTCATTCACTCACTCCCTCACTCATTCACTCTCTAACTCACTCCCTCATTCACTCACTCCCTCACTCATTAACTCATTCATTCACTCACTCATTAACTCACTCACTCACTCCCTTACTCATTCACTCACTCACTCATTCATTCACTCCCTCACTCATTCACTCCCTCCTTCCCTCACTCATCCATTCACTCACTCAGTAGGGATTCATAAAGTGCCTCCTTTGAGCCAGGCCCTGTTTTAGAGCTGTGGGATACACCTCTAAGCCACAGATTCCTGATCTTGCAGCTTACATTCTAGTGGCAGGAGACAGAAAATAATAATATACATCAGAAACACATGGTATTTTGAGGCGAGTCAGAAAGTGATAAGGGATATGAAAACAGAGCAAGGCCGGGGGCTGGGGTGCTGGGAGAGGAGCTGCAGTTTGGAAGAGCCGCAGGACAGGTCTCATAAGATGACACTGAATGGCAGACTGGAAGGAGGAGACCAGTGAGCCCTTGGGAGACTTGGGCAGGAGGGGCCCTGGAAGCCAGACCAGCTGGAGCCAGTGCTTGGGGGGAACCTGTTCCATGGAGGCATGGGAAGGAGGCTCCGTGAGGATGGGAGGGGTGAGGTGTGGCTGTCCTGACCACTTTCGTGTGCTTCTCCATCTGTCCCCTGCTGCATCCTCCTTGTCAGCACAGTGTCCTCCTGTGACATGTGCAGACCCATCTGTCCACCGCCTTTCTCTGCCAAGTCATCACAAGACCCACGGGTGCAGGACTTTGTTCCATCTACGGCTCTATCCCCAGCCCTGGAAAGTGCCTGAGACTGGGACGCCCAGCAGAAAGGGCTGGATAAATGGAGAAGCAGATCATACGGGGAGAAGCTGTGTGGTCCCACCTTAACCACTGGCAGGCAGGGGAGGGGATGCAACATGCTGTGACCCCCTGAGGGGCAGGCATCTGGGTTCCAGGCACAGTGCTGTGCTAACCATCCACAGGCTGACACCCAGGTCCATTCTTCATGAAACAGGCTTGCCTGAGATCTAAACGCCGTGTAAGGTGAAGTCTCCATAGAAAATACATTCCAACGCAGAGTCGAATGACAGTGACCTTAGGTGCCCATCTGTGAGGTGAGCACAGCCTGAGCTTCTGATAAGCCTAAATTTTCAGGGAAGCTAAGTAAGAGACTCCAAAGGGAGGCCTTGGTTTTCATTTCTTGGAGGTCCTGGTTGGGAGGCACAGATGTCCTGAAACTTTACACTCTTTTCTCTAATCTTACTTTCGAAAAGAAGTCTAATCTTACGAAAGTTCTTTAGTCAGAACTGTAAAACTAGGTTTTAAAAAGTTATCACTCTTCCCCAGTTTGAGTGCTTTGCTGGGGCTCAGGCTGAAGGAAGAGGAGAGCTGGCTGGTTTTATCCAGCACTGGTGTTACACATTCCCAGAGGAGAGGTCTGGGGCTGCAGGTGGGGCCCACCTCTTAATGAAATGCGTGGAGGCCCCGGACTCCATGAGGACATAAAGAAGACAGAGGCCGGGCGCGGTGGCTCACGCCTGTAATCCCAGCACTTTGGGAGGCCAAGGTGGGTGGATCATGAGGTCAGGAGATCGAGATCATCCTGGCTAACACGGTGAAACCCTGTCTCTACTAAAAATATAAAAAAAATTAGCCGGGCGTGGTGGGGGCGCCTGTAATCCCAGCTATTCGGGAGGCTGAGGCAGGAGAATGGCGTGAATCTGGCAGGTGGAGCTTGCAGTGAGCCGAGATCGCGCCACTGCACTCCAGCCTGGGCGACAGAGCGAGACTAAAAAAAAAAAAAAAAAGAAGACAGAGAGGAAAGCGAAAGCAGATAATAAACTCTATACTGTAGAGGGCATTTAAATCTTAAAAAGTGTTCCATTAAAATCTTTTGAGGTTAATTTGTTAGGTCAGGAAAAGAAAATCCCAACATAGCTGTTTTTGTGTTAACCTAAAGGAAAGAGCTGAAAGCAACTGATAGGAAAGGAGGTATCGCCTTCCTCAGATGGAAGGAACAGCCTCCGAGTTTTAGCCGCGAGAACTCCCTGTGTGGGGGACGCGTCAGACGCTGACTGCTTCACCATTCGGAGTTGGCGTCTTGGCAGAAATAGGCAATTGACACTTGTAGCTTGGTGAAAAGTGAGATACGAGAACTTCTCAGACAATGTCCAGCCTGGCCCAGAGAACTGGAAATGGAGGCTTTACCAATAACTCCACTAACAGAAGCTCCAGTTTATTCCAACAACTCGGCACTGTTGTTTTTTTTTTTTTTTTTTAAATGTGACTTCCACGTGGGCATCAGCTTGACTAACGATGGAAAATGCAGTATCGAATCTGGGCCTGCCCATAGCCCTAGCACTAAAGGGTCCTGGTTGAGCAGCTTGTCATGACTTTTGTCTGTTCAGCCCTTGAGGTTAGAAGACAGTCACTCCTGGAGCAATCGGGAATATGCAGGGCTCGGAGAGGCCGGGGAGTGGGTGCAGGGAGGACAGAAGCCTCGACTCTGATGGGCAGAGGAGAGTAGAAGGAGGAAAGCTGAGGGGACTTCAGGCCTCAAGCTGGAGGGAGGGGCACTCACGTGTCTGTGCCTCCCAAGTTGCCAGCCCGCTCAGCAGGGTCCTGGGGGCTCCCTGCCTGCAGGTGGCTTGTCTACATTCACCTCCGACCTACTTGTGACCCGGACACTGAGGACCCTCTGCACCAAGCCGTATGTTCCCTCCACCCACTTCTGTGTCACGCGTGTGCAGGTGGGGACTGTGGCATGCAACTTACGTTCCAGTCTATGGTCACAAAGAAGGGATGGCGCTTAATTTCCTCCACTCCGTCAATGCCAGCACCTGTCAACAACACAGAAATGATCATCAGAACAAATCCAAGATGGGGTTCTCTGACAGTTTCCAATGCAGCAGTGTGGAGGGTGGGGATGTGCAGAGGTGGGGCCGTGGGAAGGAGCCCAGAGGCTGCTCACTCCTGCCCAAGGCACCTGCGCACCTGCCGATGCCCCCAGCTCAGAAAGCCACGACTCAGCCCCGAGGGCTTGTGAGGCAGAGGTGGCCTGGGGTTGGAGTGAGCAAAAGAGGTGGTCAAGAGAAGCATGGGACAGGCCAGCCAGGTGCTGCCTGCTGCATGTGACGGCTGCCTAGCACCCCACTGTCACCCCCAGGAGCTTGAGGTGCCTGTGAGTGTGAGCACCAGGTGGACCTCCCAGGAGGCCGGAGGGGAAGGTGCAGAGCAGAGTTCCTGGCAAAGCTGCTGCAGTTAACCCGGGAGGGAAGGATTCCAGGAAATGAAGAGGAGTTGACAGGACTGAGTCCCGGAGGAAGCCAGAGCCCAGCCTCCTGCCCACACCTGGCCACCCCTGAGCCTGCTCAGACAGGTGACTGTGTTTACCTGGAGGCTGCTTACAAATATCTCTGCTTTGTTCTGTTATTTCTACCTAACCTCCTCCCTTACTTTGTTGCGTACAATCCTAAGGCCCTGGGGCAGAAAGGAAGGAGGGAGGAGTAGGCGGAGCGCTGGGGGCCCTTTCAGGCAGCATGATTCCCTAACGGTGGATACATGTCCACTCATCTGCCAGAAATCGCCACTGTCCCCCCAGAACGAGCCCAGTGTGGACAAGGCCTTTAGTCAGTAGCTCAGCTCACCGACTGCAGAAGCGTGCCCATTCACGGAGGCACTACTGTTCGGGAAAGCGGTGGGGCAGGGAGTGAGGGGCCGTGGAATCTTGCTGCAGTTTCTGTTCAGTTTTTCTGTAAACTTAAAACTGTTCTGAACACAAAGTCTATTAATTAAAAACAAAAGGCCCTAAAGCTCTAGGACTCTGTGTTTTCTCCAGGATGGGACGGCCACAGAGGAGCCCATCCTCCCGGGTCACGAATCCGAGAAGAGGCGGGCTTGGCTGGAAGGGGCAGTGGCGGCGGTGGCTGGGGAATTCCTGCCAGCTCCGGGCCCAGGGCTGGGGAGGGTCTGATCCCTGGGGCCCGGCTCCCCTGTTCTGCAAGCTGTGTTCCTTTCCGCTGCCAACTCCTAACGGCTGTGCTCCAAATCAGAGCCTCCTGTGCCATGTATGCCCCTTCGTGGAGCCCCCCTCATGTCCAGCTCTCACTCCTGGAAGAGCGGGGCTGCCCGGGGATGCTGTGGTCAGCACAGGTGTGGCCCGGCCTGTCCGGCTGGAAGCTGGCCTGGAGTGGCGCAGGTCACCGGGAGTCACAGCAGATGGTGCCATCGTTGGCTGGAACTGCCCGTGTCCTGACCCCTCCCACCCCTCCATTCCGCACTCTGGGCAGTGATGTGGAGGAGGCTCGGGGGCTGTGGTGGCCTCAGAAAGCGCCTCTAGGTGGTCAACGGCTCAGAGACAGTCCCCTTACCCTGGAAGCTTGGCCAGGGCCATGGTGCTAGGAACGAACCCACATACTAAATGCCCCTGAAGGCACTCTCACAGCACTCTCAGCTTTGTGTTATTCACACTTTGACGTGAAAGTCCATCTAGAAGGAATTAGAGGAAGGGCACACATTCAGGAGTTTCTCCTTCCATGAGGACGCAGAATCATAGGACAGACATAGCACACGGACATCTCAGTCATCCGATGCACAATTGCTGTTCCCATTTTACAGACGAGGACACTGAGGCTGACACAGGTTGGGTAGCTTGTTCAAAATCAGACCAGAGGTTATGAGTTACAGGTACTGGGTTTGGAGGCACATGTCTGAAAAGCAGCTGAGGTGCCCCACCTTCTGAAGTGTCTTTCCCGAGGACTCCCTGCTGAGGCCCCTCCGGGTCCCCAGTCTAGCTCCCTTGTTCTCCTCTAAACCCTGAGCCCAGGGATCTGATCCCAGGCCTTTGCAATCGCAGCAGCTGGCATGAGCCTTCGCAGGCGCACCAGTGGCTGCTGTAATGAAATTTCCAGAGCGACAGTCTGACTTCCAAACAGCCCTCCCCAAGCGCCCATCCTGTGTGCAGGCCTCCTTTGATGATGACCAGAACTCTGGGTTGAAGAGTCCTTCTGGTCACGATGATTAACAGAAAGACCCTCCTCTGAAGTGTGCCTCTCCTCTACTCTTTTGTTTGGTGACTGTTGGACGCATGGCCAGAGGCACTCTCAAAAGGCTGGAGATTGGAACAAACAGTTCAGAGGCCCTGGTACACGCACAGGTGTGGCAACTTGTTGGCTGTACTTCTTTGGAGGATCTATTTCACATTTTGTACCCACTGTATTTCCTTCTTGTTCATCATTTGCAAATATGGTCTGCAGGAATTTTAGAAAGTGAGAGGCAGAGGAAATACAGGTATTGGTATAACTACTATGTAACTGGTATATGCTGGGTTTACCTGGATCACTGCAATCAACACATTTCTATCTTTACCTCCTTTCCCCTAAGGTAGTAAGATTTTGCACCATGTTTGTATTTTAAGCCCTCAGCAAAAAGAGTCAACAGGGGAATAACACTTTGGTTATCACTAAAAAATTACAGGGGTTCCAATTACAGGGGGAAACATGAAACAGGAGGAGGACTTTTGCACTCAGCACCTTGAAACCTGTGTCAACCCTCCCAGGGCAGTCAGGTTTATTATTCTTGTTAAAATAGGTGACTTTGCACTCGGCTCCCCCTTTTTATCTCCACTGAACCCACTGGACAAATGACGGTGAGTGGAGTTCTGGGCGGGGAGAATCGGAAGGTATCAGGCTGATGCTGGAATCACGGCTGGCTCGCTACGGGATGCGGATGACACGCACTGAAGGCCTTCCTTGGTTCTAGAGGACTGCTGCCACTCATCTAGATCATGAAGCACTGACAAGAACAGGGACAGAAACTGTGAGCACAGAAGGCCGGAATTCCCTCCTGTCAGGCTTAGCAATTTGTCGTTAAGTTCCTTAATGCAGGGCAAATAGGAGTTCAAGGTTCAGGGGAACAGAAGATTCAAGAATCACACTTCTTCTCGGTAGTAATAACACCTGATCCTGTTTGTTTAAATGGCTTGTGGTCTATCTCCAAATTGGGGCGTCACCTAATGTGTTTATCTGGGTCTGTGTCTCCAATTGCTGTTCTCTGGTTAAGGGTATAATTTTGCAACCAGTTGGAACTCTCATATCAATGACTAAAGTGCAGTGCAGTGCCTGTGAATGGATTTTTTTTTTTATTTTGGGGGGATTCATTCTGTCGCCCAGGCTGGTATGCAGTGGCATGATCGTGACTCACTGCAGCCTCGATTTCCTGGGCTCAGGTGATCCTCCCAGCTCAGTCTCCTGAGTAGCTGGGACTACAGGCATGTGCCACTACACCTGGCTAATATTTTGTATTTTTTGTAGAGATGGGGTCTCACCATGTTGCCCAGGCTGGTGTCAAACTCTTGGGCTCAAGTGATCTGCCTGCCTGGGTCTCCCAAAGTGCTGGGATTATAGGCAGGAGCCACTGCACGGATGATTTATTCTTTCATTGCACCGATTCTGTCCAGCTCTTCTACTCCATATTTTTCACGAGGTAAGCCATTCATTTCATTGTGGGGATTCTAAATTCTCAGCAGGTGATTCCCAAAGGGTTTTGGTATCTGCCAAAAATGTGTGCATTGTGTCTGTATATCCACAGATAGCTTTAGGAGATGGTTAATTCATGGTTTGGGACTCCTTTGCAATATTTTCATTTTTGTTGTTTGAGAGTCACACAAACCCATCTCCGACACTTCTGGGAACATTCAGTAGAATCTTACTGGCTGCCTCCTTAGGTTTCTTACATACTGCAAGCTTCTCCTAACCAGCCCACCATGTCCAGCCTATAACCATCCAGGGCAACTTCCATCATTGACTTAAATACTAGGTCTGCTTTTTCAATTTCTTCATCACTTAAAGGTTATCTACACATTATTTGTTTAAAGGTTTTTTTTTTTTTTTTTTTGGCCAATTTGAAATTTCATCTATTTCATGTTTACACCCTTTGTCAGGGAGTCGCTCGTGTCCCACAGGACTCAGCCGGTTAGGAGTCAGGGATGGGCTAGGGGCTCAGGCTTGAGCGGTGTGGGAGTCAGATCTGCAGACAGGCCCTGGGCATGGGTCTCTAGCGGCTCCCTAGGGCTGGTTGTGAGGGTGGGGCTGCCTGGTCTTCAGCAACCATCAAAGCCTGGCTTATGACAGGCAGTCCCAGCAATGCCAGTAGAAACTGGGATGAGGATCAGAATGGACCACGTTTGAAGTCATTAAAAACACATCATCTGGAGATCAGTTCTGGACAGGAAAACAGTAACAAGAGCAACGGAAAACCTCTGCCCGTGCGTCAGCCACAGGCAGCAGGTGTGCTGTGAAGACAGCACGCCTGGCTTAGGTGATGGGCGTTGATTTGCTGTGCTATTTTTGTGCTCATCAGCACATCGAATTCCTTTCTAACCTTTCCCTCACTTTAAACTTCCCCCTGGGAGTCTCAGAATATCTCATGAGTTTCTAGGAGAAGCTACAGATGCTCATTAGGAATGAGCTAGAAAGCTGTCAGCTTTGGAAAAAAGGAAGATTTGGAGGTAGGCTTAGGAAGTTTTATACTCACTGCAAACTCCTGTCCTGGGGGGGAAGTCGGGAGATAACAAATAACAAACACTGGTGCTGAAAACCCCAGCAGTTCCTGATCTCAGTGCAGGATACATTTACAGCTGTTTCTAGACATCACTATGGTATAAACTTCCATCAGAAATGGAACTCACTTAAGTAATGAGAAGCAGCCAACACCACACCCAGGGTCTAGCCCTACAAAGCCTGTTCAGCAGAAGCATCACCCACAACCGCGAGCCTCTCCCATCTCAGCCGGGAGCAGCGCCAAGCACAGAGGGACCAAATGTCCTGCTGAGCCTGTTCCTGCAGAGCTTCATCCCGGAGCCTACCCGTGATGCTGCCTTGGTCCGTGCTTACAGGGTGCAGTGCCGAGGGCGCTGGCCAGGAGCCCCTTTCTCACCTTTCTTTTATTCTATTCTTTGAAGTCCCTGGATTTGCAAATCACTCAGAGTCACCGAGTCCTCCACCTGGGAGGCGTTTTCCTCGCACAGACAAGAAAGCAGACAGCCTGAGCAGGGGTGTGACCCTCCAAGGCCTCTATCGTGGGATGTGCCCCAGCCTGTGGTGCTTCTGCTTAGACTGGGTCACCCCATGCTGCTACAGCCACCCCAGGGTCTTTCTCTAATTCACAACCACACAACCACCAGAACAACAGTGCGAAGAAACAAGACTGGTGTCCCCTCGGCTGCACCCTTGAGAGCCCCCACGCTCACCACACCCACTGCGTACTCCCGAGCGTGGCCCGGCCCCTGGCTGCTCTGTCTCCTCTCCACTCACCCGTCACCCAGGCATGGGGACATTGCAGAGTCACACGTGCCCCCAGGTGTGCCATTCTTCCTTCCTTCCTCCCACTACTCTGCACGTGACGTTTCTTGGGCCCAGAAGGCCCCTCCCCCCACACCCCGTCCAGCATCTGGGACATCTTCTGAGACCCAACCCAGGCGTCCTCACAGAGCAGCTCTGTCGCCCCCACTCAAATAGATCAGTGGCCCCAAACCAGTGGCCTCTGGAGGTCAGTGGCAGTGCCATCCACCTTCCTAAGCCAGCACCTGCTACGGGCATTCAGTACACATTCACTGAACAGATCACACACGAAGGCAGGGGGATTCAGTCTAGAACTCTTTTGAACGAAGACATTTTATCTTCAGGGGATGTGGAGGTGGGAGAAATGCCAGTCTTAGACTCAGAAGCCTAGGAGCCTGGAGCAACTCACACGGGGGCAGAGGGCCGTTTTCTCACCTGCAGAGTGTAAGAGAGGAATGAGATGCGTCTGTATTTCTGGTAGTCTGGACATGTATAAACACATTATGCCATCTCTTCCAGCTGTCAATATCTGTGCAGAAACTCTGGGAGGGGTCAACTCCCCCAAATTTGTATGCTGAAGCCCTAATCCCCAATATCCCCAATGTCTCACAATGTGACCACATGTGCAAAAGGGGTCACTGCAGGTATAATGAGTCCGGCATCAGCAGGGCAGGCACTCATCTCCTATGACTGCTGTCCCTAGAACAAGGGGAAATTTGGACACAGACCCACACGGAGGAGAAGGCCACATGGAGATGGAGGCGGAGGTCAGGGTGTGGCATTCACAGCCAGGGGTGTCAAGGCTGGCCAGCAAAGCCCCGGGGTCTAGGAGCGGCCAGGGACACATTCCTTTCAGTGGGAGCACAGCCCTGCAGCCTTGAGCTTGGACCTCTGGCCTCCAGAGCTGCGGGAGGACACATTTCTGCTGTTCAAGCTGCCCAGTTTGCAGTTCTTTGTCAAGGCTGCCCCAAGAAACTCACACAGAGGGGCGGCCAACGAACAGCTCAGTGTTCACTGTGGTCCGCTGGGCATTAGAGACGTGTGTTTTTATCCGTGTTTCTCGCTACACTGTGCGCACACAGAGGGCACATTTTTCCTTTGATTTCCTAATTTCTAGCTTATTGTTTTGTCCACTGATCCCTCTGTCAACTGGACTGAACGGAACTGTCTGGAAATCCAGAGGCTTCCCGCTGGTGGGGGCTCATTAAGGAAGAGGCAGGGGTGAGGAGGTCGAGAGGCAGAGAGGGTCCCCTCTCTCCCTGGGGGAGGCCATAGAGAGGGAGAGTCTACAGCTCGAGGGGACTCACACTAGGGGAGACACCAAGAGAGGACAGGTGGGAGGCAATGAAGACGCATTTGCTCCTCCTCCCAGCCCCTCAATTGGGCCCTGAGGTCCTGTGTGGCGAGTCCAGGGCGGGAGAGCTCTGGCATTGAGAGCTCTTATCAGACAGGCTCAACACAGGGGCAGCTGGAGGTGTGCGATTGCCTTGCATATCCATGCGAGGGCCCAGGGTTAGAACGAGGCCTCTAACAGCCACCAATTCCCCAGATGGTCAAAGGGAGAACTCAATTCCAGGCTCTTTTGGAGGAACGAGAATAAGGCTCACGGCAGTCAGAAGCAGAGGTAAGTTCCAGCCACAAAACCGGCCGCCTGTGCAGGTGAAGGTGACTCTGCCCAGCGGGGTTTTCAGACTACCTGGCTCCAGCTCCGCAGGCAACTAAATCCAGCGCCCTCCCTGGATAAAGGCTGGGCAATTAATTCTGACTGTAGCTTCTTCATGTTGAGCCTGGGCATCTTAGGTTGTAAAATACACCTGTGGGAGGGTCCACAGCTCCTCGAAAGCTTGATGATAACTCACTTAGACACGGTTTGAAGGGCGATCTTGGCCCGAGGTGAGCCATTCTCCATGCTTGTGTGAGCTTCCAGGGGGCTGGTATCTTTTAACCAATACTCATCTCTACACCTAGGGAGGAGGTAGCTCCATCTTTCTCTCATCCATAATTTAAACCAAATACTAAAACAATATTTTAAAGAACTATGATTTTAGTAATGTTAAATTTGAAGGGTTTTAATTTAAAAAATAGGTTATTTAGAAAATTATTTGCTTCTCCCAGAACAAGGGGAGAAAAAGTACAAACACCCCAATACTTTGTCACATTCACCCAATTTACTGTAGCAAATCCTCTCCCAGCAATATAATAATGTTTGAAAGAAAATAGTGACTCTGGCCAGGCACAGTGGCTCACGCCTGTAATCTCATGTTGGGAGGCCAATGCAGGAGGACTGCTTTAGTCCAGGAGTTCGAGACCAGCCTGGGCAACATAGCGGGGCCCCTTCTCTACAAAACAGTAATAAACTAGTCAGGTGTGGTTGTGCATGCCTGTAGTCCCAGCTACTCAGGAGGCTGACGTGGGAGGACTGCCTGAGTCCAGGCAACTGAGACTGAAGTGAGTCATGATTGCACCACTGTGATCAGCCTGGGCAACAGAGCAAGACCCTGTTTAAAAAAGGAAAGGAGAGGAAACAGTGACTCCAAGACAAAGCGCTTCGATTGCTGCAAGAATAGATCTGAATTGTTGGCTCTCATGTACGTTTGGATGAATAAATACGTCCAGCATCTCCACTTCTCCTTTCTGACTCCAATTCGCATTTCCAGGGGGAGGCCAAGCAGGGGAGGGGTGCACAGCAAACCCTCACGCATGTGGCCCCACAGGTGGTGACTGCGGCAGCTCGGCTGGGCGGGGGCGGTTACCATGCGTCACCTCAGAGGGAGTGGCAGAGGTGGGGTCGCGGTGCCTGCCACCTGAGGCGGCACGTCCCTTGCACATATGCTCACGTGCTTATGTTATAATAAGTGTCCAGATGTCATTTGGGTGCTTGGGAATGACAAGGCAGAGACTACACAGATTTCCATCATAAAAGCTTGGTCTTGAAAGAGGAGTTTCAGCCACCGGCAAGGTTCCTGGCAGCAACTGTGTGAAGATGTTACCCTCTGAGGGATCAGACCCCGGGCAAGGCGGGCATGACTCTGTGCTCTTGCCAGGGTGGATTTCCCGGGTGAGCTTCGGGACTCTGGCATTGGCCTCAATGTTCTTCTGGCTGGTACTGCAGGCTTTCCATTTACCCTTCCATTCTGCAACCAGCTCAGTGGAGGGTTTAACAACATCTATTAAAATGCATCTCACAAAACGATGGTTTTCTCCAGAAAACGCTCAGAATTGTGGCTCCTCGGCTATTGTGCACCAGATAACGTTCCTCTGTTCTGTCCCACAGCCAAGTGGCAGAGAAAGAAAAGTGTCAGATGAGCAGGAAGCAATGAGGCCGGGGGGTTGGACACCCTTCCCGGCCACAGGCCTCTGCACACCGGTGCTCTCTGCTTGTTTATGTGTTTACTCGTCAGACCCATTACAGTGCTTCCCACCCATCAGGCACTGCTCTGCCTCCTCAAATCCTCCTACTTCACGATGTCGGTGCTGGTATTACCCTCAGTTCGTAGAATAAATAAGCAAGCACAGAGAGGTGAAGCCATCCGCTCAGGCCCACACGGCCAGGAAGGGGTGCGTGGCGTGGGTCTGAGCACCTGGCTCTCGCTTCACTTTGCTTCTGTGCCCTGCCCTGGACTCCAGCCTCTCCCACACGCTCCCCTCTCCTCTTTCGCTGCTGCTCTTTCTTCCCCTTCCATCAGGCCCTCTCCCCTCTTCTGAGATCCATTTTGTGCCTCATCTGCTTCTCTGCCCTGGCTGCAGGCATTTGTGCGCGTCTGGGCTGCAGCTGGCCTTGCTGTTTGCTGTCAGAGAGCCCACGAGCATGAGGGCCACACTTTGGCTTCACGGGTCCCCAGAGCCTAGCCCACGAGTGAGGGAAGGCACGGGCCAGACTGCCCATTATCCACTCACACTTGCTCTGGACGAAAGCACCCAGTGTCTGCCCAAGAGCCATGAGAAAGGGGCAGCAGGCGATGCTGGGGACAGGCGGTGGCCCCAGCCACGGCGAGGTGGCAGTGTGGTCCTGCAATCTGCCAGGGGGGCGGCCCCGGCCACAGTGAGATGGCAGCGTGACTCGCCAGCTGCCCGAAGAGCATGGTGAGTGGCAGCATGGTCCTGCTAACTGCCAGGTGAGGTGAGGTGGCAGCCATGGTGAGGTGGCAGCATGGTCCTGCTAACCGCCAGGGGGTGGCCCAAGGTGGGGCGTGTGCTAGCACGTCACAGAGAAGTCTCTGGCATCAAATGTTTCTCCCTAAAACAACTTTTTAAAAACTGGGTTTTCAATCATAAAAATAATACATATTGGCAGAAAAAGTCCATATTGGCATGAATGAGGTGAAAGGAAAAGCTCCCCTTCTGCCCGTCCCTCCGGGGAGAAGCACCCGCTGTAGGAGCTGCTTGCCTGTGTTTGCAGAATTTTTCTTTGCTTACCTCCCTTGCTTCCAAAAACACAAACAGGATAATTCTGAACGTTCTGTGCTGCAATGAGCTATTTTTACTTAACACTTCTTTTTTTAACTTACACATCCTTCCATGTTAGTGCATGCAGAATGGCCTCACTCTTCAGTACTCACATAGTATCCCCTGTGTAGACGACGGTAATTCAGTTAACCGTCCCTGGGTGATGTGGGTTTCAGCTTCCATATCTCTCTGTGCACTTGTGTGAATATATTTGAAGGATATATTATTTGAGGTGGAATTACTTGGGTGAGGTGCATGTGCTTTACTTTTGCAGAGATTTTTCAGGTTGACTTATGAAAAGTGGGAAAAACACACCCCTTCACCCGGAAGTTGGGAAACTGCTCTCCCATCGCCAACAGTGAGGATTGCCAAATGTGTGCCTCTGTGCTAACTTGAGAGGTAAAAATGGGCTAGACCTCCATGAAGACAGTAAGGACATGAAATATCACGAAGAAATGTACAGGTACTGGCTGATTCGAAAGCACAAAAACATTCACGGAAAGCAACAAGTGCCGAACTTTCAATAGCCCCTTCGTAAGACAGGGAGGGCTTTAGGAAAAATCTTCAACCCTCGCTAGATGTTTTGGACCTGACAAGCAAGAATCTTATATTCCTTAAGATTGTGATTTTATATATATATATATATATATATATATATATATATAATATATTTTTTTTTTTTGAGAGAGAGTTTTGCTCTGTTGCCCAGGCTGGAGTGCAGTTGTGCGATCTCAGCTTACCACAATCTCCACCTCCTGGGTTCAAGCAACTCTCCTGCCTCAGCCTCCTGAGCAGCTGGGATTACAGGCACCCATCATCACACCCAGTTGATTTTTATATTTTTAGTAGAGATGAGGTTTTGCCATTTTGGCCAGGCTGGTCTTAAACTCCTGACCTCAGGTGATCCGCCTGCCTGGGCCTCCCAAAGTGCTGGGATTACAGGCGTACACCACCACTCCTGGCCAATTTTTGTATTTTTGGTAGAGATGGGGTTTCGCCATGTTGGCCAGGCTGGTCTTGAACTCCTGACCTTAGCTGATCCACACGCCTCGGCTGGGATTACAGGTATGAGCCACAATGCCTGGCCAATTTTATATACATATCTTTCTTCTAGTGTTTTTCTAAACCTTGATGCTTTTCGCCCAATTTTTCTATAGAATAAAAATTCTATATAAAATTCAATGAAAACAAATAAGTTGGGATTTTTACAAAATTCTGAAATTAAGCTACAGTGAAATTCTGGGAAATTCTCTGCAGGAAAAGAGAATAATTATACATTCATTCCATATTAAAGTATAAAAGAATTGAGTTGTGAATTAAAAGATAGTTCATTTTTCAAGTTTAAAAGGCCAAGTCAAGTACTCTTATCAGAAATACAAGCATAGCTATAGGGAATTTTCCTGAAAAGCCTTTTCAATTTTTAATTAAGACTGAGCAAAGCTCAAAGTGGTCTTTGTTGTTGCAAAGATTAGAAATAAATAAGCCATGAAGGCTCAGCTCTAATTTGTGGCTTTAAAAAGGATACTGATGTCTGACATTGCTCTGGAATCAAGCCAAGGTCCCCTTTGAAATTGAATTAATAGATCTTAAAGTATTTGCTGCAGAGTGGAGGCCTCTGATGAGATAGTAGAGTGTACGTATACCTCTCTGATCAATCTTAAAGTATGTGCTGCAGTGTGGAGAGCTCTGCTGAATTCTCTGATGAGATAGTAGACTGTATGTATATCTCTCTGATCGATCTTAAAGTATGTGCTGCAGAGTGGAGGCCTTTGCTGAGTTCTCTGATGAGATGGTAGACTGTACATATACCTCTCTGATAGATCTTAAAGTATGTGCTGCAGCGCGGAGAGCTCTGCTGAGTTCTCTGATAAGATGGTAGACTGTACGTATACCTCTCTGATCAATCTTAAAGTATGTGCTACAGAGTGGAGGCCTCTGCTGAGTTCTCTGATAAGATGGCAGACTGCAGGTATACCTCTCTGATCGATCTTAAAGTATGTGCTGCAGTGTGGAGAGCTCTGCTGAGCTCTCTGATAAGATGGTAGACTGTATGTATACCTCTCTGATCAATCTTAAAGTATGTGCTGCAGAGTGGAGGCCTCTGCTGAGTTCTCTGGTAAGATGGCAGACTGCACGTATACCTCTCTGATCGATCTTAAAGTATGTGCTGCAGCTTGGAGAGCTCTGCTGAGCTCTCTGATAAGATGGTAGACTGTACATATACCTCTCTGATCAATCTTAAAGTATGTGCTGCAGAGTGGAGGCCTCTGCTGAGTTCTCTGATGAGATGGTAGACTGCACATATACCTCTCTGATCGATCTTAAAGTATGTGCTGCAGCGTGGAGGGCTCTGTTAAGTTCTCTGATGAGACGGGAGAATGCACGTGCATCTCTTTGTTTTGGTGCAGGCACACACAAGTACACTGGAAGTCTTGGTTCTTTCTCATTTTACTTGGGTTGTCACCAGTTTCTGGCAGGAAATTCTGCCTCAGCTATCGGGGCCCAAGAGCCAAATGTGCTCCAAATCTGGGCCCTCGGTGACTGCAGAGATGCCACCCTTTCCTTTCAAATGCAACTGCCCTTGCTGGGGGAGGAATGTCCCAGGAAATTCTCTGAGTAACACTGTGTCTGGGACAGGTATCTGTGCTCCGAGGAAAGAAATAGTTTTCTAAATAGTTTGTTTTTGTCTCAGAAACCAGAGCCAGGAGCAATGACAGGGAGCCACTCAGTTAACGCCTAGAGGCCTTGCTTATTCTGGCTGCGATCACAGAAGGCTTCGGGCGATGATGAGGAAACGAGTGTGACCCTCTCAGGCTGGCTTCACAGGGTTAGCCGTTGGAGGAGAGAAAACCCACCCAAATTAGTGAAGTGGAAAGGTTTCATGAACTTCTCCAGTTTCAACAAGTGAAATCTGTGTGTTTGGGTGGGACTGGAGACAAGGGAAGATGAGGGAGAGGAAGGAGGAGAGAGGGAGAGAGACATCACATCCTATTGCATCTTCCCTAAAACCCAGAGTGCTTCGCAGCCATGCTACAGGACGCCCTCACCATAAAGCAAATGTGGGGGATCATTTTAAATTAGTTGCCTCCCAAAAGGGACTGTTCTAAACAAAGGTGGCCGTGCAGCCTTGACCTTCAACAGGGAGTCCCAACACTTTTCCAATTGCCTCAAAAGCAGAGATTCTGGAAAACCAGATGCAACAAGATGCCCCAAGACTCACAGCCTGAAGACTGCGGGGAGCCTTTGGGCCGATGGGGCCGCTTTTATAGGACATGTTTGTGCCACACCAGGTAAGAGACCACCTGGGACGTCTATGTGTGTGGGGAGAGGACACGCGCAGCTGCATGCTGTCGGAGCTGGAAGGAACTGCAGGGACCATCAACCCCACCTTCATTTCCCAGAGAAAAGGAGGGACAGGGCCCATGGCTGTGCAGCTGGCCACAGCCCAGTAGGGTCTAGAACTCAGAATCCGGACAACCCCCATGCCACTGTGGGCCGCAGACCAGAAGCTCACAGAGCTGGGGCCGTGGCCTCCTGGATCCTGCTCTCACACATCCTGCTGCCACACCAACACCAGAGAATCCACCGCTTCTAGCAGGAGGACGGCCCGCAAACGCTCAGGGGAAAGGAAAAATCAGGCCTGATTTCTTACGGAGTTGGAAAAAATTAAGAAAAGCCCATTTTGCATTTTGAAGACCAAAAATGTCGTGCTAACGAAGAATGAGAAGAGCAGGGCCTTTTTTTCCTCTTTTTAAGATTAAGGGTAAATCGCATCCTCACTAAATAAGAGAAGCTCATACATGGTCTTCTCAGAAACCCACAGAGAAGGAATGGGTTTGTGCTTCCACATTCGGGAAGGGAGGACCCAGGCCTCTGCGACAGCTGCACTGCTCTCTGGCTGGTCGGGTGCCAACTAGAGCCGACTCCTGCACACATAGGGTCCCGGGACAAGCCCTTGTACCTTGGAACAGAGCCTCACTCAAACAGAAAATGATGAACACAATTTTACAGTCTTGTCATGAAGATCGGAGGAGATGACAGGTGCGCATGCTTGGCAGGTGTGAAGTGCTAAGAGAATGCAGGACTGTGCAAGTCACTAGCAGAAAAACACTTTGTGAACAAGAATTCTGGGTAAGCGCACAGAAACAGCATGACGTCCATGTCCACAGGCAGAGCCCGTGCATCTGAGCAGGCACTGCGGGGGCCAAGGCGTGACATGCCCGCAAACCTGTGCTGTCTTTTCTGCTTTACCACTTGACAGGGAAAATGGATAGAGATGAAGCAGGAGCACCAAGGGTCAGGCTCGACTCAACTCCACACACTTCAGGGCAAGGAGCTTTTCAGAGCACCTTAAAGAACAACTACAATTCCTTCAATTCACTTTAGTTCATGCATATTCACCAGGGGCTCTGCGTGGTCCGAGAGCTGGACACAAAGATGAGCCAGACACAACCTCTGCCTTCGTGGATCTCATCACTTAGTGAATACCTGTGGCCGGCCCAGCTGCCTGGCCAGTAAAGCCGCCACTCCAGCCCTCATTTCCTTCCTCCAACCACAGATGCTTGTTCTCCTGCCTTCCTTACGGTGCCATATGTCACGAGTGCCATGAGACAGGGTTCCAGTCAACAAGAAGTACAGAGAACTCCCAGGGGCTTCCAGAAAAGCTTTGTTTTTGTGAAAAAGGGGACAGAGGCAGCTGGCCTCATCCAGTTCCTTTTTCTCCTGCAGTGAGGATGTGATTCCAGGAGGTGTTGTAGCCGCATTGCCATCACAAGGCACCGAGGATAAGGATGAAAAGGCAGTGCACTGAGGATGGGAAACAGAAGCCACAGGAAGATCTGGGCTCCTGACAGCAGTAGTTCAGCTGCCAGTGTCTACAACTCATCCACCACCACGTGGTGTGTTAATAAGAGAATGAAACCGTGATTTGGAAAACTAAATTAATTGAACAAAAAAATTAAAATTATTTAAAGGTTCTATTCCTTGCAGCTAAAAGCAATTCCTATGGATACATCTGTTTTCATAAGTGAATTTCGTAAGTTTCTTGTTTGACCTGCTTTGAAGTACTGTCACGAGAATTCAAGTCAGATAATGACTACCTTAGTGCAGTGCCAAGGCATCTTCTCATCCTCATCAACAGCACCGTGCCGGGGGAAACCTGAGGCTCGAAGAACGACCTGTTCTCCTGGTTCATTAGAAATCCGCCCAGGCAGGGGAACGTCGGAGCTGTCCACCCACCCTCTGCCACCACCCATGGGGCCTGCCTTCCAGGGCTGTGTGGGGGAGGCTGTGCTTACACCCAGCAGCATAGAGAATGAGGGGAGGAGAGCCACAGACACAATAAAGGTGCAACCTAGGGTCACGGAAAAGAACAGCTCTGGACCAGACACTGAAAAGGCTGATGAAATGAGACCAGGGGCTCCAGACATGGGCAAACTTCAGAGTTGAGAGATGAGTGGAAATGGCATGCAAAGATGCTTCTGTGCATTTTGTGGCAGTTTACAGCATTGCAAACTCGATTCTAAGGCAGGCGTGTCCTGAAGTGGGTTGAGATCTGCTGAGCTGGGGAGCAAGCCCCTGCCAGCGAGCCCCTGATCCCCTCCAGCTGGGAGGGTTACTTCCTCCCAGAAGGATTACATCCACATTGCTCTTAGGGCTGACGGACACTGCAATGGAAGGGACTCAATTTAATTCACAATCTGGAAGACTCAGATCAGAAACATGACCTTTGACATAGCATTTGGACAAACCAGGGCACCGCGATGCATTGGCTTAGCTGAGACACGCTTCTCAACTTGCATCTGTCTCCAAACACGCCCTCAGAGTTAAGAAACACCGCCTCCCCCACCTCCCCAGACGCACGGTGATGAACGGGGGGGTCTGTAAACAAAAGGCCAGACCACACCCAGATTTGGGAAAACTGCAGTGAAACGGCAACTTCGGGACACAGGGTGGGACACAAGCCCTTCCTGCCTTGCCCAGCCCAGGCTGTCCCTCTGTCCAAGGCTGCATCTCCCACCACTGGGACCCCACCCTCAGGGGGTGAGGTCTTGCCCATGACAGGCCCTGTGTGGATAGGGACTCTGGGCACTAAGGGTGAGCGCTGAGCCCTTGCTGCGTTTCCTGAGCCGAGTCACTGTGTAACCGTGGGTGTGCACCAGGACCAGCGAGTGAAGGGCCAAGGTGCAGACAGCTTTAGGAGCTGCACATCTCTTGGAAATGTGGCTGTGACCCTGGCTAACGACGACCGTCACCACTGATGAAAAGGAGGAGTCCTGATGACTCTTGGTTGGAATCTCAGGTCCCATCTGGGACTTTGCTGAGGGGGTCCCAGTAACAACAACGTGGCAAAAATTGTTTGGTCAGTAGGTTCCTCTAAGCCATGAACCCCACACACAGCTGTGAGCACACACACACACATGTGCACGCACACGCATGAACACACACACACAGTGCCCCTGTGTGTGCTGCAGCATGGGCCCTCTGTCCTGATCAGGCGTCCTCCCCTCTGGTCCTGAGTGCTCTCCATCCTGGGCCTCCCATCTCATTGTCGCCCCCAGCTGGCATCTCAGTGACTTGGGGCTGCTCTGCTGGGGCCTTCAGCTTTGTCCACAGCACTGTTGGTGAATACCCCTCTAAGGAAGCTGCCTCTGTCTGGGTGACAGTTCCCCAGCCTCTCAGACCCTTGACTGGGGACAGCGCTATAAAATGTGTGCAGTGACCTGCTAGTTAGTTTTCATCCAATGCACTGGACACAGTCCTTTCCACAGACACCAGCATGGGGCCCTGCCAGGTGGCATTGGGGGCTGGGTCCATCGGTGTCTCCATGTGCCCTGGCATGGATGCACTGTGGTGTGGGTGGCACGGGCTCCGCTGCGGGGTGAGTCTACACTCTCCAGCCATGTGGGCTGCAATTCAGTCTAGACCCTGGCCCTTCCATGTCAGTAACAGCAACGTGGAGATTCTCAACAGGGGGACTTTGCCAATGTCAGGAGACGTTTGATCATCACGGGGTGGGGGTGGGGATGCGCTAAACAGCCTCAATGCATGGCGCAGCTCCCAAAACAAGAATTAACCGGCCCAAAATGCAGACGGTGCAGAGCCGTGGCCGAGACACCGTCCTCCAGCCCCAGGCTGTGGTGTGGACGTTTCATAATTGATTCAATGATTTCCTTATTGATTGATGCTTACTTCATCTTCAGGTCTTTGTTAAACAGGAAGACCTTCGGCAAACACCGTTTATTTGTACCCCTTTTACGCAGGTATGGCTATTTCTGTTGGAGAGATTTCTGGAAGTAACACTTCTGGGCAAAAGGGTGCATACATTTAACATTCTGATGGTTTTACCAAGGTGCTGAAATGTTGCAGGGATTTACTCTCCTGACACACACCCACGTGCCCTGGGCTTTCTGGATTGGCCTGCAGTGACTGGCAGACAGTGACGGCAGAACACCCTGTGACATCACCCATGCCACGGGGAGCTCACCGTGTCACCTGCTCTGACGTCACCAGTGCCACGGGAGCTCACTGTGTCACCTGCTCTCCTGGTAGCCACGCTCGGCATGCAGAGGTGCTCGGTGACAAGGAGGAATTGCTTTACTGTGTTGTGTGGAAGAATGAAAACAGGCTGAGTGGACAAAGGCGCTGACAGTGGGTTATCACCGAGAGGTCTGTAGAGTGGAATAAAATATCTGCTTACACAGAGGAGAACTGCCTCGGAAATACAACTATGGGACATCTTTATATGAAGTAAAGAATTACTATGAAGATGAATCTGCAGGAAGGAAGAGTGGTTTACGTGATAAAAATCTGGATTAGAAGTTGGATGTAAATGTGTTTAATTAGGTGAATACAACTATGACAATTCATTACAAGATGAATCTCATGGGGATTAGTACTCAGTACTTTAAATACATCAATGTTGATTTTTAAAAATCACCTTAACTCCTTTTTTCTAAGATCACAGTTATACTTCAATTATCTCACATTGTGAAATATGACTGTGGAGTAGGAAGGTACTTTTGATTAGCTTCACTTTCAATCACTGAAGGATTGCAAATGAATGCAAAAGTTCCCTGCAATGGAAGCTGATGTGGGGAAGAAGTTAAATGGGTCCTTCTTTCTTTGGGGTTAAGGCATGCAGAGAGGAAAATCTAGTATTTTTTCCGAAATGAAGTATTTCCTGATTTAACTTTTGCCTTCCCCTCTGGTATGTCTTCTATCTATGAGGTTAGAGTTTAAAAAAAAACAGAATTTAATGTGTTCCTTTCGTTTTCTTGTTAAAATAACCTGAAACACCCTGCTCCAGTTGCTGTCTAAACCGTAAACACCCTGCTCTAGTTGCTGTCTAAACCGGAAACACCCTGCTCTTGCTGCTGTCTGAACCGAAAACACCCTGCTCCAGTTGCTGTCTAAACCGGAAACACCCTGCTCCTGCTGCTGTCTGAACCGGAAACACCCTGCTCCTGCTGCTGTCTGACTCTGAGACAACACGGCCGCGCCAACTCGCTAAGACCGGCCCAGCCCACGGAGTAATCCTCAATACGCTGTCACATACACGAAAAGAAAATCAATCAGTAGTTAAAGTAGATCCTGATTTTAATAGATGTGGAGGTTTCTCAATTTAGGGAGAATTAAATTAGAAGCAGCTTTTCAACGGTTCTGTCCTTAGCTTAGAGACTTTCAAAACTCAGGGAAGTCAGATTGGTTGAAGGATACTACCATTTTGGGTAAAACCAGTGGCTTTTAGAAAACAGCTTATGGTATTTTGGCAGCAACTATGTGTTTTAGAAGCTGTGAAGGGGCCTTTTTTCCTGGAGCTCAGATGGCACTGGTACTATTTCAACCTCTAGGTGAGGTCTGTTTTCAGTGACCTTGGTTGGCATTGGGCCGGAGCAGGAGGGTGGCCCTCCACATCTCCACTGTAGCTTGCGGGGCAGCGCCCTGCACGTTCCCGTGGTGGGGTGTCCCGGGGAATCTTACCCAGCCGGTTGCAGGGGTTCCGTTTGAAGAGAGCTCGCAGCAAACTCTGTGCCTCCCCACTGAGGAACTGCGGCATCCCCAGCTTGGCTCTGAAAAACAAGATCCTATTTTAGGATCTATTTTAGGAGAACAAGGACAAGCTATAAAGAGGGCCCCAGTCAGCATTCAGAGACCTCAATCGCAGTCACCCAGAGCAGCCCGTGCTCTACCACGTGGGTCTTAGGACCCTTTTATGCTTTAAAAGTTACTGAGGACACCAAAGAGCTTATGTTTATGTGGGTTACAGCTGTGATATTTACCACAGTAGAAAGTAAAGTGAGAAATTTGTATAATTTCCATTTCCTAATTCACTTTAATAAATTTTTATTAATAAACATTATTTAATAATAAAATCATTAAAAAACAATAACACTCCCATTAACACAAATAACATTGTTAATGGAAATTATCTATGTTTTCTCAAACATACATATAAAAAAGTCTTTAGTGGCATTGTTCTGCACTTGGGTGCGTCTCTTCCTGGCTCATAGGAGACAGCTGGACCCTGTGCTCGGTCTGTTGCGATGCTATGAAGAAAACCTGCGAGAGGAGGACCTGCAAACCCCGGGAGGGTCTCAGGACCACCGGAGTCCTCAGAGCACACTGAGAACCCCACGCGCAGAGCCTAGTGCTCCCTCCAGAAATTCTCCATCCCTCCCAAGTGGAATGCCCTGAGGCCACACCCGTGACTTGCTGTCAGGGATTATTCCAGCTTTAGCAAAAGTAAAGAACATGTCCTCCCTTAAAATTCAAACAATGAGAATCACTGCAAAGGTCCTGACTTGCAGCTCTCAGTGTCTGCTGCAATTCAAGGTCCCTTGATGGAGGAAAAGGCTGATTAAATAAAAAGACACTCCTTAGCTTGACAAAAGGGTCCTCACAATGGGGCTTCCTTCACTCCCCTCTCTCCTTCCATCTACATAAGGACCGAGCTTACAAAAGCTGAGCTGGTGGTGTTTTAGGTGATTCTCAATTTTATAAAAGTTATGTGTCCATTTGCAAGCAGAGTTGGCAAGAGCAGCTCATGAGGACAAACAGCTTTATGACTCCTCCACCGAGTGGCCTCACTTAGGAAGGAACTGATTAGGGGCTCCCAGCCTCTCTGTTTCCTGCCCTCCTGCTGTCTGCTCTGGGACAGTGATAGTCAGTGGTGTCTGCTCACATTTAGGATGCTATGGCAAGGTGGTATGGGGATCAGGCTTCTTCCTACAGTCCAAGAGCAAAACCTTGGCTTAGTAAATGATTTTTCATGAGAATTAAGCAGAAAATGGTTTGTATCCAGTCACATGGTAAAACGATACCGAGTCCTGCCAAGGTCAACCAGGAGTGCTATATGAATGGGGTCAGCAGGTGGGGAGGGAAAGGAGACCCCTGCTCCTGTGATCTCTCCGGACAAGGCCCTGGAGGCCTTGTGTCTTTTTCCGTCTATCCTTTACTTCTGGGAGGTCACCAACCATCACGCTTGAAAACCAGCCACTACACATTCTAAGTGACTTACTGATGGAAAACTATCTATGGTAGAAGAGTTCATCAGAACCACTCAGCAGGATGAGACAAACCAGCAACTGCTCCCTTGACCCACTGTCATTAGAATGCCCAGCACCCTATTACCACTGCTACTGGCGGACGAGCGCTACCATTTTGTGTAAAACCAGTGACTTTTAGAAAACAGCTTACAATACTTTGGCACTGTAAGCCTAGCAATGTAATTAAAACTTCACAGTTCCAGGTTCAGAGGCAGCAGCTCTTGATATCAGAAGGTGCTCGCAGGTCTCTGGGGTGGCTCCCACACTACTCACTTGAGGATGAGAGCCATGGTCTCCTTCCTGTCCTTCCCCTGGAACGGCAGGGACCCCGTGAGCATCTCAAACTGCAGAGCAACACAGAGCACAGTGAGTTCATTCATCCAGATGGACCCGGCTTCACGGCAGAGTACCCCAGCAGGGCAGCCTGCTACCGTGTCCATTTCCTCATGCAAAATCTCCATCAGTCAATTGTAGCCACTGGCCTACGTGCTTGGGGTACAACAGTGACTAAAACTGCCTCGCAGAGCTTGCCATTTGGTGGGTGAGACGGGTAAATGACAGATGTGGTAGATAATCACACTCTGTGGCAGGCCAGCAGGCCCCGAGTACGACAGAGAAAAGAGGCAGAGCAGGGTCCTGTGGTCAGGCAGTTTGGACGAACACATCTTACACGCGGTTTAGGAACCTGTCCTGCCCTGGCAGGTGTTGTGGAAGGGATGAGCTAGGAGGAGGAGGAGGAGAACAGCTAGCTCATGTTGAACACCCATGCATGCCTGGATGGTGGGGGCTAGAGTGCTTCCAGCATGAGATAGACCTGACCACAGCCATTAGCCTCTGACGAGGACAATATGGCACAGCAACCTCTCAGATACAGCTGCCGCACCCTACATCCTTATTTTGTTATTACTGGACACCTGCCAGGACGGAACTTGAGATAAGGAGGGGATGGAGCACAGCCTTGTCTGAGCATGGGTTTCTTTCTTGCACCAACTCCCCCGGGCACATGCAGTGGTGATTACACACACTCTGGAAGCAGTGGCCTGGAATGGTCTCATCAGAGCAAGGTGCACAGCTGACCGCTTCTCACAAAAGAAACTAGGGCTGCAGCAGGAACCAATCTTTTCATAAAATAAGACCCTGAATCTAAGTGGAATGTGCCCAAGGATCAATCCTACTCGGTGTCTTTCACGTCAGTTTAAATTACGGGGAAGCAGGTGTTTCCATGGTCTTATTGAATTCTCTCTCATCTTTATTTTTTGCTGCGTGTGTCTCTGCCCTTTTAGAATTCATCCTCCAGCATTCGTCCTTTGCAGTTCGAAAATCTCAGGAGATACACAAAGTAGAAAGACCAAAAAAATCACGCAGAATTCCATTACCCAAAGATATCCAAACTTAACATTTGTTAGTTCCTCCTAGTACTTTTTTCAAGCTGTTTTTTATTTTGTTTTAAAAACACAGATAAGGTTTTGTATACTAACTTTTCACAGAATAATATAAAACTTTCAATGGTTATGATGAAATCTTTGTAATATCACTTAACAAACATGGATATGACAAAATGTATAGTGAGTGTATTTGTTGCTGTACACTTAGGACATTTCCAATTTTCTGCTATTGTAAGTACTACTGAAATGTGCACAGATGATTTCCTAAGATTTATTCTTATGATAGGCTGCTAGGAGTGAAATTATAATCTTAAAGAAATGAATGCATTTAAGGTTTTATTAATATTACCAGTCTGCTTTCTGAAAACAACATTATAAAAGAAATGGAAACTCTTCCACCAGTTCTGACGTTTGAAGCCTGTTCTGTCACATTAAAATGTGCTGTCCATCCGGTGCACAGAGTAAGTGAGGGAACTCAGAGCAGACAGGCTGCAGGCAATCAATCAATACAAAAGTAATAAAAAGCAAGCGGAAGGGGGTCCAGATGAGAACTGAAAAAGAGACAAGTGTAATTAAACAGGAAAGGCCAGAATGCTCTGACTGGCAGATGAGCTGTTTGTCTGGTAAAACAGGATGAAAGTTTATAAGCTGATCATACACACTGAAATATCTCTCAGAATAGAATGGTATTAGCAAAGGGAACTCCTTTCCTATTCTGCTCTTTCTTCTTTCTTTCTTGAGTCTATTAATAGCACTATGAAATCCCATTTCCAAGGACAAGCCTTCTGGCTACATGAAATGAGAAAGCTGTCATCCCATACACACCGTTTAATCCTTGTTACACAAATGGTGCCTGTCCAGATGCCCGGATATCATTTATTTTTTGCTGATGGACTGGTATCTTGCATACATTTGTTTGGTGATTTCTTTTTCTTTTCTTTTTTTTTTTTTTTGAGATGGAGTCTCGCTGTTGCCCAGGCTGGAGTGCAATGGCACAATCTCGGCTCACTGCAACCTCCGCCTCCTGGGTTCAAGCGATTCTCCTGTCTCCACCTCCCGAGTAGCTGGGACTACAGGCGTGAGCCACCATGCCTGGCTAATTTTTGTATTTTTTTTTTTTTTTTTTTTTAGTAGAGACAGGGTTTCACCATGTTGGCCAGGCTGAACTGGAACTCCTGACCTCAAGTGATCCGCCCGCCTTGGCCTCCCACAATGCTTGGATTATAGGCGTGAGCCACTGCGCCTGGTCTGGTGATTTCTTTTTAGCTTTTGAAGATGATTCCCTTGTGATCAGGGTCCACTGCTTTGTGGTTCTCTCTCTTCCTCCCCTTCTTCCTCCATCCATATGGTAGGAGGTCCCCAACCATCTACTCAGCCAGAGAACACCCAGCACAGCACCCATGAATATTCAACAACTGCTTCTTGGTGATGAAGGTGCTGCTGACGGTGGGGATGATGCTGGGGCGGAGGTGTGGACTTTGCAGCCTCCACCAGCCATGGGGTTCTGCTGCCTTTCCCATCCCCTTATCCACCCTTTTCTGTGGAGAAGGGAGATCATTTCAGTATGATTGTCTGAATGGAGCTGCCCGGGAACTTTCCAGTGCCGAAGCATTACTGACTGAGGTTTTGCTGATGAGTTTCTTGGGACGTTATTTACAGTAAGACTTTTGCTGTGTTGCTGAGCAGCACTGAGACTTGCCAAGGCTTCCGGGGTGAACTGAGAAAAGCCGAGGTTCATCTTGGGGTTCCCACAGTCAAGTACACGCACCGGGGGAGGGAGGGCACTCCAAAGGATTCTTTCCCAATCGGCACCGAGACCAGGCTGCAGACAGGCACAGAGGGGCTCAAGGAGATGTAGCCAAAGCTCCACCGGGTGCAGGCCCGATGCTTCTGGGAAGGTAATTGGACAGACATAACGCAGTGCTTCTCAACTGGGGTCACCGTTGCCTGCCAGGGGACATTTCCGGCTGTCATGCCCGGGAGCCCTGGTGCTACAGGCGTCCACTGAGGGAGGCACAGATGCTGCTAAACATCCTATGACACACAGGGCGCCCCACAACAAGGAAGTGTCCAGTCCCGACCTCAACAGTGCTGGCTGAGAAGCCCTGTCTAAAGGGACAGCTAAGGAACCTGGAAAGAGTGGCGGCCCCGGCACAGGCAGGATGCGCCTCATGGAGGCCAGTGGTACTGGGGGCAGGGGAAGGAGGAGACTCTGGGGAGACCCTTGGTGACAGGAGCCTCGATTTCAAGTTTACTTGGCCGATCACCATTCTTAAAAGGGCACCAAAAGCAAGCTAACATTTTAATCTGAAAACAGGCGAGGACAAGCCCTGACCTGAGATGGATGACTTGAAGTGGTAGAGGGCCTGGCTTTGCAGGGTATGGAGGGGCTGGGTCTCGGAGAGCTGTGTTGATCCATGCCCATGTGTGGAGGTCCCTGTGTGCACAGACACATGCCCTCTAATCCGAGCTGCTCTCGCTCCGTGTGCTGCACCCCACTCCGAGTGCCAAGAATCTCAGTCTCAAAACAGCCTTGGAAGGTGCCGTTCCTCACAACCGTCTACAGATGAATGGTCCAGTGGCAAGCAGCAGAGCCTGAGCTCAGAACCATCCGTGTTTGCTATGGTGGCATAAGGACACATCACATGGCACCTGAGGCGGGATGTCCAGAACATTCCGTGCCCGTGGTTAAGAAACGGGAGAAGGATAAAGTGGTCTCACGAAACCAGAGTGCTCAAGAGATGCTTTAGATGTTTACAAAACAGCCCAAATATCCTTCTAGAAACTGGCTCCAGCCTGGCGTAGAGGAGTGCTGGAAATTCTACAAATGTCACCACGCAGCCGGCCACCAGGTTTGCACGTTCTTCTCCAGGTACCAGCTCCTAATTTCAGACACGGAATTTTATTCAGGGACACTGACTTCCTGCCCCTGGCACAGGCATCCTTCCTTCCAGGTCTGGGGAGGGCACTTGTGGATGCTGCTCCTCGGGAAGAGATCCCAGCACACATCCACCTCCAGGGGACGGACGGCCACCCACACATGAGGACCACTCCCTCAGCACGCGGCCTCCAGGGTCTCAGCCTTCTTTTAAAACAAGGCCCCTCACACGCACAACGGCTCTGCACCGATCCGCTTACAAGGCTTGGGTAAGATACGACTTCAAAGGTCACCCGAGGCCCATCTCTTAGCTGCAAATGAGAATTCAGAAGTCACTTCTGATGCCACCCACGGACGTGTGGGAAGCGTGGGGCCTCCACAGTCAAGACCTTTGCCTGTGTGCAGCCAGTCACCACGTGGGCGGGCGGCACTAAATGAGAATGTGTTTCTGGGACTATTATGTGATCTTGAGCCCGACACTTAGGCTCTTTCAGCTTTAGTTTTCATTTCTGTGCACAGAAAGAATACCGTCTTTCCTGCCCGGCTTGGAGATTGTTGGGTTGAGATCAAATGTGAAGATGGCCAGGCAGCCTTAGCTTGTGGTCACCACGGCAACAGCCAGCCCTGCCTCGGGCTCGAGAGTGACACAGCAGTTCTGGAGCCGGACCCCTTCCCCAGCTGTCACGAGACATTGAATGCGGGACGATCCCAGCAAACAAGTGAACAATTCAGTAAGAAATGTCCTGTGCCCAGGGAGGCACGTGGGAGGAGAGTGCCTGCTGTGTTGACGTGCCGGGCAGCGCTGGGCCAGGCCTCCTTCAGAAGCTCTCAATATCATCTTCTTCACACTCCAGGGACAGGGAGGGTGGGGACTCCAGGATGGGTGAAGGCTGCCGGGCACTGGGTCTGGGTGTGAGTGCCTCTCTGCTTCCACCCTGTTGTCTTCACTCCCTCATGGGTCCCTTGGAGGCCTGGCCAGGTGCAGGCACTTTTGTCTGTGCTGGGGCATCTTGGGTAAGGTGACTGGTGTTTAAGAAACTCCACGTGCCAGGAGACACTCACAGAGACAGACAACGACAATAAAAGATGGCAGACGTTAGAGCAGTGGCAAGCCAGGAGTGCTGAGAAGACACCGAAGCCAGAGCCACCAGCCAGAGCCACCAACCCGGCCAGGGTCAGCAAAGGCCACTGGGAGTGGTGCTTCTGTCTTAGGGCTGATGGTGGAAGGGGACCGGGGGGAGTTTGCTGGAGCAAGGCGAGCCCGACGTGGTCTCATTTCCTCTTCTTCTGGCCCCTCGTCGTGTCTCCATCTTTGGATCATTCCTCTTCTGTCTCTTCTGTTCTCCTATTTCTTTTTCTTTCAGCTTCTCCATTTGTCTTTTCGGTTTGCAGTGATTAAGACCAGAAGAACTGGGCGTGGTGGCTCACGCCTGCAACCCTAGCACTTCTGGAGGCCGAGGCTGGCAGACTGCCTGAGCTTGGGGGTTCAAGACCAACCTGGGCAACACGATGAAACCCTGTCTCTACTAAAATGCAAAAAAAATTAGCTGGGTGTGGCGGGTGCCTGTAGTCGCAGCTACTTGGGAGGCTGAGGCAGGAGAATGGCTTGAACCCAGGAGGCGGAGGTTGCAGTGAGCTGAGATTGCAACACTGCACTCCAGCCTGGTGACAGAATGAGACTCCATCTCAAAAAACAATAAAAAATTAAAAAATAAAAAGAAAAAAAAGAAAAAAAATTAAATATATATTTTATATTATGAGATAGGTTTTATGATCTGTTGCCTTAATAGAAGAAACAGAAGACTATCAAATCTCCCCTCCCCCTGTCCCCCCAGAAACCTCACAAAACTAAGTCCAGTTGGTTTTGACTTATATGTGGTGTTTTGGCTGTGCTTTTCTCTGCTAAGTTACTCCTCTCCACTCCAGCCTGGCCTCTTGTTCTTTTTAAACATTGGTTCACCTGAGAGCCAGGTGGCAACATTTTATGACCTTGTTCATTACACAAAGGCTGGCCCGCAGTACTGCTGGATGGGCCACTTGTGAGCCCAGAGTTATAGGACAGGACCCAGAGACAGAAGGATGCCAGGAGCCCTTTCAGGGAGCCTGGATGTGCAGCGTGGCCAGCCCTGCTCTCTGGGGGAATTTGGGGTTCTCAGGAGGGGGTTTAAGAACTGGAATCTCTCCTGAAGCCACAGACTATAAGCTTGGACCCATAGCCCAGCGTCAGCAAAGGCAACATCAGACTTCCCTGCACCGGCAAAACCTGCACCAGCGTGGGAGGTCTCCACAGGGCTATCCCCGCTGCCCTCACCCACCACTCACCAGCCAGGGTCACACAGGAAACCCACACATGTGGAAGGGAGTGGACCTATCGAGGCAGAAATCACCTCCAAGACGGCAAAGCAAACCTGCCTCACTGACCTATCTAAAGAAAACCTCTTTCAGTGGAAGGAAAGCAGAGGTGGTCTCAGAGGGGTGACCGTGGGGGACTTAGCTCTGTGGTCTCCGCATGGAGAGGACCTGCTCCTTAGCCAGTGCCACTGAAGGTCTGAATAATAGTAAAAAATAAATCAGCAGCATCATCCTCTTGGCTGAGCTCGCGGGCCCCTTGCTTTGCTGCAGGCATTCTCTCAAGTGTCGTGCCTGTGCTCACGTGTTGAACTGCACGACTGTCTGTGTTGTGACTCACTTTACAGGCAGGAATGACCAGGGACGGAAGGGGCTTCCACAGGAAGGAGTAGCCACAAACGTGATGTGGGCATCTCCGACTGCGAACTGGCTTTCTGGGTTAGGCTGTGGGCCCATCTCCGGAGCTGGTCTAATGTGTGTCTGCCCCTCGCGGAGAGGTGAGCAGCCCGTGCGGGCACGTGGAACACAGCCAGGGCCTGTGAGCTCCCGGGGCTGAGGCCGGAGCCTGGAGAGTGCTGCAGTGACCCAAGTGGCAAAGGACCAGCGAGGCCCTGGGCACCAGCCGGGGGTTCTCCAGGCGACACCGCAGGACTCAGCCCTGGGGTTCCCTAGCAAGGGGACGAGGAGTAGGGTGTGGTGGGAGGAGAGGCGGTCAAAACTCTGAAGGGAACTGGGTTTGGCAGGCACACAGTTCTGCCACACGCCAGCGGAGCAACCTTCATCCCGTCTCCTAAAGTGCTCATGGCCTCAGTTTCCTCCTGTGTGTGATGCACAGGCCGGAGGGCGGGATACCCCTGAAATGCCACGACCCGATTGTCATCCAGGTCAGATTCCAGAGCACTCACTGCACGCCTGCTCCACCCTGAGGTCACCAGCCCCCTGCCCAGCTGGGAGAGTGGGATTGGGGGAGGGAGGGAGGGTCCTGTGAAGATTGGGAAAGGAGCCCACACAGTTCCTAGGGCGGAGAAGACCCAGTCCAAACTGGGTTCTGTTAAGCACTCTGCCTGCGAAAACGCGACAGAGACAATTCACATTTCCAGACGCTGATGCAAAAATGCCTAACTCCGTGTACATCTCAGTTTGTAACTAAGCGCAAGGATTCTGTGTCTAAATAAGAAAAATACTTTAACTCGAAAATCATGGCATCTCTTGTAATCATCACGCTAAGCCCGAAGAGCACAAAGCATAAAGAGGGTTCGACTCCTCCCACGTCTGCGTTTCTGCGTTCTCGTTTGCATCCCAGCCCCACTTTCTGATGGTGGGGATGTGGGATGGGGAGGAGGCTGCCAGGAAATGCTTGGCCTGGACACTTGCCCAGTGTCCCAAGCCCTCAGGCACTGCCTTCTTCCGCATTTCGGGACCTCTGAACCAACCTGGGGACAGGGGTCCACGTGGGGAACAGCCGCCATGGCACAGAAGAGGGTCGGGGCAGGCTCACCATGAGCACGCCGAAGGACCACCAGTCGGCACTCTGCGTGTGTCCTCGCCGGTTCACCACCTCGGGCGCCATGTACTCGATCGTCCCGCAGAAGGAGTACGCTCTCTTGTCGTGGTCAATGGCCTCCTTACTCAGGCCGAAATCTACATGCAAACACAGCACACACACTGCCTCAGTCTCTGGGTGTGTTCGGGGGTCCACACTCAGGCGGGCATCAGCGTCCTTCTGTGGGCTCTGCCCCCTCTCCAGGTGGGCGCAGCAGAGCCCTGCTCAGCAAAAGCGGGACCATGTGAGTGCTTCCCGAAGCCCGTCAGTGCCCGAAGCCCGCCGGTGCCTGAAGCCGAAATCCTCAAAGCGTGAGGAGTTCCTTATGAGTGTACACACTCAGGAGCGCCTTGGAACACCACCCAGACAGCAGGTTGTCAGTCAGTGACGGGAACTCCCCCAGACCCTTTTCCACAGGCACGTGGAGGTGGGGTGTTGCAGGGCAGAGGGACCTGGGGTGGAAGGCAGGTGTGTGGCTGACAGCTACTGGGAAAGGGGCTCTGGCTGCCGGGGAGCCAAGGGGAAGGCAGAGTGTGGCGAACCTGCCCTGCCCCGACAACACGAGGGTGTGGAGAGCACAGACAGGCGGAGGAGGCCTGGGGAGCAGAGGCCGAGCTATGATGGAAGAACAGGGATCTCCAGGTGCCACAGAGCAAGGAGGGGCTTCTGAAGGAAGTGGCCCCGGGGCTGGAAAGAACAAGAGTGCATTGGCTCAGGGCCCCCAAGTCTTGGGGATGACAGAGCGTGGCTAAATAGAGCCAAGGCAGGCCCAGCCAGTGGGTAGAGCAGCAGTGCCCAGAGAGGCCATGTCCTTGCCCCTGAGCCTGGGAATGGGCCACCTTATGTGGCAGAAGGGACTGATATGGTTTAGCTGAGTCCCCATCCAAATCTCACCTTGAATTGTAAGAATCCCCACGTGTCGTGGGAGGGACAGAGTGGGAGGTAACTGAATCATGGGGGTGGGTTTTTCCAGTGCTATTCTCGTGACAGTGAATAAGACTCACGAGATCTGATGGTTTTATACAGGGCAGTTCTCCTGCACATGCTCTCTCTTTGCCTGCTGCCATGTAAGACGTGCTTTTTCTCCTCCTTCTCCTTCTGCCATGATTGTGAGGCCTCCCCAGCCAGGTGGAACAGGGTGAGTCCATTAAACCTCTTTCCTTTATGAATTACCCAGCCTTGGGTATGTCTTTATTAGCAGTGTGAGAATAGGCTAACATGGGGACTTTGAGAACAGACTAATACAGGGACTTTCAGAACAGACTAATACAGGGACTTTGAGAACAGACTAATACAGGGACTTTGAGAACAGACTAATACAGGGACTTTCAGAACAGACTAATACAGGGACTTTCAGAACAGACTAACACAGGGACTTTGCAGATGCCATTGAGGATCTGGAGATAGGGGATGACCCTGGATTTCTGGGTGTGCCCAACACCATTGCAAGGGTCTTCAGGTTAGGAAGGGAGGCAAGATGCAGTCAGAGAGCTTGGAAGATGCTGCCTGCTGGCTTCCACCATGGGGGACGCAGCCCAGCCAAGGACTGCGGGCAGCTTCTACTAGCTGGAAGAAGCTAAGCAAGGGAGTCTCCTCTAGAGGCCCCCAAAAGGCAGGCAGCCCTGCTGACACCTTGATTTCATTCCTGGGAGACTTATTTCACACTTGGGGCCTCCTGACCTGTCAGGTGATAAGTTTGTGTGGTTTAAAGCCCCGATGTTCCTGGCATTTTGTTGCAGATGCTATAGGGAACTAATACAAATGGGGTGTCCTGAGACTAGAGGAGCTGTTGCCAGTTTGACTGAATTTGCTGGTGGCTGCCAGGGCTCAGATGGAAACAGGGAGGGAAGTCACGTGGCCACCACCACGGTCCAGGGAGTGAGAAGGAGGCAGGGACAGCATCAGTGAGGGCAGCAGTGCAGGCCGCACTCCAGCGAGACTCCAGATGTCTGCCCTCAGGTTGGCACTGGGCATCTGCAAGGCCCACATTGCAGGCTACACTCCAGCAAGACTCCAGATGTCTGCACTAAGGTCAGCACTGGGCACTGGGACTCCTGAACTAAACACCCAGCGACGCTGAAGGAGCCCAGCAAACAGAACGTGGCAGGGGAGAGGGAAAAGAAGGGGCCACCGGGAAGCTGCATGGGTCTGGACGTTATGAAGACATACAATGCCATAAGCAGTCTGTAGCTATAGAAAATTCTGCCAAATCAGAGACAAGCATCTGGCAAAGGGAAGGGCGGTGTAAATAAGAGGGCTTGGGCTTTGAGGTGGTCCCCAAAGGTACCAGGGCTGAGATGAAGCCATGGAGGGGGCCTGCCGTCTTTTACAAACCTGTGATCTTAATGTGCCCCTCTTCATCCAGGAGGATGCTAAAAGAAAGGGAGAGAAAACAGATGCTTTAGAAAGAGACCCAGCCTGCCGACGGGCACGCAGAGCTCAGAGGAGAGCTGCGGGGCAGCTGGGGGCGGACGTTTTCAGGGAGCCCTGATGGAGCTGGCCCAGGAGATCCCCACGGCTTGTGCGGTGGGCCTTCCCATCCTGCCTCGCTTCTCCACAGCTCCCAGCTCGAGAAAGCATTTGGTGCCACACCTCCTGGATAAAGGGATGTGTGTTCGTGCAGCTGGAGGACTGCTGGCTTTAGATATTCGTGGGTCCCCAGGGAAGGTCTAAGAGCCCTCCAGACTGCTGTGCGCAAAGCATAGGTGGAGAGCGTCCTGGGACTGCTGTGGCCTGTGGAGACCCAGAGCCTCGCAGATGGAATGTTTCTGCACTCGGGATGCCCTTGATGTCCAAAGACCCCCTTCTTCTCCCATGTATCCTCCCCTGAGCCCTGCCCTGGCTCTCCAGACCCACCCAGGTGAGGCCTGCACAAGCGGGGGCCAAGGCATCGAGGAGCTTCGGGCTTCAGCAGGTACATCTTGTGATGAGACCTGCTCCCGGCTTGGCACCCCTGCGGGCCACTGGGTCCCTGTCTTGTTCCCTGCCAAGCCCTTGTCACGCCATGTGCCGGACGTGACAGTTGCCTTTGCTCCTCCCAGGTATCCTGCCGTGGGGTGAACCCTGCATAGAGAATGGAGGCAGGGTCCGTAAAGGGCTGGGTGCAGGCATAAATCCCTTCTTCCCTGAACATCAGGCGGGAGTCTGGGCTGTGATACCTTGACACACCTGTGGCCCTAAACTTTCCCCATTTATTTATTTGGCTGTAATTAAATCCTGTTCTTCCAGATGCTGGGAGGTACCAGCCTAGCCCTAAAGAGACCAGGAAGTGGGCTGGAAAGAAACAAAGGCAAGGCTTGGAGGATTAATCTGTGATACCTTTATAGAAACCTGTGAAAGGAAGGAAAGCCTGACTTGCTACAGCACAGAGGAGCCCGGAGGACATTATGCTCGATTAAATAAGCCCGTCCCCAAACGACAGGTATTATATGATTTTACAAATATAAAATGTATGGTCCCTAGAGGGGCCAGAGTCACAGAGATGGAAAGTGGATGGCGGGTGCCGGGGGCTGGGGAGCTACTGTGCAGGGGGACAGAGCTTTAGTTCTGCAAGATGAAACAGTTCTGGAGATGGACGGTGGGGATGGGGGCCCAGCAATGGGAACGTGCTTAATGCCACTGAACTGGGCACTTAAACGTGGTGAAAACTGTAAAAGTCATGTGTATTTTTCTACAATTAAAAAAAATCTGCCACAGAGTTAAAAAAATAACCACTATTTTCTGGAAATGGGAAGGAAAAGTTACAGCATGTAATTAAGATGACAATTTATAATGAACAAGGCAAATCTTTTCATCTTTGCCTTTTGGGCATATTCAATCTTTGCCCAGAATTAAGCACCTTTCAAGATTAATTCTCTAATAATTCTAGTTGAACAACACAACCTTTTCCTTCAAGCTTGCAATTAAATAAGGCTATTTTTAGCTGTAAGGATCACGCTGACCTTCAGGAGCAATGAGAACCGGCACTCCCGGCCTGAGTGGATGCACGGGGAGTGTGTCTAACACACAGGCGTCAACAGCCAGGGCCGCACGAGGAGGAGGAGTGGCAACGTCCACACAGACTCACAACACGGCACTCCGACTTGGAGGGTAATTAATACCAGGTTAACTTCTGGGATGACCTTGGCAACGACCCAAGGTGACAGGCCAGGCTCTGCAATCACCTCCCAATTAAGGAGAGGCGAAAGGGGACTCCCAGGGCTCAGAGCACCACGGGGTTCTAGGTCAGACCCACTTTGAAATGGAAATCTGGCCTTGTGCTGCTGCTCTTGTGGGGAGACAGCAGCTGCGGAGGCTGCTCTCTTCATGGGATTACTCTGGATAAAGTCTTTTTTGATTCTACGTTGAGCATCCCTTATCTGAAATGCCTGAAACCGGAAGTGTTTAGGATTTGGGGATTTTGCAATATTTACTTATATATAATGAGATATCTTGGAGATGGGCCACAAGTCTGAAATGAAACAAAATTCATTTATGTTTCATATATACCTTCTACACATCACCTGGAGCTAATTTATAGAATATTTTAAATAATTTTGTGTATGAAACCACGTTTGTGTTAAGTGCTTATGTGTGGAATTTTCCACTGGGGGGTGTCCCATTGGGGCTCAAAAAGTTTTGGATTTTGGAGCATTTCAGATTCGGATGAGGGATGCTCCAGCTGTATTTACACACGTATTCAACTCACATGTGTGCCTGTGGCGTTCCACGGACTGGTGGTGAAGTCAGATCATCAAGCACATGGGCAAATGCATTTTGCATCCTGCAGTGGATATGGGATGTGACCTGGTTTCTGGGTAAACCCAGCTGTTTCCCATAGATGACAGCTGCATCTAACAACACCAGCTTCGGAGCAGGGCTTGTCTTTTCTCAGTTCCATGCAGGTGACAGGGCAGGAATGTGGAGTAGCAACTGGGACGCGTTTGCAGACCCCAGGGCCCCCCCTTGGTCTTAGCTCACAGGCACGGGGCTCTCTGGTGGTACCCAAGGCCGGTCGGTCCCACCAGGCCACAGGTGATGCCTCATCTAGGGGCGGCTATGGGCCCTGGTCTGGGTGGGTGGCATTAATCGGCCCCTCAGGGCAGGGAAGAGTGAGTGATCACCTCAGGGATACTGCTGAGGTCAACTCAACCTAAAATACCATCCTCCAAATCTCTTCTTTTCTAAGTGGATCACTCCTAGTTATGTGTCAGGTCTACAAAGAATATGTAAAAACAACAACAACAAAATGAAAATGGGAACACTATTATTTTGGAGGGACTTTACTGTTCAAAAATCTAGAATAGATTAGCAAAATATCGTAGAAATAATAGCCTCACAGGTCACCACTGCCAAGGATATACAAATCTCAGTGGACTCTGGGTCTGAGAATTCTGGGGCCGTTGTCTTTTAGGTAAGTTCTTGGGAGAGCTGTTCTGACTGGGGACCTAGAGGTGGGGCTGACAAGTAACTGAGTAGAGGTTCATTGACCACATTCCTGGGACTTGCTGAAGTAGATGAAAGGGCTTCCTGAATCTGGAGGACAGTAGGGAAGAGATGAGAGAGGAGGAGAAACTGCCCTGGAGGCAGCCATGTTTGAGATGGTCCCCAGTGGCCAGATGAGCCTCACCCAGGAGAGAGGGCGGGAATGTGGGTCAGGGTCGTGGGCGTGCCCCTCCCCAGCTCCGGCTTCCCGTGCATCACAGACATGCACCTGAGCCTGGCCTCCCTCAGGCGTTATGAGTGTCAGGTGAGAATGGGCCTGGGCATTTCCTATGCAAATCAGCAAGGCCACACCTGCATCTGGGCACCTGATGCCTGAGCCGGTCCTGCCGGCACAAGAGTCTCCCCAGCCTGCTCTCTGATATGTCCTCATTTAGGAAATAAATATCTAGCAGTGGCTACCAACATGGGCCAGGAAAATACATGGAGCTGATGGGCGTGGGGAAGTCAGCCCTAGTTTTTTCTCACTTACTTCTCAGGCTTCAGATCTCTGTAGATGATCCCCAGGCTGTGGAGATGGTCTAAAGCCAAGGCCAGCTCAGCCAGGTAGAACTTGACATCCTCCTCCGTGAACATGACCTAGTAAGAAAAAAACAAAAACAAAAACAAAAAACGTTTAACTTGTTTTATGGCTGGTGTGTTTTAAAGAACTCTGCCAGAGAGACTGAGAGTCCACACTGGGGTCAGTTTGCTCTGTGGAACGCTATGGCCCCCCAGAGTGGTCTTCTGACTCTTCTCATGGAAAAGTGAGTTCCCTCTGCAGTTCCAAGATCAGTGGATGGAGACGAGGGCTTCCTGCACAGGTGACTCATGCCGCCTTGAGAGTGGGGTGCTGAGATTCAGCCTCTCCTCTCTGTGTCCTTCTCACCCCTGCAAATCATTTGGCTCTGGAGTAGGTTTCTGGGTTTACATTCTAGCATGAGTGCTGCTCATGTGAATTCATAACAAATGTAATACAAGTAAGACGCTGAGGGCTTGATGAGGTGACTGAAAATGGGGCTCAAATATCATTCTTTCCCCATGGATTATCTATCTCCACTCCTTGGGTTGATGCAAACTAGTAGCCTACGTAACCTGCTGTCAACCCAAAGTGGGATTAGTTCTACCAAAGATCACCCACAGGTGGTACAGAGTTGGCTATGGGTGCCCCAAGCTGAGGGGGCGGGATGGGGAGGGGTTTCCAGGTGTTGGGGTTGGCAGCCACATTCCGGGATCCCACGTAGCTGGGACAGCTCAGGGCTGGGAGGTGACCAGGCAGGGATGGCCTAAGTGTCCATGTCCCGGGGGCTCACTCAGGCCAGCCGAAACATGCATGAGGCCTCGGAGCCCAACAGACTCCAAAGCCATCGCCCCATAATGACTCATCCCCACCCCCGACTTGTTAGAATCAGCACATAGATTTTGTAGACCCCCTTAAGAGGAAGCAAAATCATGACCACAAGCCATTTTCTATATTCGTCAGGAGAAATCAATGTTATGGAGACTACAAGTCCACATGATTACTGAATTCTCTCCGGTAAGCAGACGTGAAAAATCAGCACGCAGCCAGAAGGCTGCCCGGCAAACACAAAATTAGAAGGGCAGCCAGGGGACCTGAACGGTGAGTGGCGTCAGGCCGACAGCCGGGCACCCGCTTCACACAGGGGGTTCTTCCACAGGGCTGGACACGCAGGCTCTGCATCCTGACAGTGACTGGTGGGTGCCAGCCACCCACCGGCCCCCCGAGTCCCCGTCCTCCATTCCACGCTTGGCCAGCGCCTTTCCCGGATGTATGTTTCTTTTCTAGATCGGTTAAGGTGCTCAGTGGACTGACTGACAGCACGTTCTGCTAGTGGCCTGGTTCTTTCCTCTGACTTGACATATCCACACGTGGCCCACCATGGGTTTTGTGTACAATTTAGGGCTCAGAGGCAAACCTGTCTTTCCACTCCCCTAGCTCTTAGTGTAACCCCCAAGGACAATAGCAGGAAGTTTCTCCATAGAAAGGGAACACCTCACGGTGTGAGTTCTGCAGGTTCACCGGCACAGCGATGGTCCCCGTAAGATGCTGGACCCCGTACTTGCTAAATGACGACCCAAGGTGAGTTCTGCAGGTTCGCCGGCACAGCGACGGTCCCCATAAGATGCTGGACCCCATACTTGCTGAATGAGGACCCAAGGAAAAGACTTTCCGCAGGTTCCCAGCAACTCCACGAATCTGTGGTGCCCGCCCTGGACAACTTCCCTCCTACTCCGAAATGAAGGCCCTCGGGGGAGGCACACATTCCCACGTGGGGAGCTGCAGGACTTTTTGCTGATTACTGTTGTCTTTTTGGTCAGGGGGCCCAACCACAGGCGTGTCATAGCAGCTGCTGGACAAAACTGGACCCCAAATGGACTGACTCCCTGTGGATGAGAGGGGAGTGGACAAACCAACAGATGATACCACATGAGGAATGGGCAGACACCAGGCTCCAGCATCTTTGGAAATGGCCACACAGCAGGAGGCAAAGGAAGGGGCCAGACGCCAGTTCCCAAAGGCCTTTGTGTAGAGCTTGGATCAGGTTCTCCCGGCCCACTGTTTTTCCTCCATGCAAGGAGCCCCACAGAAACGTGCACCACTGTCCAAGGGACTGCTGGACGCAGAGGGACAGGGCAGCCATGGTCTCTGGGACCCTTTGCGCCCGATTCAGGAGCAGCTCTGCCTTGGTTTACTGTTCATTTGGGGCTTTGTGCAAGACAGCGGGGTCTCCTGCTGAAAAGGGGGAAGGTGGGGAAAAGGGAGTGGGGGGTGTGAAGGCCACTGTTGCTGTGAAAGCACCTCGGCCACTCCTTTGTATAAGAGATGAACAAGCAGGATCGTCAGAACGGAAAGCCCGGCACTGGCACTGCCATGGGCAGAATCTGCCTTTTGCCATCCCATGAAGCGGGGTGCTTTTCACGTCAATCAGGGCCACGGGGCTCTCAGGGTGCAGTGAAGTTGCATCCTGGAGGGTTCCTACCTAAGGCACTGGAGGTCAAGGAGAAGCCCTGGGGTGTGCAGTAGCGGCTGTGAGACAAAGGTGGCGTGCGAAGACCACACCCGATGCTCCCGAACAGCCCCAATGTTCAGCCGGCTTAGCAGTACCTCCCTCTTCCCTCCCTCTTCCCAGGATGGAAAGTGAGACCCTGTGAGAGTCTTTCCCAGCCGCTCCTACCCACCGACCTGCGCCTTCCATCTGCGCTAGCTGGGAGGTCAACAGCGTGACTTATGGTCCCAGAGCTGCAGGGGCGCTGCCAGGGCCACCTGGGACGATTGCTAGGGCCACTTGTGCAGCTTCCTTAGAACCAGGCAGCAATGCACACAGCACACCCAACACACACACACACACACACACCCACCCCACATCACACATAGCACACACCACACATACCACATACAGCACACACACACAACTCATACATACACACACCCTACATAGGCACACAGGATGTCAAACACACAGACACCCCACACCACACAAAGCACATACCACACATACCACATATAGCACACACACACCCACACACAAACACACCCCACACATACACACACCCTGCATATGCACACATGCACAAAGCACACCACACACCCCACACATAGCACACACCACGCACACCAACCCCACACATGCACACAGCATGCCAAACACACCCCCACATATACACATAGCACACACACCATCACACACAGCACACATCACATACACCACAAATCACACGCCTGACATATACACACAGCACACATCACACACATACCACACACTTATCACATGACACATGCACACCCCACATGCACACACACTCACATTCCCACACACCATGCACACACAACCCCAAACACCACGCACACCCCCCCACACACGCACTCAAACACATACACACCCCACACATCACGCACATGCACTCACACAGCCCCCATGCAAACCCCACACATGCACATGCAGTCTCGCAACCCCCCACCACACATCATGCACACTTGCACACACTCACACATGTACACCTCTCCCACACACGCACTCTTGCACACACTCACACATGCACACACCCCCACACACACACACGCACTCTCGCACGTGCTCACGTCCTCTCAATGCTCTCCACCCCTCCTCCCCTCGAGTCCCAGACAGAAGCTCCTGCCCGCCCTCCTGTGTGATGTGGCGGCTGCTCACCTCTTTGGAGAGCCGGGTGAAGAGGTCCCCTCCCCGCAGGAAGTCCAGGATCAGGTAGAGCTTTCCTTCCGTCTGAAAGGCTGTGGGGGACAGAGACCCGCATTTTGACAGCTTGTCGAATGTCCTGTGGCAACATCGCTCTCTGGCTTCTCCCTGCTCACGGTGCTGCTTACTCCGGGAGGCTGAGTCACTTGAGAAACGGCAGGACCCCGGCTGGTGACCAGCTCAGAGGGGCAGCACCCGGCAGAGGGGGTCTGACACTGTGAGCGCTGCCCCTCTCTCACTGTCGTTAGGGGGCCTTGAGATTTCTTTCATCTTTCTTTCCTCTCCCCTCCCTCCCTTTTTTAATCACAAAGGAATTGAAAGATACACGGGGAGAAAGATGTGAATATTTAAGCTGGTATCGTTGCTGGCTTTTGTCGTAATGCATTAGTGAGCAGCCTGAAGATGGCTCTGGTGGGTTTGGAGGACATGTCCTTTCCGTCCTATGGAAGTGCCTTCTTCTTACAGAACTCCACTCTGGTACCAGGGAGCCCCCCGCTTGCCTTCCTCTCTTGAGGCAGTTCTGGTGATAGGTCAGCCCAGTTATTTGAACATCAACAATGGGGCTCACGTCCTAGGTCTGGTCACTGTGAGCTATAACTGCAGACTTTCTGTTTCAGGCCACAGGCAGGCTACACAGCTCCTGCCCACACTCAGCAAGGGCCTGCCTCTGTTGAGCGGGCGCATGAGCACGGGAGGGTCTAGAGAAGCCCGTCACCATCGCTGCTGTGACGATGGTTGCTGCAGTGGCACTGGTGAGGCACCGCGTGGCATCTTTTTTATCTACAAAGGAAGTGTGGCTGGAAGGGATCCCAATATCCCTGCATACTAGAAAACGTTTTATTTTCTAAAAGTAAATGCTAGAAGCATCATAAATGTGGGGGTTTTAGAAACATAGCCCCCAGCTAGAAAGCCCTCTGCCAGGACTGTGTAAACTGAGTGTGCATTAAATGCTCCATCCTGGGCTTGGCAGGCAGGTGGAGGTGCTGGGTCACCACTGAGGTGATGTGGAGGTCTGTTTAAAGCTCTTTGTAGGACACCCAGTTCTCAATTTCTTCAGAAAAGCACCCTAGCAAGTAATGTAAATGACACGTGGGATGGGACTTGACACCAGCCACTTGGCAGCAGCGGAGGGGGCAGAGTTTTGGAAAGCCAGCCTCTGCAGCCTCCTCTGCCGGGAGGTAGAGGTTTGCAACTGCGCTGCCCACGGCCGAGAAGGAACAGCAGGGTGTGCCCAGCTTCTGCAGGCCTCCTTCATCCTGTCCTCAGATTCACGCAAATCTCACTAACACCTCCCCGACACACCACCTTGCCCTTTGCAACCAAGAACAAACTATTAGTTTTGTTGCTGTTCCCTTCTGTACTTTGCTCATCTGGATTATTAGGTGGGAAAGTTTAATGTAATAAGCCATGAATCTGCAGCCACCATCTCATCACATCTTTTTTAAATTTGAAGATTTCACTTACTGCTTCTCTGTTGGGATAAAAAGGCAGACAGCAAATGAAGAGAAGTTGTGTGGCAAAGCAGCTATGTGGCCTTTGGTTAATTATTTGAGCCTCAGAACATGAAAATAATAAGCTACCTTGAATAGAAGTTTTGAGGGTTCAACGAACTACTATCTTTAAACATGATATTCATTTGAAATGAGGTGTTACCATTTCTGGTTTAAAGAAATTATTGGGTCATAGAGTATTTTATTCTAAAACAACACAAAAATAAGTCATAGATTCACCCCAATCTAGGTTAAGATCTTCTAAATTATCAATGGTATGGTAATAATTTAATAATGGATACCCCATCTAAAATTAGATCTTTGAGATGAAAACAGGGCTTCTTGCTCTTTCAAAGAAAATAAATACAGAAGAGATTAAGTGATCAGGATAGAAGGCACCTTCCTCCCCAGGCAGGGCAGGACTCTATGGTATAGGAAAGATTTTCTTCTTTCTGATCTGTTATTTCTTTTTCAATTTTCTTTGATCTGGAGAAGGTTGCCCTGGGTCCTCTTTAAAGTGTCATTTTGACTCTACTTACCATAATGAAGCTTCACAATGAAGGGGTGATTCACTTCTGCCAAGATGTCTCTCTCCATCTTCGATCTCACTCGGTCCCGAACTGCAAAGTAAAAAGATAAAGGCTTTCATGAGGCAGGAAATAAGAGTTCTGAGGAACACTGAACATGAAATACTAGATATAATTCCCGCCAACTTTTCATTAAAAAATTTCAAACATATACAAAACTTGAAAAAGTTGTACAATAATCCTAGATTTAACAACTGCTTACGTTTTAATACATTTGCTTTCTCTCTCTCATATATATATATATATATATATATATATATATATATATATATATATATATATATATGCATCTCTAGCTCTCCAAAAAATTGTAGGCAGCACGACATGTTACTCTGAGGTGCATGTGCAGGTGTCTCCTAAGAATAAAGACAGTCTCTTAGCATAACTTTAACACCTACTGTGCCACATAGGAAAGCCAACAATCACTCCATGAAACATCTAACATCCAATCTATATTCAGTCCTCCCCTCCACGTCGTTTTCCCGACCTAGGATCCAGTTCAATTATATTGGTTGTTAAATGTCTTTGTTTTGCTCCTAGAAGACAATGGTCCCATACCTATTTCCCTCGCCCTGTATTTTTTCGTGGACTTTTTGGGAAGTCCAGGTCAGTTTTCGTCTGTAGAATGTTCCACATTCTGGGTTCGTCTGATGGTTGCTCATTTGCTTTCTAAAACTCTTGTATTTCTTGTAAACTGGAGGCGTGATAAGATTGGGGCTAAATGATTTTGGTCACCAGGTGATGCCTGTACTTTAGCCTGCCTCAGATCAGGGGGTGCCTGCTGGGCTCACCCTCTCTGTGTGATGCTAAACGTGATGTGTGGTTGAGGTGGCAGGTCACCATCTCTCCATGGAAAAGGTCTTCATGTCCCTTTGTAACAAGAACCTGTGGGCTGATATCTGGCATAGAGTGACCTGCGGGTTCCCTAACAATCCTTCATCCAATGGTGTGAGCATACATACGTGATCCCTGCCTGAATCATTCAGGGCTAAAGAACAGCCATGGTCACATTTCTGATGGAACTGGAAATCAAGAGGAAGATTCCTTCTCTCCCTCTCCATGAAGATAACCATGGACCATGTACTTTCTGTTGAATTTAGTGTGTTACAACAGCTACATATTCTTCTTAGTGCTCACACTATCTCAAGTGTGGCCATCTGGGAATACAGATGTAATTAGTTTTGATGCAGAAACAAATGAACAAACAAAGAGCACCACTTGAGTAAAAACAGCTTTAGCATTCCCCTGGGCAAGCTGCTACACCCAGGGCAGTATCCGGGACCTCACACAGCCCCATGAGCGATGGGAGAAAATTTCTTCAAACATTGCTATTGGGACAAATATGATCAGTATTGTATCATGGGCCAGGTATTTAAATTTATCCATATTTAGGACTTGTGATACATACTGCTAAAGTTTTATTTAAGAAATTCTTCACCAAGAATGCTGCAATAATAAAAAGAAAATAGAAAATTACAAACTGGGAGGATGTGGAGAACTTGGAACCATCATGCATTGCTGATGACAGTGTAAAATGGTGCAGTCACTGAGGAAAATAGCTTGGTAGTTCCTTACAAAGAAGTAGAATTACCATGCAGCCCAGCAACTCTGCTCACAGGATACACATCCAAAAAAACTGAAAGTATGGATTTGAACGGGTTCATCCACCCATGTTCATGGCAGCATTATTTACAACAGAAAAGGAGGAAGCAACCCAAGTGTCCATCAACAGATGGATGAACAAAATGTGATGCTGTAGTAAATACACACACACATACACAAACACACACACACACACAATGGGATATTATTCAGCTCTAAAAAAGAGTAAAATTCTAACACACAGTATGAATGAAACCTCAGGACATTATGCTAAGTGAAATAAGCCAGACACAAGAGGACAACTATTGTAGGATCCCACTTATAAGAGTTGCCCAGAGTAGCCAGAATCAGAGAGACAGAAAGCAGGATCGTGGTGAACAGGAGCTGGAAGGGGGAGAATGGGAAGTCATTGTTTCCACCTGGGATGATACAAAGATTTTGGGTATAACATTGGTGAGGACAACATTGTGAATGTATTGATGTCACTGAACTGTTCACTTACAAATGGTTAAAATGATCAATATTATGTTATATATGTCTTACCACAGTTAAAAAGAGAAAGTCCTTCCTCATTCCTGGGTCCCTGAGTTTCACTGTCTCAACTCCTGGTTTTAATACTCACACCTAGGATTCAGGCTGTCTGAAGTCCACCTTTGTCTTTGGTGTTGGGACAGTTTTGCTTTCCCGTTTGGTCTGTAATACTGTCTCCGGGGGCCCAGGTGGTGACCGTGGTGTATGGCCCTGCAACCCAGCTCACTGTCAGTGTCACTGTGCCCTACTCTTGGCTTTGGTTTCCTCATATACAAACCGGATGAGATGGCTCCCCCTCCTGGGGCTGCCTAAGAAACCTGTGCAGTGATGTGTGTGCCACAACAACACGGGGCCCGCCCACACTGTGCCGCTTCAGGTGTCATTGCAGTGACACCTTTATTATATGCTCAGATCCCCTTTTTTTCTTTTTCTTTTTTTCTGATCTCTCCTTGCTGTTCCACTGCTCTGCCCATCCCTCTTCTAACCCCAGACCCTTGTCATCACCGTGGTCCTGTGACATTCCTTACAGCAGGGGTGTCCAATCTTTTGACTTCCTGGGCCACACCGGAAAAACTGTCTTGAGCCACACATAAAATACACTAACACTAGCTATAGCTGATGAGCTTCAAAACATCACAAAAAATCTCATAATCGTTTAAGAAAGTTTACGAATTTGGGTTGGGCTGCATTAAAAGCTATCCTGGGCCCCATGTAGCCCACAAGCTGTGGGTTGGACAAGCTTGCCTTAGAGTCTAGACAGGCATCGAGTAGGCACCCAGCAGGCAGTGCTGTGGGCAGAGCTGGGGGATACTAGTGTCTCCCCTAAACCTCAGCACCTCCTTCCCCAGTGGTCCTCGCAGTTCCTAATCCCTTGAGACCAAAACACCAAGGTGGAGGGTGCGGGAGCGACTGCTTATCACTTCTGCCCAAGGGGACACAGGAGGTCCTTCTTCTGCCTCAACTAACGGAATCAGGATTTTATTGCTTAAAAGACCTTGGGGAGCATGCAATTCAACCCCATGTTCTTACAGAAGAGGAAACATGCTCACTGCAGTAAAAAGTATTGCTTAAAGTTAGGTAGCTCCTGGTAGCCTGGAGGAAGGAGACCCCTGCCTGCCCCGCTCCACTGGGTGAAGGCCTGGCGTACGTCCCAGCCAGCATGTGAGCACTGTCCTCACTGGACACAGGGGCAGCATGGACTGTGGCACAGAAGACAAACGCTGGGGAGGAAAAGGGGGAAGCAAGCAACCTGGGCTGAAGGAGATTTAATGAGAGGGGCCATGAATGGAAACCACTGTCCCAGTCGTTAAAGTGGAGCACTGTGTTCAGAAGCCAGGATAGCGCAGAACACTTTCAAAGAATACAATTTTGTACCCCTGGCTATGATTTTCTCTCTAGAGTAATGACCCCGGAGTTTAGAGATTCTTTTCTTCCTTTCTGATTGTAGTCATTGTGTGCAAACATTTTCAGAAGGCTCTCCTGCAGAATTTAGTCTTGCACCCGCTCCTGTTTATCATTTGTGAGTTCATGTCTTAGTGATCTGGATTCTGCGTGCTGGTCAGAGTAGTTTTTCTTCTCTATGTAGGTGAACTGGAAAATAGGCCATAGGATCGCGGATTGTGGGGAGATGTGGGAGCAAAGGTAGGCTCGGTCTTCCTAGCCCTTTTGCAAATCAGACAGCTGAATGGTGAGGTCACAATTCTTGCCGCTTGGCCTCAAATTCCTTCCTCCCCCACCTCTTCTCCTGGCCCACTCCTTTCCCATCACTACTTCTCAGTCTTCTTTGTGCCAGGTGTTTGGAATGTGAAGAGGCAGGCTCTGCCCTCCAGGAAGTGAGAGCCCAGTGGGGAGATGCCCTGTGGTGATGGCAGCAAGGGGCCACCAGAGGGTGACCAGTCCCACCTCTTGTGTGCTGGGGGACCTGTGCATGCTGGGGGAACTGGAAACAGCCTGGGAGGTTTTCACAGAGGAGGGGCTAAGCCTTACAGGGGACCCGGGAGCCTCCAGGTGCTTGGGCAGGAGGATACAGGCCAAGGGATGGCCCTGTAGGGTGGCAGCTGGGGTACCCTCAGGGATGCCAGTGGGCTGGCGCACAGAGCTGCAGTGCCACACTGATGAGGCCTGCGGGCAGGGACATGGGGGCCTGGGGAGCCAAGAGACCATGGACAGGACTTTCACACAGCACATGTTTAGGGCCTCTAGATTTAAGAGGTCATGTGGAGGATGCAATAGCAACATGGCTGGAATGGACAACGTGGCTAGAATGGGGCAAAAGGATACTGCTATCCAGCCCTGCAGAGGGACAGATCTGGCCTGGAGGAGGGAGAACTGAGACCTCAGGACCTCTCAGCTGCTGAGAATAAAAAGAAGGGAGCTGCATCATCCTAGCCCTCTGCCTGGGCGACTGGTGGAGAAATTAGCCAGGAGAGAAGTCAGGTGGTGGGCAGGGAGAGAAGAGGCCACCTGCATTCTCGGCCTGTTGAGTGCTGGGGACATGCAGGGCTCAGGAAAAGACTTGGTTTGGAGCTTTGCTGGAAATACAGATGCGAACGCCCACCCCACAGCAGCAGCCAAGGGTGCCCAAGGACCACTGGAGGATATGTAGGATGAGAGTAGAACCATGGTGAGGACCTCGGTAGGGTTACTGTTGTTCTGGGGAAGGAGGGAGAGAGGATGCACCATGATGTGGTCCACAGTGGGAAGACCTGGAGGAGACAGACAGAGAAATCAGGAAATGTGAAAGAAGTGTTTGGTGGCAGCAGATGCTCAAGACAGTCCACCAGGTGGGGACTGCAGGAGGCCGCTGGTGGAGTTGCATGACTCATGGCCGATTCATCAGGGACGATGTGATGAGGACATCGCTCATCCCCCGGGAGGGGCCCGCAGCTGGGTCTGTGATGTGGTGGGTGAGTGAAGTCAGCATCTCTGTAACCCCTTGGTGTGACTTTTAGAAGCTCTGATATACTTTCTTATTAAAACATTTTATCCATTCATTCTTGAAAAAATAGTTCCTGATGTAGATAAAAAGAAGAGAGCTTGTTTTATTAACCATGACTGCAGTTATGCACCAGAGAGGACACTCTGAAGGGCAAAATCTCATATCAGCATCGGCGTGACGTCATTAGGATGCTCTCAACACAAGCTGGAGATTGCCGAATGGAGCTCTTGTATCTACTACCCTGGCTCTGCAGCAGAGGAGAATGAATGTAGGGAGGAAAAGCAAAATGATTCACAGGGAAAATGTTACAAAGAATGTCTCTGTGAAAGGAAAATAAATCCTGGGGCCCCCACATCACTAAGCTAAAGGGAAAAGTCAAGCTGGGAGCTGCTGAGGGCAAATCTGCCTCCCATTCTATTCAAAGTCACCCCTCTGCTCACTGAGATAAATGCAGATCTGATTGCCTCCTTTGGAGAGGCTAGTCAGAAACTCAGAAGAATGCGACCATTTGTCTCTCATCTACCTATGACCCGGAAGCCCCTTCCCCGCTGAAGACTGGAAAGTCTTCCCACCTTTGCTTCGAGTTGTCCAACCTTTCCGGACTGAACCAATGTTCATCATACATATGTTGATTGATGTCTTATGTCTCCCTAGAATGTACAAAACCAAACGGTCCCCTGACCACCTTGGGCACATGCTGTCAGGACCTCCTGAGGCTGTCACAGGTGCATGCCCTCAACCTTGGCATAAACTTTTTAAATTAACTGAGACCTGTCTGAGATTTTGGGGGTTCACATCTCCATTGCCCACCTCTCCCCCGTTACAGCCTCCAATAGCTACAGCCAGTGTGAGCACCAAAGAGTTTCAGGGAGTTGATGAAAGCAAACCTGGAATCTATTCACTCAGCACAAAGACCCCAAAGGAAGAAAGGACACAGTGGAGTCAGAAAGATTTCTCTCAAAGTAAAAGCAAAGGCCTAGGCAGAAGACACAGGGCTCACGAATGCAGGCAGGCTCTGCAGGAAGCCAGGGGTGGGGGAGGCAGGAGTGACTGCACACAGTGGGAGGGGTGGGGACACTGCCCCTTCTAGGATGATTAAACAACAAGCCTCTCTCTCTCTGAGCTGCCTGCTGGCATCAAACAAAGTTAAACTCAACAAGGAAAACTTCTCTGTCACACATCACACAGCCAACGGGGCTGCCATTGAGGACCCGTGGGCTCTGCCACGCCCTAGACTCAGAATGCTTCCACAAGGAGAAATCCTCATGAGATGCATGTGGCCAGGCTTCCTACACTGTGCCCTTTATCTCAGCAGAGCAGGCCCAGGCTCGGCAGGGCCCACGGGAGAGCAGGCCATCCGTCATTCCAATGTGCCTCCTCTTCTGGGTGAAGTCCCTGTTCCATCTGCCAGGCCCTGCATGATCTGAAGCTGAGACCTGGTGAAGCAGCATGGCAGAGAAAAGGGGGGTTCCTACTCCATCTTGCCATCTCCTTGCAAAGCTTGATCTTTGACTCTGGGTAAGAGCATCTAAAAATCCTCTAAATAGGACTGATGTTATTGAATTCACATCCATTTGGAATGAAGAACATTGTTTAGCCACATGTCTGACTTTATAGCATTGGTAAGGAAAACTTGGTAAGTCTGGTGAAAAATTAGAGAAAGATAGATGTCTTATATTCAAATTTTGAAGGGACTACCTAGTTACAGTAAAAAAAAAAATAGGTCTCCTCCCTATATCTTACACTAAAATAAATCCCAGATCTATTAAAGAATTACTTAAAAAACAAAACAAAACAAAACAAAAAAACACAAAGCTGGCCAGGCACAGTGGCTCATACCTGTAATCCCAACATTTTGGGAGGCTGAGGTGGGTGGATCACTTGAGCCGAAGAGTTGGAGACAAGCCTAAGTGTTGGGAACAGGCCCCCAAATCTGGCCATAAACTGGCCCCAAAACTGGCCATAAACAAAATCTCTGCAGCACTGTGACATGCTTGTGATGGCCTTGACAGCATGGCCCACCCAGGGCGGAAAACCACTTAAGGCGTTCTTTTGTTTTGTTTTTTTTTTTTTTTTTTTTTTTTTTTTTTTGAGACGGAGTCTCGCTCTGTCGCCCAGGCCGGACTGCGGACTGCAGTGGCGCAATCTCGGCTCACTGCAAGCTCCTCTTCCCGGGTTCACGCCATTCTCCTGCCTCAGCCTCCCGAGTAGCTGGGACTACAGGCGCCCGCCACCGCGCCCGGCTAATTTTTTGTATTTTTAGTAGAGACGGGGTTTCACCTTGTTAGCCAGGATGGTCTCGATCTCCTGACCTCATGATCCACCCGCCTCGGCCTCCCAAAGTGCTGGGATTACAGGCGTGAGCCACCGCGCCCGGCCCACTTAAGGCATTCTTAAACCACAAACAACAGCATGAGCGATCTGTGCCTTAAGGACCTGTTCCTGCTGCAGATAACTAGCCAGTGCCATCCTTTTATTTGGGCCCATCCCTTTATTTCCCGTAAGGAATACTTTTAGTAAATCTTATGACTGACTTGCTGTCAGTAAATATGTGGGTAAATCTCTGTTCGAGGCTCTTAGCTCTGAGGCTGTGAGACCCCTGATTTCCCACTCCACACGCTATATTTCTGTGTGTGTGTCTTTAATTCCTCTAGCGCTGCTGGGTTAGGGTCTCCACCACTGAGCTGGTCTTGGCACCTGAGCAACATGGTAAAACCCTGTCTCTACTAAAAATACAAAAAATTAGCCAGGAATGGTGGTGTGCACCTGCAGCCCTAGCTACTTGGGAGGCTGAGATGGGAGAATCTCTTGAGCCTGGGAAGTTGAGGCTGGGTGACAGGAGTAAAACACTGCCTCAAAAAAAAAAAAAAAAAAAAAGCAATAACAAATTATAATAAAGTTGAACACTTATCTGGTGTCTGGAAGGGGAATCTTTTTTGTTTTTTAAATATAAACTATGGAAGAAATAACACAGTAAACATAGTTACAAAATATTTACAAATTGGCCATTCAAAAAGATTATAAAATTAAAAGGCAAACAAAAAAATATGATTATCTTAAACAAGCAGAAAAAAGGTCAAAAGCCAAAATAAATACAATACCCAAATACTATCATTATGCTTATAATAATAAACAGAGAATCCAGCCATGACAGTGAATGCAACATATTCCAGATTAAACCCATCAGTGCAGGGAAGACGTTTTTATAAGAATGTTCTGTATGGTTGACTCCCCAGGCACAATGTGGCCTAACACAAGTATATGTTGAGTTTAGGGTGGCAGAAAACAGGAAAAGGATGTGTTCATTCCAGGGCAGGGCTATATTACTGCTGACAACACTGTGTAACTGACCATGCCTAGTTTCCATATATGAATGCAAGGACAAACTAAACAAGATGTCAAGGGACAAGGACAGTCATTACACCAAGCAATGCCCTCAGCATATGAAATACTAGGACTGGAAATGGCTCTTCAAGAGGGACTAGGGAAGATGTTCAGGTCTGTGCAAATTCTAGCTTTGCTGGGCAGAGCTGCAATCCACTGACCTCACCATTGCCCACCCTAGGTGGTGTCAGTCATTCATGGCCCATATCCAGGGATGGAATGAGAGAGCTGCAACCATGGATCTGCCAACTGACAGCCATGGAGTGATTCTTCCACTAAGAAACAGACAGTGAAAGCAAATGTTTCATTTTCTGATGCTGAGTACGTTCAAGCCGCCTCTTTGACAGCCAGGGAGTCCAAGGAGTTTTCATTTCTAAGATCTAGATGTATAAAAAAGAAAACCAAGTGAAGAGGTTTCTTCAGAAATGTCAGCAACAATTTCCTGTTGGGTAGTTCTAGACTACTGGAGACTCTGGAGCCAGGCCATTTGGCCCAGGCTATAGCGTCTCTGTGATGTTTATTCTCTGGTACTTAACAGGTTAGTCTGGAGTTGACTGGGGATTGCTACTATAGATGTGAAAAGAATAAATGTTCTCGGCTATCTTGAGATTCGCTAATAAATGGTAGGCACTGGGGATAAGTTAAAATTTCATTGTCCTTCAAATTAGCCCTCTATTTGTGGCCAACCTGCCGCGTTTCGGGTTTGGATGATGTAGTTTCCGTGGTTTACTTTGCTCTGTTCAGCAACCTGTGCCTACTGGTACCAGCTCTAACTGCCATGTGCTCTTCACCTGTCATGGCCCCAAGACAATCCCTGGGGCTGAGATGGTTGTGGAGGCACCAACAGGTTCACCCCACTGTGAAGGGCACACTGGTTTCCTTCCCAGGAAAACACGGGAGGAAGCACTTTGTGAGATTATCCTGGCAGGCATAGGATATATGATATGCAACTAGAGCTACTTTCTGGAACCCCTCTTCAAGGTGCCTCTTTTCAGGCAGCAATGCAGGCATTGCTTTGTGTTTCTGATTTTTAAATGATCTCCACCAATAGACATTATATGTATATTACATTATGTAGTATATTGTGGTGGTTAGTTTTACATGTCAACTTGACTGGGCTAAGAGATGCCCAGAGAGCTGGTGAACCATGATTTCTGGGTGTGTGTGTGAGGGCGTTTCTGGAAGATATCAACATTTGAATTGGTGGACTGAGTAAAGATCACCCTCCCCTATATGGGCAGGCACCATCCAGCCCACTGAGGGCCAGAATAGAACAAAAAAGCAGTGGGAGAGGAATCTGCTCCCTGTTGAACTGGGACATGCATGTTTTCCAGCCCTCGGACATCAGTGCCTGGTTCTTGGACTGAGACTTAAACCATTGCACTCCTCTCCCCACACCAAGTTCTCAGGACTTCGAATTCAGACTGAAACTTATACCACCAGCTCTCCTGGTTCTCAGGACTTTGAATTTGGACTGGAACTTATACCACCAGCTCTCCTGGTTCTCGGGACTTCGAATTCAGACTGGAACTTATACCACCAGCTCTCCTGGTTCTTGGGACTTTGAATTCGGACTGGAACTTATGCCACCAGCTCTCCTGGTTCTCAGGCCTTTGGATTTGAACTGAATGACACCCCAGCCTTCCTGGTTCTCCAGCTTGCAGACAGAAGCTCCTGGAGCTTCTCAGCCTTCATACCCATGTGAGCTGATTCCTGTAACAAATCTCCCTCTAAGAAATGTATATCCATCCCGTTGGTTGTGTTACTCTGGAAAATCCTGAATAATACAGAATTTGGTACCCAAAAGTGGGATGCCCCTATAATAAAACCTAAGAATGTAGAAGTAGCTTTGGAAATGGGTAATGGGTAGAGGTTGGAAGAGTTCTGAGATACAGCTAGAAAAGGCCTATCTTGCCATGAACAGACCTTTCAATGTGATTCTGGTGAGGACTCAGAAAGAAAAGGAGAGCTGTAGAGAAGGCCTACATCTTCTTAGGGAATAACTAAGGAATCCTGAATGCTGATAGGAAGTCAGTATGGACCAGCCATCTCCACAGAAGCCGGCAGCGATTCTCCAAGGCAACAGAAACATGACCCTGCAGCCAACTCAGAGAGCATCAGGGCTGCCCACCCATGTCAGGCCAGGCACAAGAGCCCCAGGGTAGAATGATTTAAAAGTAGGGGCCACTGGTGCCTGGGACTGCAAGGGCACTGCCTCACATCATGGGCTGCCCACCCTCCAGCACTGCTGTCCCTGGCTGTCCCGGGTGCAGCTCTGCCTTGGGCAGACCCTGGTGCCCTGTGAGCCCCAGCAGTTGCCTTCTGGAGGGAGCAGGTGGCAAAGGCTGGCAGTGACTGTGTGGTTCTCTTTTCCCCACCATGGGGAGTGCAGGAGCCTTGGGGGTGTGGCTGCCCTTACCTAAATTTCAAAGGCTGGGGTCCAGGCACAGAACCACTGTAGGGCCATCCAACTACACTGGATTGGGTCACCCAAAGCTGTGGGAGGCCACCCAAAGCTGTGGGGCCAGGGACTTGGAGAGCCAACCCCTGCCCTGCAAAGCTCCGGGGCAGAACCGCCAACTCGTTATGTCCAAAAGGCAGGACCCCTGCTCCAGTGGGTCTGGAGGGCACAGCATCTAGTCAAAGAGGATTATTCTGGAGTCTTGAGGTTCCATGTTATTTTCTCTGTTGGGTTTTAGACTTACTTGGGACCTGTTACTCCTTTTCTTTCCTATTTCTCCTTTCGGAAAGAAAATGTCTGTCCTATGCTGGTCCCACCACGGGATTTCTGAGGCACAGAGCTCGTGTGTTTTCATAGGCTCACAGCTGGAGGGTGACTGTGGTCAGGATGAATCATACCTTGGATCTCACTAATACAGAGAGATCGCAGAGATACTGACATTGGGGATCAGAGGAAACCATATGATTTGGATGAGATGTTGGGCTTTAGACTTGAGTTGATGTGGGAATGAAGCGGAGGCTATGGAGATGGGATGAATGTGGGAAAGATATGAATTTTAGGGACTGGGGTGGAACGCCATAGACTGTGTATGTTCCCCCCACTAAATTCATATGTTGAAACCTAACCCCCAGTGTGATGGTTTTAGGTGGGGCCTCCGGGAGGTGATTAGGTCAGAAGGGTGGAGCCCTCATGCATGAGATTAGTGCCCTTAGAAATGAGACCCCAGAGAGCTCATTCATGCCTTCCATCAAGTGAGGACACAGCCAGAAGATGGCTATGAACCAGACAGCAGCCCTCCCCAGGCACAAAATCTGACACAGCCTGGATCTTGGACTTGTGGCAGAACTGTGAGAAAAAAATTTCTGTTGTTTAGAAGCCACACAATCTATGATGTTCTGTGATATCTGCCTGAATGAACTAAGACACGTATCGTATCATATTATAGCATACTGTTCTGTTCTGTTCTATCTAGGTGATAATACAAAAGAAAATTAAGGTTAAGATAAAATTAAATTAAATGCAATTCTGTCAGCTGCTGTGAAGATGAGCAATGGCTGTGTAAATGCACCTAAGGAAACCACTGTGTTGGGGACGTAGTGGATGCCGCACTGACCGTGCAGTGCCAATAGCTCTGCTGCCACAAACCCACGGGACCTTGGCTTCTGCACACACCTCTGTGGGGGGCTGAGCATACGCAGACGGCCTTGGTGACCTGAAGGCCTGGCAGTCAGAGGCTCGATGATGCTTTGTGGTTGATGCAGCGCAACTGGAGGGATTTTGAAGACTGAGCCGACAGACACACTTTCGCCTGAGACTTACCAGCACTGGAGAGTGCGGGCTGTGCTAGCTCGGTCTCCCCCACTGCGCGGCCATTGCCTGAGACTTCCTTTCTTTACCCCCATAAAGGCTATTGAGCCTGAAATTATATCCCGAGCAGTCTCCCAGATGCAGAATAAAAGTCCTTCTTCCCACAGTATCTTTTAGCTTTCAAAGGTTTAATTCATAGTAAAAAACGGACTTCCACGAGCCATCGTGTGGCTAAACTTTTGGGGGCAAACTTTTTACAGTGAATTACTCCACACATAAAGGAAGAGAAGAAAACCATAAATAATAAGAAGCAAAGTTAACCACACTGATTACCAGAATGGGCATGACTCCCCAACAGGTGTCTTTTTATTCTTCTATACTCAAGTATTTTTTAAAAGACTGATATGGTTACTTAACTGACTTCCTTAATAGAGAATCTTTGTCAGAAAAATCTTAAGCCCATTACTCTTAACTACTTACACTGCAGAGGTATTAAAGATGACAAGTAATGAAAAAAATCTATTTCCTCCTTTTTGAATATCTGTAATTCAAGAAATGCAACTCTGGTAATAAACACATAGAGGACTCCACCATACAGAGGCGGGTGTATCTGTAATAAATCAGATGCCTGTTAGGTAAGGGTGATGTTTATCTGAAATGCAAGAGACAGAGTGAGATCGTACCTTACAAAGGGCTTGAGAAAGACAGAAGTCAAAGATGGCTTAAGGAGGAGACATTTTCATTTTGTTTGTCATCTTATGCAATTAAATGGGAAATGAATCCCTTGAAGAGTAAACACCTTAAGTACCATGAGCAGGGATGTAGCTTCTTGCTGAAGAAATGCAGGGAGTCTGTCATCTGGTGAGGATGCAGCTGGCCCAGGGAGGCCTGGGGACCCCAGGAGTTATCTTGGGATAAGCATAGGATTCTGACCTTCACCACCTCCAAACAATACGCTTTTGAGTAACTTTGCTGCCTTGTGCCTTAGTTTCATCATTCGTAAATAAAGATGATGATTTATAAAAATATAATAATAATAATAACAGTCCTCCCCTCTTAAGAGAGGGCAAAATTGTGCTTAGAATTTTCCTTACTTTTTTCTCCCCTGGGAATCTGAAATCATCCAAATGGGAATCAAATGACATAAATGAATTAGCATATTATGGAAATACAATCTGTTCAAGCTACCAGATTGATCGGAGCTGAGTTTCTGAGTGACTCAGTGCCTTCTAACGAAGCATCTCAGCATAAGAGAGGAAAACAAATAAAGAGGTGCTGAAAATAACATTCTGGGGTTTGCAGCCAGGCGGGCTAACTCCGAGGAGGTTCTATTTCAAGATGCTGTCATTGATACCTGTCTATGCGGGTCACTACACACAGCTCTGCATTCCCAGTGCCTCTGCAGTGATCCCATCTTACAGGACGTGCTCCACTGCTTACAGGAAGGACAGAGGGGGCTTTGACATGTTGGCAAGCTCGGACTGTGCTGCCTAGGCCCATTCCAGCATCTCCTGACTGCCGTGGGTGCCATGAGAGTGACCCACCACACAGCTGCCAAAAACACACACCAGCATAACCATCAGTGACTTGACTTGCTTCAACAGAGAGATTCTGCTGGAATGATTTTATTTTCTCCTTTACAAACAACTGAACACAGCTTATTTCCTTCCAGGAAGGGAATGCATATCTCCTCTAGGCTGAGAAAGTTGACTTGCAGGGAAAATGCTTGAAAACTAGTTAGGCATGAAAACCCAGGTGCAGTCCTATCAGAAAAATCATCATTACCAAGAAATATTTCACGTAAGCAGCTCATTCGACACTGCGGAGAGCGCCTACCGAGACGAAGGAATTCCACACTGCAAGCCCTCCTGCAGAAGGGCGCACCTGTGTTCTCCGTGCAGGCACCGGCCATCTTTAGTCATGAACATGATCACAGGCCTTTCATATTGTAACTGGAGGTATTACAGCTGAACCAAGACATCATTCTTTCTAACCAGGTGGCATCTAACTTCCTCCCCACATCCCTATTCAGCAGAACTAAATAAAACCTCAACCAGGAAAGTCCTAACACAGCTCCAAAGCCAAGCAGTCTTTGTGGAGAAAAGGGCTGAAGGTGAACACAGCTTACACTTTCCAAGCCTTTGCTTGAGCCGGCAGCACTCTGCACACTCTAACAAGGGAGAGCCTCACGTCGGCAATGATGTGGGGTAGTTATCTGTTAATACAACCTATCCCACTTTCAGCAGGGGGACACTGAGGCCAGGAGAGGCACCCCAAGATGACACAGCTCGTGGGGTTAGAGCTGGACTCAGCTCCAGGGTCTGGACTTGGTGTTCCTGGCCCCTGTATCAGGGATTCTCCATGTTGGCAGTGCCCTAGAGACACCGGCGGAGGTAGCTTTCATCAATTCTCGCGCTCAGACCAACCAACTTAGAGTCTCCCAGAGGGGTCCGAGGCATCAGCATCTTGTGAAAGTCCCCCAGGCCATTCCAGCTTGCAGCTGAGGATGAGAACTACTGCTCCATACAATACAGCCCATCTCTTAAGGTGCATGACCAACCCTGTTTGATGAAGATGAGGCTTGGTTCATTCTTGGTCTCACGGTTGGGAACACGTTTCTTTGCAACACATTCTTTTAAATCAAGTTCCCTTACAATACAAAGTGGGGATATTACCCTTTGGAATTCATTTTATGTGGAATGCATTATATAGAACGGTTACCTGTAATAACTCCATGTTGAGTCATGAATATGGAAGCTTTGTCAAGTTAAAGGAGTCGAGCACATTTAAGGCATCCTTAAGTACTGGGGCGACAGGCAGCACCGCCGGGTCAGAGGGAGAGGAGCAAGGTTGCAAGCGCACCCCAGCAGTGTGGCCCCCTCAGCAGCTGAGCAGATGACCTCCCTCGGAAGTGACCCACCCCCTCTCTAAAGGAAGGAGACGGGTGCCCAACGCTCCAAACTTGTTTGGAGATCAAATGGAGCCGTCGGAAGCCATTATCCTCCGAGGTGAGCTGGAAGGAATCCCACTGACAACCCTCACTTCCAGGCACAGGACAATCAGCCACGGTTTGGAGAAACAAGCTGGAGTTTCAAAATGACTTCTGCAGGTCTCCCGCCTCCTTTCATTTTTCTTTTTCAAAACATTTGACTATTCACATGCCTGGCATCTTCCCTGGACGGCCGCCTGGGCTTTCGGGGTTTTGCTGTCAGCAGGTGGAGAGCATCCCTGCGGCTGTTACCATGCGTTCCTTCTTTCTCCTTGACATTCTTCAGGATGATTAATGATCTCACAAATCAGGGATATTATGAGGGTGGAGAACGGGTTAGGAGATACTTGAACAACTTGGGCTAATGGAACGCAGAGGTGTTAGAGCTGAGACAAACTTGGAGGTCCCTTTGAGTCAACTCTCTTCTTTCACAGATGAGGAAGAAACAAGAAACTAAGGTTTTGGGCCAGCAGGTGTCCTTGCCCAGGCTAAGTGCTAGTTAGTACCAGTTAGTGCTAGTTAGTGCCAGGCCTCCTCTCCACATAACTCCGCTGCATCATGGTTAGATCCAGGGACCTAACCTACTTCGAAGTATGCAAAGTATTATTTGCAAAGCTTTTCTATTTTTCTCTTCAGAAAATAGATTCCAATGAAATTTTTGGGAAAAAAAAATCTACTTTTTAGTGATGGATCATTACGGAAAGCCGAAACAGTATAAGATGTAAAACAATGATTAGTTTTAAAGCTGACTTTTAAGGAACACAAGGAAACAAAAATGTTTCTATTCTTCTATGTTTATATGGCTTTTTTTTTTTTTTTTTTTTTTTGGACAGGGTCTTGCTCTGTCACCCAGGCTGGAGTGCAGTGGCACAATCACAGCTCACTGAAGCCTTGAGATCTTGGGCTTAAGCAATCCTCCCACCTCAGCCTCCCAAGTAGCTGGGAATACAGGTGTGCGCCACCATACCCAGTTAATTTTTGACTTTTTAAATTTTTCGTAGAGATGGGGTCTTAACATGTTGCCTAAGTCTCGAACTCCTGGGCTCAAGCAATCTTCCCACCTCTGCCCCCTAAAGTGCTGGGATTACAGGTGTGACTACCACATCCAGCCACATGGCTCATTTTCATAGCATAAAAATAATTTTAGCTACTCAAGCACATTGTTCCAAAATATTTTAAAAATAACTTTACATTACAAAAAAATTAGAGATATTTCATTTCTGTTGAAAACTTGCAGTAACAGAGTATAGGGAAGAAGACAACAGCTAGCCCCAATCCTGTAAGTCAGCCCTTCACTTTGGCATGTTTGCTTCTGGCACAATGTCCATCTCATGTGTGTACACACAAATACACACACCTCACTACTGCTCAAGTCACTCTTAAATTTAACAATACCATGATTATTCTGTACACAGAGTTTTATGTCCAGCCTATTCCACATAACCATGGATCAGGAGCCGTTTCTCAAGGACACTGTGGACTGGATTATAAACAGCCGTGGATACTTGCATTAGGGAGAGTGAAGTCATCGAGATGGAGCGTTCTGCACTTTAGCTAAGAGGCCAAGGTCAGCCCTGAGGGAGTCCAGGCTTAGCGACAACTTAAACAGGGTGCAGCTTCCCGCTCCTCCATTCCACTGTATTCCTACAGAGCAGAGCAGGCAGGCACAGATTCCAGCTGCATTCCCACTTTGCCTCCCTTTCCTTCAGTGGCGGGGGAGGGTGAGGCCAACTTTGAAGGGAAAGAAGGAACCGTTACGCTTGAAGGAGAAAAGGAGCTCTTCCGGGTCACTCCTGGTGCCCTGGAGAGGTGAACATGGAACCGCCTGATGGACAGTAGGACAGTGTGTGGCCAAGGACAGGCTGGAGAGCTTCCCGCATCCACTTGCCTTTGTCTTAAACCACAGGAAGATGCCTCATCTGTGTTTGAGAGCAAATCTCAATGCCTCGAGGATGAAAGAGTGGGTTTTAGGAAAGGAACGTATTATCTAGCAGCTGTTCATTTTAAGAATAACAGCTTTTTGGAGATATAATTCACATTCCATATGATTTGCCCATTTAAAGTGTACAATTCAATGGTTTTTAGGATATTCACAGAGTTGTGTACCATCGGTGGGTTTTAAAGATTTTAATCACCCAAAAGCAGCTCCAGACCTGTCTGCACTCAGTTCCCACCTCTCTCACCCCCCAGCCTAGGAAACCACTCATCTACTTCCTGTCTCTAGGGTCTGCCTCTCCTGGACGGTCATATGAGTAGAATCTTAACCCGTGCGGCTTGGTGCCTGGCTGTTCCCGCTAAGTACACTCTTCCCAGGCTTCACCCATGTTGGAGTGGGCACCAGTACTTTATTCCTTTCTATTGCCCAATATCATTCCGTTGAATAGATAGACACTTTATTTTTCCATTTCCCAGATAGTGGACATTTGAGCTCTTTCCCTTTTTTGGCTACTGTGAATTGGCTGGTGCTGCCATGAACATTCCTGTGCTAGTTTCTGTGTAGACAGCTGTGTTCATTTCTCTTGGTGAACCGCCTAGGAGTGGACCAGTGAGGTCGCATGGTAATCTCTGGTCAACCTTTCGAGAAACTGCAAGAACAGTTCACTGTGTTGGCATTCAGATGATCCTGCACTAACAAATGTCTAATTTAACTTCCTATTTTGAAGAGATAGCTGTAACTGAAGAGACATAGACCAATGGAACAGAACAGAGCCCTCAGAAATAATACCACACATCTACAACCATCTGATCTTTGACAAACCTGACAAAAACAAGAAATGGGGAAAGGATTCCCTATTTAATAAATGGTGCTGGGAAAACTGGCTAGCCATATATAGAAAGCTGAAACTGGATCCCTTCCTTACACCTTATACAAAAATTAATTCAAGATGGATTAAAGACTTAAATGTTAGACCTAAAACCATAAAAACCCTAGAAGAAAACCTAGGCAATACCATTCAGGACATAGGCATGGGCAAGAACTTCATGTCTAAAACACCAAAAGCAATGGCAACAAAAGCCAAAATTAACAAATGGGATCTAATTAAACTAAAGAGCTTCCACACAGCAAAAGAAACTACCATCAGAGTCAACAGGCAACCTACAGAATGGGAGAAAAGTTTTGCAATCTCCCCATCTGACAAAGGGCTAATATCCAGAATCTACAAAGAACTTAAACAAATTTACAAGAAAAAAATCAAACAACCCCATCAAAAAGTGGGCAAAGGATATGAACAGACACCTCTCAAAAGAATACATTTATGCAGCCAAAAGACACATGAAAAAATGCTCATCATCACTGGCCATCAGAGAAATGCAAATCAAAACCACAATGAGATACCATCTCACAGCAGTTAGAATGGTGATCATTAAAAAGTCAGGAAACAACAGGTGCTGGAGAGGATGTGGAGAAATAGGAACACTTTTACACTGTTGGTGGGACTGTAAACTAGTTTAACCATTGTGGAAGACAGTGTGGCGATTCCTCAAGGATCTAGAACTAGAAATACCATTTGACCCAGCCATCCCATTACTGGGTATATACCCAAAGGATTATAAATCATGCTGCTATAAAGACACATGCACATGCATGTTTATTGTGGCACTATTCACCATAGCAAAGACTTGGAACCAACCCAAATGTCCATCAATGATAGACTGGATTAAGAAAATGTGGCACATATACACCATGGAATACTATGCAGCCATAAAAAAGGATGAGTTCATATGGTTTGTAGGGACATGGATGAAGCTGGAAGCCATCATTCTGAGCAAACTATTGCAAGGACAGAAAACCAAACACCACATGTTTTCACTCATAGGTGGGAATTGAACAACGAGAACCCTTGGACACAGGATGGGGAACATCACACACTGGGGCCTGTGGTGGGGTGGAGGGATGGGGGAGGGATAGCATTAGGAGATGTACCTAATGTAAATGATGAGTTACTGGGTGCAGCACACCAGCATGGCACATGTATACATATGTAACAAACCTGCACGTTGTGCACGTGTACCCTAGCACTTAAAGCATTAAAAAAAAAAGTTCACTCTAAAAAGCATGGGTTAAATTACGTTACAATTGATAACACTGAACTAAAAACTTGAGTGCCTACAATAAACTAGAATGTCTCACCTAAGACTTTTGTGTACGTAAGAATTACTGGGACATCTTGTTTGAAAAGTCATATATCTAGGCCTTGTTTCTACAAGATGATGATTCAGTAGATCAGGAGTGGGGCCAGGATCTGTGTTTGTAACAGTCCTCTCCCCGCCCCCAAACACACAGACAATTCTAATCAGGTCTAACCAAAGTGGTCAACTTCTGCATTTTCTTACCATTGGTTGTACTGATAAATGTCAACCAGATTTCTCTCCCCTATAGAATTTTCACCAGAAGTCCCACGGACCTTCTAACTCACTTGGAAGAGCTCTTTTCCTCCTTTGTATACTTAAGTGGTTTAAAGTCTGTACATATTTGGTCTATGCATTTTTTGTCCTTCTTGTTGGTGACAGGTCCTTCCCAACATATATCTCATTTCCTCAGCTAGAAGGCAAGTGACCTGAAGGCAGAGAATGATATATTTGTACTGCTCCCCTGCCTGTAGTTGCTGGGGACACTGTTGCAAGACCTAAAAATTCAAGTGCCGCCTTCACATCTCAGAGCCTCATGGGGCCCCAAGGCCTCTGCATGAGCTCCCTGCTCTGCCAAGTGTGCCCCCCTCCCAGAGAGAAAGTCTCCCTACCCTGCAGGTTTCCCCATAAGCTGGACCAGCTGCCCCCATCCAGCACCCACCCTAAAAGGCTTCAGTTCCCTGCCAGCCCACAGAATCATTCCAACAAGCCAGCCACACCTTCTGCAGGAACCAGGGGCCACGTGACCCTCCCGTTCCTAGGAAGCCTGCCTCTCACCGTCTCGGCACCTAAGTGCTGCCCCCGTGACGCCCTGTGTGGCACGGGGTGCCCTCCTCCCCAGGGGGTCAGTTTATGTAACTAATAAGCTGCTGTCAGTTCATCTGTCCAGTGCCCGGCGCTGTGTGTTCAATCGCCTAATGCTGTTTAGGGCAGGGGGAAGTTCCCTCTCTCACCAACACAGTGAATAGGAGGTGATCAGAACAGATACGGTAGGTGCCCAGCTAGTGACGGGCTTAAAGACTGTGAGCCTGGAACGGAGATTTTGGATCACATTCTGACTCTAACGCTGCACTAGGGGCTCATCCCTCACTTGCAGGATGGGCGTGCAGAGGAGCTGGGCAGAAATCGGTATTTCTAATGCCCAGTCACTGGGTCAACAAAGGAAAACAACCCAACCCAACCATGAGTCACGTTGTATTTAAAACCGAGTGAGGCCGTCGGCCTGCCGGTATCGAGGCTGGTTTGTCAGGCCCCATCCAGCCCAACAGCCTGCTCGCAGCCTGCTGCTCTGCTTTCCCAATGCCGCTCCACGGCAGAACATATGTGGGAGAATGGTATTTACGCAATACAGCTCTTCTCTGACAATTGTGGAAACTCTGCAGGGATATTTTAAATATTCATGGAAATGTTTATACTGTTTATTATCAATCAGAGAGTAATGTGCTCATTTAGAGACATTTTCAGAAATCGTGAACATTAAATGGAATGAATATTTCCTCAAATAACGGAGTAGAAATTGCAGTTACCTGTCTCTGAAGCAGCCGGCCCTTCCGAAGCTCTTACCTTTTAGGGTGGCTTTCTTAAGGACCTTCATGGCGTAGAGCTGCCCAGCGTCGGACCCCTTCACCTTCCTCACCAGGAACACCTTAGCAAGAGAAAACGGAACATCAGAAACCCGTAAGACTTCAAACTCGCTTTCCATATTGGATTTGACAAGGGGATACACAAGGAAGTTTAGAGCATTTTCAATAAAACAAGTACACTGGTGAGAATTTAAAATTTTCTCCAACGTCAAGGCTGCCGGAAAATGCTCTAAGTTCCTATAGCTCTGCGGCGAACATCACTATGTGCCTGTATGAAGAAGCGTCATTTGTTTTTGGTATCATTAACTTTGCATTTTATGCCAGAAATAATACCGCCCCTTGTTTTGAAGACCAGCTGTTTAGAAAAACAAACAGGAGTTTTAAGGGAGATCCTTTGGTTTGAGTATCCCTCTGTAAATCCTTACTGAGAGACCACGCTGAAAGGTATTACCAATCACACAAAACAGGCTCTATCCGATTTTCAAGAAAAGCTACTTTCTCTTACTTCAACTGTCTTCACCCAAATTTTAGCTGTGAGTAGCTTAAGAGTTCCTTTCTAACTGGATCTTAAATACACTTACGGATATTTGGCAATGCTTTCTGAAATACATTTTGATGTGTATCACTGAGAAAAACAACAAAAAAAGGTAATTGAGAGCTTGAGTTTAAATTTGTATTAGTGATTTTTTAACAAACTTAGTAAACAAAACTGGAGTTCCTTTGTATAAAAAAAAAAACTTCCATGCAAATTAAGAAAATAGTACTTGATTTTCCTAAAAGTGTTTTCCAATAGATGCAAATATCTGCTTGCATGATGGAGATGACACAGGCACACGGTGCACTGGTGTGGCTGCCCATGCAGTATGGCTGGAGGGCCGAGGTAGGGTGGCTCCTTCCCAAAACGTCTCCTTTACTAAGCCTCAAAAAGCCAGAAAGACCAGCCACTATAGATGTTCTAGTTCCATGGAAACTCCAGGTGGCCCAAGTGAGCATCCGTGTGGAGCAGCAGCCTCACCTGCCATGGGCAGAGGGACATGGCTGGGACCTTTGCACTCTTGGCTCCCCCCCAAGACTGGAGGGGCAACGTCTAGACACTTACCGAGTGCAGGGGCTCTAGGAGCAGGGGCTGCTAGGGCAGCCCAACTGGAGGGAGACCAACCAGCGTCTATTCTAGAGGCACAAATAAAGAGGGACCGGGAAGACGCAAGGTCCCAGCACAGGCATGTGGATTCACGGAGTTGCTGTATCAGTGTCACGCTCTCACCATGTGCCCCTGAAGTGATTCCGGACCCCACTGCTGCCCTGCCATCTGTCCCGATCACTGTCATTATTGAATCACAGCCCCTCCCCAGGTGGGGACTCTTCTAGATGACGCCCATGGGAAAGCACCCCAGCACCCCTACCCGGGGTGCAGGACGGTACAGCATCATCCTGTGTGATGAAATGCTGCCTCTCGGACCCGATTAGGTCCCAAGAAGTCACAGGCAATTAGAAAGAGGCTTCCCTCTTCCCCTGGGTTATAGACTATACCATCACCGACAGTTAATATTCATCTCTGGGAGATGTGTGGAGTGTGAGAGAGAGAGAGAGAGAGTGTGTGTGTGTGTGTGTGTGTCCCCAAAGCTGGATAAACAAGCTTGTGGTGAAGCCCTGGGGCGATAGCTGGGGCATCACCCTTACGCACACTGTGGTGGGAGACACAGGCACAAGCCCTTCTCCGGGCTCAGGATCCCATGGCTCTTGCTGGCAGACCCACTGTAGCCCTGGAAGTTACTGCACATGGAAGGACTCTGCCTCAGGGTGTTCCCTCTGTGCAGTGGGCGAGCTTCCTGACAGGCAGGTAGAGATGTGAAGGCAGTGGTCTGAGGACAGGATTTTTACAGAGAGAAAAACATTAGTGCTTAACTCTTGAGATCTTCTGCTTTGAATCACGGGAAAGTCACATGCCATGCACAGTTTTAGCTTCCATCTGATGCAACTCCTTTCATTTCTCCAGCCCGTCCGTGTGCCTAATGTCCCTAGGTTGACTTGATGAGTGGTGCTGTGGAGATCAGGACCAGCCAGGACAGTGCAGGGAGGAGGCAGGCGCAGCCCAGGAGTCCAGGAGCTGGGCAAGGCTGCGTGAGCGTCCCGGTGCCGGAGAGGCCGCACTGGCAGAGAGGAACCTGGGTCCCAAAAAAGTCGGAGGGGGTGTGGAACAAGGGACAGTTGTGTTTGTGGCAGGGACGCCACATTTCCCCGGCATCCTGCAGGTAAGTTGGGCAGTGACACCAGCAAGGGCAGGGGTGTGCCTTCCTGGCCTAGGCAATGAAGAGCAGGTGCAAAACGTTCCAGCTGCCACTCCCTGCTGTGGCAACTGAGGACACCTGGTGCAGGACAAACCGGGCAGCCTGGTCACTGAGTCACTGTGTGGAGGATGGAAGCCTTGGGTGGTTGCTCCAGCCCATGGTGGACTTTGGTAGGGTGACAGATGAATCTATCCATTCCATTGCGGCGAAGCTGACATGTTAGCTCCCAAAATAAGGCATTCTTATAATCAGAAAACAAAGGGCCAGGTTCAGTGGCTCACACCTGTAATCCAGCACATTGGGAGGCTGAGACAGAAGGATCTCTTGAGGCCAAGAATTTGCAACCAGCCTGGGCAGCATAGCAAAACCCCAGGTCTAGTAAAAATAAAAATAAAAATTAGGGCTGGGTGCGGTGGCTCACGCCTGTAATCCCAGCACTTTGGGAGGCCGAGGCGGGCGGATCACGAGGTCAGGAGATTGAGACCATTCTGGTTAACATGGTGAAACTCCGTCTCTACTAAAAATACAAAAAATTAGCCAGGCGCTGTGGCAGGCGCCTGTAGTCTCAGCTACTCGAGAGGCTGAGGCAGGAGAATGGTGTGAACCCGGGAGGCGGAGCTTGCAGTGAGCCGAGATTCAGCCACTGCAGTCCGGCCTGGGCGAAACAGCGAGACTCTGTCTCAAAAAAAAAAAAAAAAAAAAAAAAAGAAAGAAAAAACAAAAATTAGTTGAGTGTGGTGGTTGGTGGTGCGTGCCTGTAGGCCCAGCTATCCGGGAGGCTGAGGCAGGAGGATCGCTTGAGCCCAGGAGTTTGCAAACAACAAGCTCCCTCTTTCAAAATGGGAGGACCCTGAAGAAAAAGGAAGCAAGGTACATGACGGATTTGTGTTTGGACGGTGCAGCCTTCACAATATCCTGAGTGGGTCCGTACTTTCAATACCTCTGCACTCAACCCCTAACCCATAAGAAGTACGACCGTATAAACTCAAAGAGCAGAGGAAGCCCCATTCCACTCAAGTCTGAACTGGAGACCAAGTCCACATGGGGCAGCTGCCAGTTAAGATTTGGTTTAAATGATGTCAAGTTTTGCATAGGTCTTGACACATGAAACTTTTCTCTCTCGTATGTTAGGCCTTAAAGATGAGATGACTGATGGTCGTGGCTAATGTTCATACTTATCTGTTTTGAAGAGAGAACCATACTTTTGCTTTTTAAAAGAATGGAAAAAACTCCATCCTACCAATGTCTGCCAAGCTTCTCTGTGGGGCCAGGTACTGCGAATTCCTGCAGCAGGTGCTGCCTGACTCGCAAGCACAGGACCCAGTGGAGGGGAACGGCACCTTGAGACGAGCAGCAAAATACAGCAAAAATGCAAAAATGATTTTGGTAACGAGTGTGGCAACTTGCTGGTCTGCGACAGGGATCTTGACCCTTGGGTGCCGTGCAGTTCCCTCTCCCTCTCTGCTGTCATTCTTGTCACTGAAGATCAATTTTAATGTAGTGGAATAAGCTCCAAAACAACACTGTAACCTCGAGCTAACGCAGGCACTGTGTCTTTAATACTCAACCCAGTGGGCGCTGTGTGTGCCCCCTCATTTCATTTTTAGAACTGCCTCTCCAGCAGCTTGGCGTGCTGCATTGCAAAGATGCTGTGAGAACCGCGACCTGGCAACAGGTGCGATGTCACTCTGAACTGCCTCATGATGTCATGGATCACCGTGATCTGCTGATTCTCTCAGCAGAATTCTCAGCTCTCTCTCAGAACTGGAGGGTTTCTATTGGGCTGCAAAATCCTTCAAGCAGGAGCTAAATGCCCATGTGCACTTCCAGGGACTTTTGAGTAACAGCCACCCCCAAAAGGAAGACATTTAAAGACATGTTCTTATCATGCTACCAGCAAAGTCAGAGAAAGCAAGGATTTTTAAAAAACTTTGGTTTGGTTCCTTTTTCGAATGCAGGAATCATAACCTACAGTTCATTCTCCAGAATATTTTAAAGGAAAAGAGGTTTCCTATCCTACTCCTGGCACTTATGCGAATAGGGGAGCTCCAGGAGCAGGTGAGGAGGTGGGACCAGGGCAAAGCCACTTTCCCAGCCCCGGGGTGGTTCCCACACCTCCCTCCTCTAAGCTCGCAGGGAACACTGGGTCTGCACCCCTCCTTTCAACACTGAACAAGCTTCACCATCTTTCATTGCTTTCCTGATTCAAGCTTTAAATTGCTTTTCATTTTGAGGATAAGGCTGTTTTCTGTGCTTTTCTCTGGTCCCAAGCACCACCCATGGCCCTGCTCTCTAGATAGCGATGAAATCATGATGGCTTCGCCTTGCAGGACTGAGCTCAGAGCTCATAGACGCTTCCCGCTGGTGGTGAGTGCAGCTTCTCCCACAGGAACAAGCTTATTCCGGCTGACCAGGTGAAGAGCAGCGGCTTCGGAGAGCCTAAGCGGCTCACACAGGCAGGCAATGGGACAAGTCACTCGGATGGCTCCTGGTGCAGTCTGAGGTCAGGAGCTGGCACCAGTGCAAAAAGTCTAAAGGGAAGAAACTGCATGTCATCCATTTCTGCATCTCCAATGTCATCATTAAATAAGAGAGAAAGAATGGAGTGGCTCAGTGACAGGCAACTATGAGCCCTGTTGAAGGACTCGGCTCCCAGGCAAGGCCTGTCCCGGGACACTGCGTCCAGATTCACACCAGGTCTTTGCTCTTTGGAGCGGAGGCAGGAGGTGGAAACCTGAAGAACAGGTGCTTTCTGCAGAATGAGAACATTCAGTGTTGTCCTTCTGTCCCTGGTAGGTGCAAAAGGGAAGATGACTCTTGCATAAGGTTGTGTTATTTGCATGTAGAGAGGAGGAATACAGTAACGTGGGGCATTAGAACACACGGCTTCTCCCCCTCGTCATCAGTTTTGCTTAAATTAAAAAAACTCACCACAAACAAACCTATGTGGACAAATACAATTTGTATCTGTGACTCTCTAGTGACGATATTAGCTCCAACCTTCCCTGGAAATGTCTGAGCAACGCTTTTGAGAATAGTATCTCTTCTTTCCAGAGTCCAGCTCGCATTAATCCACGAAGCGGACCTAAGCCTCCCTTCCCACGCCAGCCCCAGCCTGGACCTCCTGCCCCGCCCCTCACACCAGCTCTGGACAGGCATTACTGGAGCTGGCCCATTCCGTAATCCCTGGAGGTCAGACACCCATGGGCGCTGCCACTGCCTCATCCTTCTCTTTCCCCTACCTACTACTGTTCTTGAAACTTTACGTTTTAATTCCTCATATAATAAAGACACAAGTAAAGATAAAATTAGAAGTGGTGAAAGGCTGGGAAGGAAAGGGACAGAGTGTTATGAGCATTATCATTCCAACGGGATTCTGCCAAACACCATGATTTCACTTGTTTTCCAAAACATGTTTTTTTAAAGCAAAATTAAAATTCAAAATTTGAAATCTGAACGAGGGAGCTGGAAAAGCCTTTCTCCTTTCATCTTTAATACCCCAGTTCTGTGAGGAGGACATTGGTAAGATTCACTCTGTAACAGAATTGGTCAACCAAAGCCCTCCAGACACTTCCTGGGCCTCCGCCATGGGATGTATTCCAGCGCTCCTTCCCTCCAGATAAAGACGATTCGGCTGATTCTGTGCTTCCACAGGTGGAATCTGTTCTCAAGAAACAATGCATGGGCAACACCCTTGAAAGGTGGAAAAAGGAAAGAATGCTTGCTTGTCTCTGTTTTCAAATCATGGAGAAAATTATTCTCCTCTCTCTTTTTTCTCTACATTTCTAATTAATAGTGAGGCATTCCACTGTCACATTACGCAGGCTCTGCCTTCTGTGATTTTGTGCTTTTTGGTAATGGCTATTAACATCGTGAGAAACTGAAATCTTCATCCCCCTATTTCATAAACACCATATCAACTAGCCATATTAAATAGACATTTTTGTAGGCCCAAAATATTGCTGGTAATTTCCTATGGTTTAATCTAACGTATAAAAATTTTACAAACAATCCAGTTCATGCGGACTGTAGGATTATCCAGAACACCGATGTACTATTCATTCCATCCAGTTCATGCGGACTGTAGGATTATCCAGAACACTAATGTACTATTCATTCTACACTTAAATTAACAGCAGCCACATGCATTTTGGCACAAAGTCATGTGAAGAATGCAAAGATTTGGTAAATGTCTACATACCACACAAAAATAGTTACTTTAAAGAGCCAGGCTGTTCTGCTTACATGTAAGGAACGGTTGGCTTCATGGTTTATTTCAGGCCCTTATGTTCTAGAAATCAAGTTGTCAGAGCCTATATATTTCTAACAGCTAACCCAAGGAGGCAGAGAAATCAGCATTGTGCTGGAGTAAGTCACGTGTCATCATAATTGAAAAGCGTTATTGACATCTTGTTGTATGTGGACGTGGCATTAAATGAAGAGCCAACTATTTCTCATTTCCTGAAAGAAATTAGCTTTTATTGCTGCAATTTGAAGGTGACAAAAAAGGGAAATGAACAATTCCACTGCACAAATACATCTTAGGCACCTGCTGGGTGGGATTCGTGCCCTATTTACTCCATGGAACAACTGTATAAAGTAGGTTTTATCCTTTCCATTTAGTGGGTGGGGAAGCTGAGGCTTCATGAGGCAATCGTGCAGGGTGAGGAGGGGAGCCGGCTGCAGACCCTAGCCTTCCTGGCTCCTGTGCCCAATCCAGAGGAATGGATTCTTTTCTTTTCTTTATTCTTTTTTTCCTTGTTCTCTTATTTTTTTCTTTCTTTGGGGAAAACAGCTGCTAGAATGCACTTTCAAAGATACATTGGCTCAGGTCAATAACCTTCCTCACCTTGGTGATGATTTACCAAGAGCCAAGGGAGGCTCTAGAGAGAAGGCAAAAGTGCATGTGACGGCTCCAACGGCATTTTGTTCTCACCTGGCACAGCCCAGCCCTGTGCCACTGGAATTCTGGCTGTGCAAAGTGAGACCCCGGTTCTGAACTGTCCAGGTTCCCGTGATCGCAGCCCTGCAGGTGAGGACCGCCTGCAATTTTCATCCAGGGGGGCTCTGTCCAGGTGTCCTTTGTGTTCAGGAATGAGACTCAAGAGACAGCCAGGGCTGAACTTACCTTTCCATAGGATCCTTGTCCTAAAACCTTCAGCAGCTCAAACTGGGAAGGATCTGCCTTCTCAAAGCCCTCCTTCACATGATGGCTGATGTCTATCTCCTTCACGACGCCTTCTTCCTGCAAGAGAGCGGCACGGGTGAGAAACACACCGCGAGGAGTCCCTCAGAGCCGCTCACAGCTTCCTCCTCCCCTGAGTTTACCACGAGCTGGGTCTGTTACAGATTTTAGCGCTGGAGTTTGAAAGTGGAGACACCATTTAGTTGTGTTTTTTTCTTTTTTTTTTCTTAAGACGGAGTCTCACTCTGTCTCCCAGGCTGGAGTGCAGTGGCTGGATCTCGGCTCACTGCAACCTCCACCTCCCAGGTTCAAGTGATTCTCTTGCCTCAGCCTCCTGCCACCATGCCCACCTAATTTTTGTATTTTTGTATTTTTAATAGAGACGAGATTTCACCATGTTGGCCAGGATGGTCTCGATCTCCTGACCTCGCGATCCACCTGCCTCGGCCTCCCAAAGTGCTGGGGTTACAGGCGTGAGCCACCCCGCCCGGCCCATTTAGTTTTATGGAATCAACTTGGTGATGTGTGTGGTTATTGTGTGCACCCTGTGGGCCTTCATGGTTTCTTTTCTCCATGGACTTTTGTCATTTGGTCTTACCAAGGCCTCCGAAAAATCTAAGGGTACTCTCAATGAAATCCATTCTGCTCTTTAACAGTCTGGGCAGAAGTTCTGGTACGATGAATATAGCAACTATGGAACAAAATGACAGCAAAAGCATATTGACGGGTTCCTAGATGGAGAAGTGGTCTGGAAAATGCAGACGGCTTGTCCTCCTTCTCCTTCTGATTCACGCTATCCCTGGTATGTTTGTCAAAGCTAATGTAAAGAACACGTCATTGCCATCCTATAGATTATATTTCAGAAGAAGCAGTCAGGTAAGATTTGCCACCAGCCCAGAAAGCAAGATTTCCCTGTAGGAGAAAGAGTCTATAAGTGAAAACACTGACAGAAAACACTACAAATTTTCATCCCAGAGCTTCCTGTCCCCAGAGTCACATGACTTCCCTTGTAAAGGGGTAGGCCATCTGCCCAAGTGCCAGGCCCTGGAAATGGAACACTGGAAAGGAGGTGTTTCTCCCAACATGAGACATTCGAGCCCAACTGTTCCTTGAATTTATCTCTGCATTTCTCTGAGATTTCTGTTCCACTATCTATACATTCGTACACCCCTTTCTACAGTTTTAGCTCGGGGTGAGGGGCTGAAAAACTTCAGAAACTGCTGGCTAAAATGCGCATCCAAAAACAGCAACCAGGAATTGTATGCATAGTGTGCTCTGGGAACCAGGGGCCTCTCATTCCTCATTGCTTCTTTTCATGAAGAAACTGTGAAGTGGAGATTTTCTCCTGAGACTCAGATTACACATTAATAGCTGGAAGTGATAGAGGTGGGCTTCTCATCAAGGACTGACTTCGAAGCCAAGTACTTCCACCCTCTGTTTTACTCTAAGAGTGAAGACTTCCAAATGAAATCACAATAGCAATAACGTACATGACGATGTTTGAAAAATTCAGTTTCTCAAAACGGTTACTTATAAATCTTGCTATTTTACCTCCATGTCACAAATAGAGGCACATGTAAAAGCAGATAAGGTGTCTGAGCCGTGGAAACTCACAGCGGATTAGAGGCCTATGCAGTTATCCATGGCTTTTCCATTCTCAGTTAAAGGAAACACTTTCGTCTCCATATCTTCAAGGATGATTTGCTATTTTTGTAAAAACAGTGGTTTTTTTTTGTTTGTTTGGGAAAACAATGAGTATAGCCAAAATTGACTCTGTTTAATCCATCCTGAAGTTCATATGAGTGCAGTTGGAAGATACAGAATTACAATTTTGTTGCTTCATAATTACTTCTTGAATGAGTAAGTAAAAATGCTAGAGGCACAGCCCAGCCAATGGGCATTATATTTAGATGCTAATTTGTGAGGGGACATCACATTTTAAGCCCTTCCTCCCTTCACAGCACAGGCTTACTAGAATTGCAGGACCATGCTAGCCACCCGAGACTGTGCAGCTTTTGTGGTGAAATCTCCTGGTTTATGGAAAGGGACAGAAAAAAATGAGGCCCTCAGGGATCCACGTGTGTCACTGCCTGTGAGAACCACTACCTTCCACGCGGCTGCTGGAGGTGGCTTCCTGCACAAAAAACAAAGGCAGGAGCCCAAGTTCAAAAAAATTCATCATGGAAACATGTATGCTATCTTTTCCCGTCATTGACCTACGAAAGGAAGAAAGAAATTGCAGACGATTTGTCATTTAAAGAACAACAAAATACTCCTCTTCTGTTACTAAAACACTGTCCTCGCAATGGGTCCATTAACATCCTCTACCTACAGGACTAGCACGCGCATGAGTCATCCAAACCCCAGCCTCCCTCCCAAAATAGCTCCCATCATGCAGCTGTGTTAATGCGACGCCCACACTATGAAAAAAGGAATCACCACCAAAGCACACCCTTCTGTGACTTCATTTTGGTAACGAGAGCATGGCAACGGCCACACTGCAGAACAGAAAGTAAAATTCAACACCGCCCAGAGGTGTGGGGCAGGCGAGGCACGAGCTGGCCAGGGAGGCTTCACACTGCAGCCACCACCCTTTCCTGGGGCACGTTTCCCAGCCCTTGTGTATGTTTCCTAAAGATTTCCAGTTCCTTCCTTTTTCTTCAGCAGCTCTTTGTGGAGGGTCTGAGACCCACAGCTGTGGTGAATGAGCTCATGCAGTCCCATGGGTCCTGGTCCCCTTCACTGCCTTTGTGGGACATGCCTTTGTGGGACTAGGCTCTGAAGCGAGAGTGACAGCATCCGGGCTACTTGGATGCCACCTGGCCATGGACGCTGGCACCTCAGAATTCCCATGGGTGTTCCCCTGCTCCCAGTCAGCCCGTTTTTTAGGCTGGCTTCACGCCTTCCTCAGCACTTCCAAATTGCCATCCCCTGTTGCCTCCCGCCTCCCCGGTCCATGCCACACCCCCACCTCCGTTGCAGAAGTTCACCTTCTTTAGTCATTTCTGTAACGTTTCGAATCAAAGCCTTCGACGCAGATATCTCATAACATTTCAAATTTTGTGCAGATTCTTTCTGTCAAAGTATTGAGAGCAAATGTACCTGAAGTACACACATAATTTCATCTCCTAAAATGACATGAAAAACGCCAGCTTTCTTCCCTAATAATATTGCGATAGAGTTCACTTCTCATTTCAAATCAGTAAGGTTTTTAACCGCAAAGCATCTGAGGCGTCAATGGAAAAAAATCCCCAAGAGCATCACCTTTCAGACTTCAGAGTTCTGCCTTCACAGTGACATTTTAGCTTGAACTTGCTGGAGGATGCTTAACTTTCTTTTTCACTTTCCCCAAAACGAAAACAAAACAAAACAAACAAAGATCTGGTGTTCCATGGACTCGGCGCGCACTCTGGGGTCTGTGTGAATAGGAAACAGCCAGATGAAGCCCCAGCACCATACTCCCGGGCACTGCTGATAACGACCCTCTCTGGACAGCCCTGGTTTCTGGATCCCTTCATGACAACCACCCTAAGGGGCAACTAGCATGAAAATGTTACTCACATTTCATTTTGAAATATGTGCCTTTTCTGTTTTATGAAGCAGGTAATTTTATCTAGAGCTTGATGAGGATTTGCATGCAATGCCTTAGGAAGATCAAGTCTGTTCCTGAATCGGCTGCATCCATGGCAGGAGCATGTGGTTTCCAGCACAGCTACTGTAAACAGTATTTTTAAAGCTAACTTGAGAGCTTTGGGAGGAGGAGCTGGGACGGTGATCAGGTGCTAGCTCCATAAGCAACAATTCCAAACATTTTGTAACGTAAGAAAGAAAAACTAGAGGTATAAACTGTTTAAATGATGTTTGAATGTGACAAATTGTGACAAGGAATTTTTAAAATTCCTGCAGAACTGCACTCAAAATTCCAATGACTGCAGGAAGTCCCGGGCAGGTATTTCAGCAGCTGCTGGGAGCGGCTGGGAAGTGGGAGTGACAGGGAGAAAGATGAGGGCGGTTGGCCACTGGCTCTGCATGCCTCTCTCTGGGCCAAAGTCGCCTTCTTAGGTCATTTCCTCTGCTCTGAATCACCTGCTCTTCATGTCATTAAAGGGATAATATTTATAAAAAGTGCAAATTAAAAGTTGTGGAATATTAATGATAAGGACATAGGAAACAAAATAGGCAAGGGTTCACCTCATTTCCAAAAAAGGAGAGAGGTCATTCTATAAATCGCAGATTCACATGTAGGATATTAATTTCCAGAATAATAACAGAATATATTATTACACAGGTGGTTTATGAAAATGTGGAAAAGAACGTATCTCCAACTCACAGGTCCCATCAAGCCAGCACTGTTCTGCTGCTGACGGCATGAACTCATGAGCAGGTGGACAAGAGCCTGGCTTTGAGGGCAGCTTTGGTGGAGTCCCTCCTGAATCCCAGGTGACAAAGAGGCTGGCATCATATAAACGCTTAATGACAGAGTACCACATCGCAAGTCATTCTCTCAAGGCACAGAACCCGGACACACCTGCCCAGGAACAGTATCGTGTCCTGGAGGTTCTGAACGTATGAATGTTCTATGTTGCCCACCTGCTTCAGAATCACCCCAAGGAACTTGTTAAAATGCAGATTCCAGGCCCTGGGCAAGGCCTTCTTGGTCTGGAATCTCTAAACTTGGCTTCGTCTAGAATCTGACTTTCATTATCTCACCAAAGGTGCCCTTCTCAAGCCATCCAAATCTTACCCATTGCTAAATCGAGTGGCTAAATTTCCATCCTCCATAGCACTGGGCATGGCTATTCACTCCCTCTCACTTGAAACACTCTCTTCACCTGGATTCCAGTACATCCTACTCCCCTGGGTTCGCTCCCACCTCCCCCTCTTTCTGTGTCTGCCAAGGTCACCTTTCCCCTGGGCACAGTCCCTGGCCTTTTGTCTCCATGTAGTTACCCCCTTGGAACCTCGTCCTGTCTCCGGGCTTTATAAACCATGTGAATAAACACTGACAACTCTCAAATCTCAATCTCCAGCAGGGGCTGCTCCCAGAGGTCCAGTTCTAGAGGCCCATCCATCACAGGCAACTGTCCTGAGTGTGTGCACGTGTGTGTGCGCATGTGTACATGTGGAATGCACATACGTGAGTGTGTGTGAGACAGGTCTTGTTCTGGCTTTTTCTCACATTGGGATGGAGCTCCTTAAAGTCCCAGCTTTATGCAGGAAGTGGGGCAAGAGGTCTGCCTGGGGCCAGCCCTGGGATTTGTCACCAGTTCCCCTGCCCTGTGAGGCTGTAAACAGCCAAGCTCAAATTCACCAGGTTGTCACCTGGCCTCCAGGAGAAAGCTGGCTTTAACTGTCTCCTTCCTTGGGTTCCCTGCTCTAACACAGGGTTTGGCCTCTGCGTATTCCTTACTCCCCAGCTCACTCACACTTTTAAACATTCTTAAAGGGATACTTGATCCAGGACTTTCGGTTGTATTTCACATGAGGGCTAGCCACATGTAGTCTACCACGCCGCTAGAATGGAAGCTCAGGAATGCTTTTAAAGGGAGAGAAGATTCACTAAATGGCTTTTTAGCCTCTTCCGGAAAAGAAAGACAGCCGCAGACTTGCTGAGAAGAGTAGAGGGGAGTCTGTGCAGGAACAGCCCCCGGAGAGCGAGCTCCATCTGCGGCACGACTCCTGATAGCTCGTGGGTCCTCGGCCTTTGGTTACCAGGAAAGCTGGCTGCACCAGTGAACACATGCCACCCATGACAAAAATCCTCCAGTAGGCCGTTTTTGTAATTACTAAAACGAAATAAAAATAACTAGACATTTGAACCAAAGACTCTTAAGAACCAGAAGGAACCTCCCATGTAGCAGGTTGGGCATCTTACTATTCAAGGGACGAGAATTCAGATCATCTGAGGCCCAGGACCCATGCTCCTGGCAAAGCTGCTTCCATTCCAACCAGGGCCTAGGACGTTTAGAGTGGTAACGGCTCGCGAACTCTGGGGCCTTCTCTGCCCTTTAAACTGCCCTTTCTGCATCTCCGCAAATGTGTCTGCTTTTGCTGGTGTGAGCAAATGTGAAATGAAATGATGGGACCAGCTGCATTTGTCCAATCAATTCCTTAGGAAACCATTTCTACAACAAGTTTCCCTTCCATTTCTAAAAAGCTAAATATAAGTGAGCCATTTAGTACAGCAGAACGAGTACCCTCAAGAATGGAAATCAGGCTGGTGACATGGGCGCTTGCTGGAATCTAGGTGAAACAAAGATGGCTTAATTTAAGATGAATAAATCTGCTACAAAATCATAGGAGGAAGGGAAGCAGGAGAAGGAAAGAGAAAGGAAAATACCGGGTGCCATGTCAAGATCGCAGATAGAAGCTCTGAAATTTCAGGAGTGTGAGCCTATCTACTTGATAGAGGGCTGCTCAGCGAGACAAGGTCTCCATTTCAACCCTGGTCATTTTCAGAGTTTGAACTGCATCTATTCGATACAATGCTCAAATGGATGCCGCAGAATCCGCGGAGGGAAAGCAATGTGCAGGAACAGGGCTGGGCTCTGTTTTCTCATCCATCCTAGAATATCACTTTTTCTTTTTCTGACCAATGAAAGTGATTTAGCTTCCAAGAGTGGTCACTGCAGTCACCGCATGCACAGTGACAATCTAGGAGTGGGCTGGCTGCTCGGGCTCCTTTCCTCTTTGGGGAGAAGTCTCCGTTAAGCTACTCACTGAAGCTCCTCGGAACTGAGGCTGGGCTAATGTAAGGTTCCTAGAACACAGCAGCACTGAGTGGACAGAGACTATGGGAAGAAAGGAGGAGAAGCAGCAAAACCAGCCTTGGCATTTCTCTCCTTTTTTTTCTCTTTCTATCCAAACTTGCCTTTCTGCCTCCCCACCCCGTCCCTGTTCATTTTAGTGACTGAGGAGAGAGGAACCTCCCAAGGATGTTTCCTCTCTGGTTTTAATTAAGCCCTGCCACTTCGCCACTGTTTCTGCCTTCGCCTTCATTGCCTGTTGTTCCCGTGGATTATTTTCTCTTCCCTTCTTCTCAGCCCTCAGTCTGCTGGTATTTTTATAAATCACAGTCAAGGCAAATTGGACTCTGAAAGTTGTGCTTATAAACGGTGACTGACAGATGGAGCGCCGCCACTTTTGCAGGGGCCTCCTTCCCACAGAAAAGACGTGCAAAGAGTGGAGAGCCAGGGCTTCCTGCACACACATGGGCTCCCAGTCCTGACATCGGCCATTCTGTCGGTGTGCTCATTCTGATAAATCCTCCAATCCTTAACCTCCCTGGGAAACGTCAGTGTGAAGTCCTCACGGAAGCCTGGGGTGTTGGTGTCTGACACGGTGTTTTAGGTATGGCTCCGTGACCCCTTCCACTTCATCTTGAAAATTATCTTCAATGATTTGCTTTATAAAGACTCATTACTAGCATCGGGGAATGAGACGGTAGCTACTGACTGACATGAGTGTATTAAGATGCACAGGAACGATCTCCGAGAAGCCTCACACTCGGGGCAGGTGGAACACGAATGCAGATTAGGTCAAGCCACAGTGTTTCCTCGTGGAACAGCTTTAGATGGGACCATTTCCGGTCTGGGCAGTGGGATGAGTGCCCAAAGGGGCTGAATACATCTGTATTATTTAGCACAACTTTAAAATAACGCCAGGTAAAAACCCGGTGACAGTGATACCAGGACGCATGCCTGGTGTGCACCCAATGGGACATTATTTATGCTAGTGTGTCACCCTGACTGGGAAAACTTTTTTTTTTTTTTTGTCTCTGAGATATATAGTATGAAACTGCACTAAGAGATGAGAGAAAACTGATAACACGGGATTTAAAATCACAAGTGGAAAAACCTACATCATCATAAACTACATCATCAGTATAACCAAGAAAACTACAGTCATATCCCAGTGAGACCTATTGGGATAAATTTCCTATTTCTTTAGCAGAAAAGGGAAAATAGAAATTCTACAACTATCATCTTCTCCCAGACTCAATTATCGATGTGTCCAATGTGATCTCCTCATTCTTTTTCAAAAGCAACATATTGGTGAATGTTTGGTCAATACCTCTACCAGAATAAGTTGATGGCTGCGATGTTTCCATTAAGAAGAATAAAAAATGCTGAGTCAACTAGGATGTAAAGAAAACGCACATCCCAAGAGTGCCCAGCTGTTGGGAACGCTGAGCTGGTGGGCTCTTCTCACACAAAGTTAGTTTCTTTTCTTTTTTTTCTTTGAGACAGGGTCTTACTTTGTCACCCAGACTGGAGTGCAGTGGCATGATCTTGGCTCACTGCAGCCTCGACCTCCTGGGCTCAAGCGATCCTTCCACCTCAGCCCTGCAAGTAGACAAAATTAGTTTCTATTTCAAGTGTACTGAGCAAAATCGCAAGGCTATATTGATCAGACCGTTCAGATACCCAGCAGAGGGACGCTTGCTGGGGTAAGAGAGGCCGGTGACGTGCGTCCTCCTCTCCAGCAGCTGAAATGGGAGTGTGCACGGGGCCAACTCACTCTACAATGCTGCAACACCACCGACTTAGAGGAAGGAAGGCAGTTTGGGCTCTGCAAGGAAAGGCTGCTTAAGTAATGGATTTTTAAAAAATGGTCCACCAAATCCATGGCAATCAGTATCACAGCTGATGGGGTGATGGGGAAAGTCTCATCCCCAAAATGGTTCTGAAAGGTCGGCAGCTGAGTTGGCAGCTGAGTGCCCGCTCTCCGGCAGTGGTGCTGGTGCCCAACTGGTCATGCACGGTGTTTGTGATCTGGATGAGAGCTGGCAGAGCAAAACTGTTAGGCTGCAGATCAGGATGAATTATTCAAATTGATAACATCTTAGCAAATGGAGAGGATGTGCTAGAAGATCAGAAGAGGCCATTCCGGCAGGCAGAGTGATGGCGGCAGCCGCTTAACCCATGGCACGTGTGCAGCACGAGGTCATGTTTTCAAAAAAACAGTAATTGTGCCTTATATGGAACTTTATATTAATTGTGATAGAGAGTAGTCAGCTGCAATGCAGGAAAGGATGGAAAGAGTAACTGAGTCCGTGTTTTAGAAAAAGAAATACCACTGTGAGTGGAAACGCACCTGCCCTATGGGGCAGACTGGCGGGCCCTGAACAGAAAGCCTGCTTCTATTCTGTACAAATTCCATGGTCGACCAATAGGCATAACGTGCACACCTTCTGACCCAGGGACCTCACTCCTCAGAATTCATCAAAAACATTTACACATAGAAAGCTGTAACATTATTTATAACAGTGAAGAAATAAGAAACAATTGAAACGTCCAGCAAGTGGGGAAGAATAAGGAAAATGATGATCTATCCACCAAATGAAAGTTTACGTAGGCTTTCAGAGTGATTGCGCTTTTTCCCATTACTCCAAAAAGATGAAATACTTACATATAAAGTAACAAAACAAGTATAGTATCTGTGTGTCAAAAATTACGGAACATATTATTGGAAGAAATCAAAGATCTAAATAAATGGAGAGACATGTCATGTTGACAGCTCAGAAGAGCCAACATGGTAAAGATGTTAAGTGTTCACAAATGCACCTGTAGGTATAATCTCCCATCAAAATCTGAGCAAGCATTTTTTTAAGTATAGAGAAGTTTATTCTAAAATTTCATGGAAAAGCAAAAGACCTGTAATACCCAATTTTGAAAAAACACTAAAGTGGGAGGAATCACTCTACAGATGGTAAGGTTTGCTACATAGCTACAGTAATCAAGATGGTGTGCTATTGGTGAAGGGGTAGACACACAGATCAATGGAATGGAATAGAGGACCCAGGAATAGAAGCATTCAAATACACCCAGCTGCTTTTGGAAAAGCAATTCAATAGAGGAAAGGCAGCCTTTTTGACGAATGATGCTGGAGCACTGGACTTTCATAGGCAAAGAAAAAAAGACATTTAACCTAAATTCCATCTCTTATACAATAATTAACTGAAAATGGATCACAGACATAAATATAAAACATAAACTACAAAACTTCTAGAAGAAAACATAGGGGAAAATTGTCCAAACTTAGGGCTAGGGAAAAATTCTTAGACATGACACCCAAACCATGATTCATCAAAGAAAAAAGTGATAAATCAAACTTCATCAAAATTTAAAGCTTTTGCTTTGCAAAGACTCTGTGAAGGAGATGAAAAGACAAGCTATAGAGTGGGAGAAAATGTTTAAACCACACATCCAACAAAGGTTCTGCATCCATAATGTATAAGGAATTCTCCAAAGTCAATAGTAAAACAAAACAATCCATTAGAAAATGGGGGAGACAAGCAGATATTTCACCACTGAAGATACACAGATGACAAATAAGCACATGAGAATATACTCAATATCATTAGTCATCAGAGAAGTGGAGAGCCGCAATAAAGTATCAGTACATACCCATCAGAATTGCTAAAATAAAAAAATAGTGATAAACATCAAACATCGGTGAGGATGCAGAGAAACTGGACCTTGTACGTTGCTGGTGTAAATATAAAATGTTCCAGCCATTGTAGAAAACAGTCTGGCCAGTGTCTTACAAAACAAAACATCCCAGCAAACGTATTCCAGGGCATTTATCTCAGAGAAATGAAAACTAAGCTCACACAAAAACCTGTACTCAAATGTTCATAGCAGCTTTATTTGTGATGCAAAAACTCGAACAGCCCAAATGGTCTTCAATGAATGAATGGTTCAACAAGCTGCAGTACATCACATCATGGAATACTATACACAAATGCAAAGGAACAAACTACTGTTAGTCACAAGTTGTATGGATCTCCAGAAAATTACGCTCAGTGAAAAAAAGCAAATCTCAAAGGATTATACAATGTATGATTCCATTTACATATTTTTTGAAATGCAAAATTATAGAGGTGAACAGTTTAGTGGTTGCCAGAGGTGAGGGATGGTTGGTGTTGGGGGGGTGTGTGTGTCCATAAAAGGGTACCATGGGGGATATCTGTGGCGATGGGACAGTTCTGTATCTTCATCAGGATGGTATTGCCACAGATTACACATGTGATATATTTGCAGAGAACTCATATACACACACACGAGTACACGTAAAACTGGTAAAATACGAATAAGGTCTGTTGATTGTACCAAATGTGAAATTCCTCGTTTTCATACTGCCCTGTGGTTGTACAAGGTGGAGCCCGGCTGAAGCACAAAGGACCTCTGCCACGTGTTTTGCAGCTTCCTGTGACTCTATAATCATTTAAAAATTTTAAAAATGGTAAAAAGTGATTTTTAAGTCTATTTGCCAATATTGAAAGAGCTTTGTTATAAGATTTAAAGAAAGCAGAAAAATAAACGTCATGTATATGATGATTACCGTGACATTTTTACAAGGTAGGAAAAATATTTATGGAAAATACGTCAAGATATTAGAAGTGATAGTATTAGAAAATATAAATGATTAATTTTCTCCCCTTTGTTTTCTGAATTTCCTATACAGAAATAGAAAACTGGCCAAGTTTCTATACAAGGACATTTAAAATGATAAACTATGCGACATTCCCTCTGTTTACTCACTGCTATCCTATTCAGCTGCACTGAACTATAATGGAAAGTTCAGGCAAAATTAACTGTGAGTTTTCAAAAGCAAATAAGATCAAACAACTTGCTGCAAGGGAAAAAAAAATGGAAGCCAATGGAAAACAATTTGGATATCATTTCTGGATCAAAGAATAAACCTATTAATTGGTAAAAAAAAAGAAGGACTCAATATTTTTAAAGCTATTAACATTTTTTATACTCAACACACAGATTCCTCCCGTGCATGAACATGGAATGTCCAATCAGGGTACAGATGGCGAACATGGACGCCTGCAATATGGACGGCAACATGCACTTCCCAGCACTGCGGGCAGTCAGGGAGGCAGTTCACAGATTTTTTCCTGGGAGGTGGGTGTCTCTAGGGGTGGGTGGCAACAATTTACTGGAAACTGACAAACAAAAGAACTTGTTTTAAAGTGAAATTAGGGTTGGGCGCGATGGCTCACGCCTGTAATCCCAGCACTTTGGGAGGCCAAGGCGGTCAGATCACAAGGTCAGGAGATCGACACCATCCTGGCTAACACGGTGAAACCCCGTCTCTACTAAAATACAAAAAATTAGCCAGGCGTGGTGGCGGGCGCCTGTAGTCCCAGCTACTCGGGAGGCTGAGGCAGCGGAATCGCTTGAACCTGGGAGGCGGAGGTTGCAGTGAGCCGAGATCACGACACTCCAGCCTGGCAACAGAGCCGGACTCTATCTCAAAAAAAAAAAAAAAAAGAACGTGAAATTAGGTACTACTCTCTGTAACACTAATTAGATAACTGAGTTAAGTGTGATACATTTATTTCTTTTACATTAAGTAGTTTTCTAGACATAAATATGAAGGGTTCAATTTTTTTTTCTTTCAAAGTCCTTAGGATTAACTCAAGCAAAACCAGCGACCATCTCTTTTGTAATGTATGTGTGTGTTGGACTGATGCTCCCCTAATCTTTGAAGGAAGGTTCAATGTGAATGGTATTCTCCAATGCATAAATGAGATAATTGGGGCAATGGAAGAGAACTACTTCTGCAATACTCTCTGGTCCTAACTACTTTTTCAGTTTCCTGCTAAAAGTAGATCATTCCGGATCTCCTTGAGAGAGGATTTCCAATGTGGCCAGTGGAGTTTCAGAAGACATGTGGCATGTGGCAGCCCCTGCTCTGTGTGCTATTTCCTATCCTGACGATTCTTACGAATGGAAGCCCTACGAAAAACAATCAACACTCCAGAATTAGGTTTCAATGATGTCAGAGGTAACGTGCAGATCATCATTTAGCAGTTTCCAAAACTGTTGAAAAGATGAAACTTTTGGACAAAAACCTCATTCAAAGGAGTTCATTAAATAGCCATCCTTCTTTCTTTTCTTTTTAAACTAACCTAGTTATTGCATTCTAAAAGATTATGAAGCATTTTGTTAAAAAAAAAATTAGATATGGTGCAAAGTTTAGAAACGGCCTCACCAGCCCACCAGGCACCTGATCACCCTCCATCCCTGAGCCTGCAGAATGGTGAGAGCAAGAAGGACTTGGCACAGAACAATAACTTGAATGGAATTAAGCTGACTGCTGAAATGCAAACATGCGGTAGGCTTTGCCAATATGAGCTACAAATTACGGATTTCCGAACAGTCTTGGGCACAGATAGGGTATTTCAAGTGAGGCGACAAACTGAAGTCGTTGACACAGCACAATGCCCTTGCAGACCGCCTTCCGACACAGCTTAATTCTATCAGCGTTTCCATTGTCATTCGCAAGCAGCACAGACTGACAGGCTGAAGACCCACACCTAGTGGATTTCACCCGCCTAGAGATCCTTGTTACCCAGTGCTGCTCCAAAGCAGCTCCCTGACCCCATGAACACTTACAGGGGAACTCAGGGGCTGTGCATGGATTAAATACAGTCTCAATTCTCAATTTCACAGGTCTTTGACCCCCCACAGGACAGGCCACATTTTGTACTAATGCCTGCTTATCCCCTCCTACCTCGCAAAGCGTCTGGCACCATCCTTCCTCAGTCTTTGTTCAAGGAATCGATGAAAACTTGTGAAATGGTTTAGAGCGGTGCTTGGCGGTCCCCAGGAGGCCCTGCTCAAATGCCAGGCTGCAGAATCACCCAGTGGCATGGCCTCACCCACATGATGACAGCCAATCCCTCTGTGTGGCGAAAGATGTGGGCTTGAGAACTTTCTACACTCCAGAAGCCATTACTGGCACAATATATAAGTGTTCAAGATCAAAAGAAATTGTATTATAAAAGTTTTTTTTTTAAATCTACCCTAGCTTGAGGTTTGGTAAAATGCCTTGGCCACATCCCCCAACTGCAGGTGTCCTGTTCTGCATCTGGACCACACGCCTTGCCTGGGAGAGACTTCAGTGATGGAGGAGACAATCCCAAAAGGTTTCTGAAGCTCTCACAGTCACATGCCAAAAAGTCCACTATTTATTTTAGAAAAAAGGATTTGGAAACTTGGTTAGGAAACCCATGCATCGAGGATGCTATTTCCGAATTGCTAAGTAAAAAGTTTATCATTTCCTATGCACAAAAACGACCAGCTCTTTTTCAGTGGCATAGCAGGGATGGGCCGATAACCACGCTGGTCCCTGGAGGCTAATGTGGGCTGTATCCTGGCAATGGCCACAGGTGTGCAATGGCTCTCTACGGATTCTGCAGTCTAGCTTTGACATTGATCTACTAGGTTTTAGTAACAGCTTGACATCTGAATGGTTTATTATCATTAGCATATGAACACACACTTATATAATATTGCTGAATGTAAAATTCTCAAGGTAGGCTCAACTCAAACCCTGGAGGCAGCATGTGTCTTAGCCACTTACTCATTTTTGGTTTTTGTTTTTATTTTTGAAACAGGGTCTCACTCTGTTGCCTGGGCTGGAGTGCAGTGGTGCAAACACCCCTCGCTGCATCTTTGACCTCCCTGGGCTCAAGAGATCCCCCACCACAGCCTCCCGAGTAGCTGGGGCAACAGGTAAGTGACACCATGCCCGGCTAATTTTCTTTGTATTTTTTTGTAGAGATGGTGGTCTCACTATGTTGCCCAGGCAGGTCTCAAACTCCTGAGCTCAAGCAGTCTGCCCACCACGGACTCCCAAAATGCTGGGGTTATAGGTGTGAGCCACCATGCCCAGCCTCCACTTACTCATGTTTAGTCCCACTTTTTTTTTTTTTTCCTTAAACTCCTTAATGCAAGAAAATGCTTGGGAAAGAAACAGGAGTCATTTAAAAAAAAAAAAAAAGGCACCCACTCGTGGTGTTCCCAAGTAGCAAACTGACTGGGCAGAGTGGGAAGGACTCAGAGACAACTCACTGACCCGCCCCGCCAGCCCTCTTTCTCTGCTGGCTCTGACGTGGGCCAGTCAGCCCTGACTCAATGCTCACATATTATCACACGTGCGGCTCATCCCATTGTTAGAGGATACCATTGCTGAGCCAAACACAGGGCACTGCTTTAAACAGACTTGGCTAATTTCTGCACCCATTACAAGCTGATACGTTAAAAAAAGAAAGCCAGCCTACTATCATCTGTTTTCAAATGTTTCCAAATTGCTCTTCTTTCTCAGAATGACAGCTTTGGAACATTAGCGCAAATCCCCACCGAGATTTGCATCCGTATTCTTGGATCTTATTCAGAACTTAGCCCTGCTGAAAAATACACAGTTAGGTCAAAGTCTGTTCATGGGAAACTAGTATGCGTATTTCAGAAGGAGCTCTCACCTACAGGCTACCCCGAGGCAGTGGCTGGAAACTGCACCAAACCCTGTGTGTGTATCTGTCTATCTGTCTGTCCAGGCAAGAACATTTGGAATTTTCTAGTGCAGTTCTTGGTGCTGCCATCACTGAAGCAACTGATGCAGTTCGTAAGTTCAGCTTTCTGCTACTTCTTCCCACAGAGTGACATATTTTTCTTATTAGACTTAGAGCTTTTCAAATAATGATGACCTGAGAAGCGACTGCTACCCCTTTCCCAGAAGTAAGAGATCTGCAAAATTTTGCTCGTTCGTGAGCATTTTAGCTTCTGTTTCAAGTCTTAAGACTAACATATTCCCAGACTGTCAGGCCAGTTTTATGAAGCTGAATGTGATATAAAGCTTAACCTGCCTCCTTTTGTTGTAAACATTGGATGCAAAGAAGAATTAACCATGGAACTAGAAGCTGCTGGCTGAATAAAAATCCCACGGGAATTTCTGTTCCCTTTCTATTCCTCTTCCCAGCTCCGGATGTGCATCCTGTGTGGGGACAGAGAGAAACATTCAGGGACAAAACCTAAGTCACGAGGTCTGATGCGATGTGAGAACTCGCGGCTGGCACGCGGGTGGCCATGGGGGGGTGGGGGTCCCACTCCAGCACAGGACTCCATCCTCCTCCACTGCAGCCTGAAAGCAGGGGGCAAAACCAACCTGCTGTCTGAAAGGGTTTTGTTTTTTTGTTTTTTTCTAAGCAAACAAGTCTGACCTTCCATCCCTAGGAAAGGCCTACTTATGATGAGAATTCTGATGTCAATGTGAGGAGACACTGCCCAGACCAGCAACTCCACAGCAAGTCAGAAATACAGAGATTGCCCACCGCATGAAAAATGTCTCCAGTTTTACAAAGGTCAATTGGTAATTTACAAAACCTGATTTTGAGATGACTTTAGGAAATTGTTGCTTCTATACTTTTTCTCTACAGAGCTAGAATACTGTTCAAGCGACAGCAGAAAACATCAGTTCCCTAAACCCAATGTAAAAATTGATGATTTCTCTAGCAATTTGGGCTCAAAGACACTGCAATAGCTTGAACCAGGAACATACATCCTAAGCAGGTAAATCTGTTTTCTTCCCAGGTACGTGGTAGGTTTTACAATGGGAAAGGGACTCCTCCAAGTCACGGTTATTTGTGCATCTCTTCATAAGTGACAGGGGTGAGAAGAATTGCACGCTGGCTTCTGGACAGGAATACAGTTCTAAGCAGCATTCATCAGGCCGCACTCTGGCCCACTTCCTTGTTGTGAAAAGTCACATAGCTCTAGACACTGACCACCTGCACCCCTATTGTTCTGGGCTCTCCGACCTTGGAGCCATAAAGCTTTTGTTTAAGGATCACTTAAGATGTTTTTCAGACCCTGAATTCCAGCAACCAGTTTGAAGACCCCCACAGAGGAATGGCATTGGTGTAGAATATAGCTTCTTCCTCTCCCTGTCCCACGAAGTCACCCTGTACTCTTCCACAAATCAACAATCTCCACGCTGCAGCCACTCCAAAAGCCACAATCCTGAGCCCAAATTCCTCGGGGAGGTGGATTTGAGGTTTTCTCCCATCGCCTCGTTCAGGGATGCTACGATTGAGCCTCTTTCTCTGCTGCAACCCAGTATCTCGGTGTACTGACTCCTGTGTGCATCGGGCAAAGAACCTATTACGCTTACATTTCCCAGTCACCTTTCATGTTTGAGGTTTCATCATTCTGAAAGGTGACACAGAATCATCATGGAACAAGAGCATCCTTCTCCCTACCCAGATAGGTCCTTCATCTGGGCGTCATCAGAGAGGTGGGCTGCTGTCACCTCACTTATAGGTAAAAATATACTTTAGGCAGACTGTGGGGAAAAGGAAGGAGACTAGAGGATGCTGCTCTAGGAAGGATGGCCCAGGGTGGAGGTGATGGGGAATCCTAGAGTGACAGTTGCTAAGTGGGGTATCTGGGGGAAAACAGTTGGGGCAGTGAGCTCAGGACTGGAGTGAAAGGGCCACGGCTAGAAGCCCTGGGGTAAGAAGATGCAATTTCTGATTATTTCTCCTGTAATCCAGGGGTTATCCATATGCACTTATCTGGAGCTGGTCTTTGGGGAGCAGTGAATAGCCTGTTCCTGGACCCTCTTTCTCTCTTCTGCAAAGTCCTGGATGGGCAGGAAATCAGGTGGCTCTCTCCTGTGCAAGAGTCCTTGTTCCAGGCCCTACCTGTTGGGGTTCTCTGCTCGGGTTCAGACAGAGCCTCACCCACTGGGTGCAAATTCACTCACACCAACTCCTCAGCTCCACAGGCGACTGACTGTAGATGTTACTACATTTTCATTTTTCTTGGCTTGTAAGTCCCTAATGACTTTTCCCCCTACTACCTGACATGTTAGAAATGGTCATTCCCATAGCCACTGAAAGATACCCATGTTAATCTCCACCTCTGAGTCAACTGGCCTTGTAAGCACACTAACCCTTCATCACAGAAGAAAGTGAATTATGTGAGTGGGTTGTGGTTGGGAACCACTTACTCCTGAGAAGACAGCAGAATCCCACCACTAACCTATAGGAATGAAGATGACCAAGTCATGCTGGAATAGACTCAAGAGTACAGAGGTGGGCAACTGGCACACCCAAAGGAACACAGGACATAATACAAACCTTCCTTTCCCACCACAATAATAAAACCCCAAAGAGAATGTAATGTTACTGTTTCTCTGTGGAGCAGAATCCCTCTGAGTCCAGCTGTCTGAATCGGGCGTCGTTATTCTAGGTAGGCCACCCACAGCCTTCCAGTAAGCTCCACCAGAAACCCAAACAAAACACAACAAAAAAAACTTGTCAGGGCAGTCTTTGTAAAAGTACAATCCCCTAATGAACATTTTCTATTGTTTCACCCAGGCAGATTTAGAAGCCCGCTAGAGGCTGGTATGCTGGGCGTGGACTCAGTGTGTAGCTGGTGTCCAGTGTTCTGGCCAAGTCCACGAGTTCTCAGGCAAGTGCCAAGAAACCTGCATGCCAGCAACCAGACCACGGGGCATTAGCCGGGGCTGACTCATCACATCCCGCCTCGCCAAACACGTTTTCTCTTCCTGTTACCCAGTGCCAAGTGGCTGTGCTGAACAAGAGGGCACAAAGTAGAACATGCCCTCCCCCTCTCTGCTAAGTTCCTCCCTGATCTACGGCAGGCAGTTCCCACCCAGCCAACAGGCAGAGGCAGCTGCAGCCTGAGTGCGCAGAGGGTAGCTCCTGCCGGGGTGAGGACCGTGGGCGCGGAGCATGCTTCCCAAGAACAGCCCGCAGGGAAGACGCCCAAAACCTAAATCGACATAAACACGGTCCTGGCCACCACGTCCCCCACAGACTCAATGGTCAGGTGGCCGGGGTCACTCTGAAAATGAACTGTTCTCCCACTGAGCTGTGCCTCAACCCAAATTAACCTGAAGTTCTGTTTACAGGGATTGAGAGAAATGAATGGATTGAATTATGCTAATATCTTCCCTTCCCATAATCCTAATTGAGTGATATGGTCTGGCCTTAGAGTTTCTCTGGCACCTTTGTCAAATGACAGAAAAATCAGCTTTTGTGTTTTTGTGTCTGTTATTAAAAAATGTTTTAATGAAGTATTATACCACATAATAGATATATAGAAAAGTCCAGGCAACTTACAGAAATAATACAGATAAATTACAAGAAAGTTGTTATTCCCAGGCAAATATCCAGAGTTCAAAATGAAACTCGAAATCCTTCTAGTCTCTATATACAGACTTTCCTCACTCTGTGAACCCTCACTATCCTAATATTTTCCATAACAACTTGCAAAACATTTTAGCCCCAGTTCACCATCCAAATAGAAAGCCTGTTACACCAGTGTATGTCAGGGTTCTTCAGAAAAACAAAACCAGTAGGTGATATGTGTGTATGTGTGTGGGTGTGGGTGTGTATAGAGATGTATATGTATATACAGAGGGGTGTGTGTGTGTGTGTATATATGTATGTGTATATATAGGTGTGTATGTATGTGTATATATAGGTGTGTATGTATGTGTCTATAGATTTGTATGTGTATATATATAGGGGTGTGTACATATATATGTATGTATATATAAAGATGTGTATGTGTGTATTACATCTATGTATGTGGGGAGAGAGAGAGAGAGAGAGAGAATGAATCAGCCCCCACACATATAGAAGCTGACGAGTCCCAAGGTCTCCAGTTAGCAGGCTAGAGACCCAGGAAGAACTGATGTTTTAGTTCAAGTCCAAAGGCAGGAAAACACCAATGTCACAGCTCAAGCTGTCAGGCAGGAGGCGTCCCTCTTCCTTGGGACAGGGCCAGCCCCTTTGCTCTGTTCAGACTTTGGCTGGTGGAGGAGGCCTACCCGTATCTAGGGGGCAACTGCCTCACTCAGTCCAGTGACTCAGATGTTAAAACCATCCACAAACACCCTCACAGACATACCCAGAATAAGGGTTAACTAAATATCTGTGCATGTGTGGCCAAGTTGACACATGACATTAATCTGCATCCCAAGCAGTGTGTGCCCAGGGCAACACTCAAGGCTGGGCTGGGGCAGGGGGAGGGTGAGAGGCAAGCGGTGTCTCAGCCATTCTCCAACAGGATGGCGACCATAAGTGGGGCGGTAAATGTGCTTATAACATCACTGTTGGTGGCCCCATGCTGTTAACGGAAAAGGTTTTCCAGGAAAGTGGCAAACCGTGAGAAGTAGTGAGGGATCCGAGAGGCCTAATAAAGCCCACACCGTGGAGAAAGTCTACAGTCACGGAGCATCACAAGTGCTGGCTGGACACGTGAACCCATGATGACACACAAGCTCTGACATCCTTGCTATGAAGGTAAATTCAGTCTTGAGGAAACATTTGGTGTTTCAAGTGCTTTATGTGAGGCAGAAATTCTTGAAAGATTATATTGGAGTTTCAGAGTTTTTGTGTATTTGTGTATTTTGTGGTTTTGTGCTTTTGAGTGGGTTGAGCTAGGAAAATGTAATTTTTTGCCATTTAAAATAAAGGCATGTGGGCTCCTGATATTCATAAACTTGCTATGCTCCATCTCTTCATGAGGATTAGATCTGGGTTAAGAAGGAGGCTTTGGACCTGGAATATGACACACCGGAACTACTGTATCATTCTGTAGTGGGCAGTGTGGGCAAGGATTCAGTAGAGGAAAAGAGACATGGAATATGACACACCAGAACTACCGTATCATTCTGTAGTGGGCAGTGTGGGAAGGGATTCAGTAGAGGAAAAGAGTTCTGCATTTTCTTTCTCAATGCACAGGGATAGAGGCATGTAACAGGAGAAAATACATGGGTAGGATGCATGACATACGAATTTTGTCAGTGTTGCCTCATCCTTCAAGTGTGCACCAGCCAAACACGCAAACCTTCCGACACTTCCTGAATGCCAAAATCATCACATCAGAGCCAAGCCAAATGAGGCAGAAACCACCATGCTAAGTGATGAATGCTTCTCTTATTAAGGATTAGTTAATAATGACCATGCTGTAAATTACTGTATCATATGTCCAAAGACATCCCCAGTGGACTGGTGAGTAAGTTTCAGTAACTTGTATGAGTAAAAACGATAAGCAGGGCCTCCTAAACTCTCCCCTATCCAGAATCCGAATTGAGTAATATGGTCTGGCCTTAGAGTTTCACTGTCACCTTTGTTGAATGAAAGAAAAATCAGCTTTTGTGTTTTTATGTCTGTGTTATTAAAAAAAAGTTTTAATAACATGTTATACCATATATTAGATGTACAGAAAAGTCTAGGCAACCTAAGGAAATAATAGAGATATATTACAAGAAAGTCAAGTTATCCCCAGACAAATATCAAGAGGCCTCTTAAAATGTTACCAAAAAGAGAAAAATCTATGCCACAACTAAAGATCCACATTTTTACAAGAACTCTCAGCACCTTTCTTCTAATGGCATTTAAGAAGAAACCAGGAAAACATACACATGTGAACTTACAAAGATGCAAACCGCATGACCTTCCCTGACACTAGCACTATGACATCAAAATCAGCATGATTTAGACTGAGATGTGAGTCTAGTGGGCATCTCATACCACACACTGTCAGGACAGTACCAGACACAGCAGACACACCAGACCACACCTACTGCTCATAGGCCATGGAAAGAAGCCACCAATGAATAAGCTGGGCATGCATTTCTGGCCCTCTGTGTTCTGCAGGGGAAGGGTTCTATCACCAATGGGCCCAGTTCCTGGGATTCCAAGCACATATTTCAATGCGCTTACATGAAATACTGGTTTTTATTTCAAAGAACAACTAGTCTTCATATTTCTTTTAAGGTCTTAACAAGTACCTTGCAATACAATAAATAATAACCAAACACAATGAAGGCAGACATGAAGATAAATTATCATTCCAATGAGGCTTACAATTGTTTTCCTGACAGTGAATGTTCTCAAGCACAGTGCCAGAATGCAGCATAAAGAACAATGACACATTCCATACATTTCGCTTAAGATATGTGATCAGAATTCAGAGGAGACCAGGGTCTTAATATGCTTAGGGGGCTTCTGAGGAAGGAAAATCACAAAACACACACCCATTGTGACGGGAAATCACAGCAGAAAAAAGAGAAATGGGGTGGTCGCGAAACTCCAAGGCCCCGCTTGGTGGGAGGGGAGGGAGGGCAGGCACCAGCAGGTGGAGGGGGTGGCCTGGGCAGAGGATGCAGGTGCAACGTGACCAAGTGAACAGGAGGACTGGCTTCCTACCCCTGAATCTGCACCCCTCTTACAACACTCTTGCTTTTTCTTTTATTCTTCCCTAACGCTTCCCCAAGCATACACCAAAAGAAATGCTATCAATGGTCACTTATTCTCATGCAAGTGGCTCATTCCACGGTCCTTTTGGGGCGTATTTCTTAGCCCAACATGGTGTTTTTTTTTTTCCCTGAGACTAATCCCATTCACTCATATGTGCATTGGTAATCCACACCCCTACTAAATAAAGCAAGCTTTTTGCAAGTATTGATCAGAGAAAAGCGTTCAACTTATCCACCATTAAAACAAAAAACTCAGGGCTGTTTCCAGTAGCAAGAACAATCATATAAACGACCTTCCTCCATGTTGGAGGTGTGTTTCCTGGGTGCACTTGTGCACACACACTCCCCCTGGAGCCCTACACACCTCATTCAGGAGACCCTGGAAGGCCAGCGGGCAGGAGCCCTGACCTGCAAATGTGTTGTCATCTCCACCCATTTCAAGACCTTCCCTCCATCCTTGGAGGATGAGACCCTGTGCCCAGCTCAAGGTCCCTGCTTTGTCCCCGATACCCTGAACACTTGGTCTTGCTCCTTCCTCCCCTCCACCATTCTTCAGCTTGTCCCCCTTCCCAGGCCTGCTCGTTCCCCGCCAATGGGTTCCCTCCCTCCTATAAAGAAGAAAATCTGTTGAGCATGGTTCATCGTTGACTGCTGCTCTGTGCCCCTACTGCCACCCCCTCCCCATTGCTGAGCCCACTCTGGGAGTCACCCTCGACTCTCTCATCTGCTTGACTCTGTGGGGGGAGTCCTGGGTCAGTGCTTACCTGTGACAGTTTCTAGCAGGCAAGACGGCTGAAGGGGTATTAGGAACTAGGCTGCTTGACTCTTGCTTTCAAGTTGTAGTCACAGTTGACATGTACCCTGCCCCAAAGCCTTGGAAAAGTCTGTTTACACCAGGAGTGTCCAATCTTTTGGCTTTCCTGGGCCACACTGGAAGAAGAAGAATTGGAAGAAGAAGAAGACGATGGGCTGCGGGTTGGACAAGCCTGGTTTACACAGAGATTTTTGAGAGGGAGGCTCTGGAGCAATCACAGAGAAGCAACTGGCTTTCATACCAAACAGCATGAGGGAGGAGAGAGCGGCCACCAGAAGCCAAGGTCATAAAAGTGAGGGCGTACTGAGCACGCATATGTCAGGCACTGTGCAAAGCATTTTGCAAACATTATGTCATTCAATCTTCAAAGCAGGCGGAGAGGGAGGCATTGCTGGCTCATGTTTAGAGATCTGGGGAGGGAGGAACACAGTCACCCGAAACTATAAGCCCTGGATATTTTCAGAGTCCTTAGAGAAGGAATTAGACTTCCTACAGGATACAGGACACGCAGCTTGAGGCAAATAGATTTCAAAGCAAAATCCACCATCTGAGAGGCACACTCCAAGCAGCACCACTTACTCACTTTGCATCTCTAGGAGAGCTGCTTAGTCTCCTGGGCCTCTGTAAAATGGCGTGATCACAGTACCTACCTCGTGGAGTTAATGCAGAGATGGCATTAACCAGTGTTGGTGATCAGACACTACCTATTATTTATATTATTGTTAGTATCACCCATGTATACATACAAGTCTCTAAGTATGCATTTCTATGTGCATACATACATAGCACACGTAGAATCAATGAATGTAATGACCATCTCTGGCTCTCTGTTGAGAGAAACATGAAAATTTATAATCCCTGCCCTCAAGGAGTTCAGACTCTGGTGACAAAGGAATAAACTAAATAGGTAGACTGCCAAGCACAATAAAATTCATTCCCAAACTGGTCCTAAGCACCTACTAAGAGCCCGGCTGCTACTAAGCCTTGAGTATGTCAAAGTATGACCCTTTCTCTGCCTCAGGCTCAACCTGGCGGGAAAGACAAACCCGTTACCCATAACCTTCCAACATTCCAAGAAACAGCCTCAGAAGAGGTTTATCCCAGGTGCTGGAAGTCTCCAGGTGGGACACACCAAGTTAATCCAAGATGCTGAGCTGGTGGATGGGACAGCATGGCCACGATGGGGGCTGGGGGCTTTGCAGACGAGGTGTCTTAGTTGAGCCCTGAAGGCTACTTGGACTTCCAGAAGTTGGGGGTGCAGGGGGCCTGGGATGTGTGGGCAGGATGACTGGGGCAGAAGCAGGGGTACAAGGACAGGCGCCCCGGCGGGACAGACTGAGAAGGCGGCCGAGCCAGACCGAGGAACAGCGCAAAAGGTAACATCCAAGTCACAACAGGAGTCCAGAGGGTCCTGAGTGTGGGAAACACAAGCTCTTCTAGCTTTTAGTCCTTGGAGTCCCTTCCAGTGTGTGGAAGAGATCCAGCCTGCAATGACTGGAGGGTGGGAGTGGACGAAGTTTATTCTGGAGACAACAAGGGGTCCTGGTGGCTTTTCCGGGGTAGTGGAGACACCGCCACGTCTGTGTCTCTGGAGAAGGAAGATGGAGAAGGCATCCTCCGGTGGGATGGGGTGGAGCTGGGAGAGGCCCCAGCGGGAAGCACTCGGAGGAGCGGGGGCCAACCCGGAATCAGCCTCTGTTCCTTCTTTTCCGCAGCTCACCTGTTCCCGGCTTTTCCTCCCAGTCTCCTGGGCTCGCCGCCAGCGGTGGGATCCCTCTTCCTGCACAGAACCGCCTCTTCCTTCCTCCTGGTGACAGATGCCCCCTGCCACCCCCAGGGGCTGCGGCTCCCCCAGATGCCCAGCCTCAGCCTCCTGAGTGCTGTGCCTGCCCCCACTCCATCTGAGCGGCTGACCAGTCACCAGACTCACCCCCACCCGCCCTCTCCCCTCCACACAGGGTAGCCCCCAACTCCAGCCAGAGGGAGCCAAGACCTCCCACCCCAGGCAGATCTTGTGGGCAAGGTATCTGCTTAAAGACATTGATGGATTTTATGAAGAAAATATTTAAGCCAATTTAAATATTTCAGCAATTGATAAGTAACTCAGCTTTTATGGGCTGGACCTTTAGGGTATTGTTTGTAAGATGTATATGATTTTCATATCTATATCAGTGCTTATAATATTGTTTGCATGAAAAAAAAGTTTCTCATGTTTGCCATCCATTTACAAATGAGCTTTACCTATTTGTAAATTACGGGCTTTCAACACGCAGCTGGACGTGGCAGGAAAGAGGAGACGATTACTCCGTGTCTCAGCATGAAGAAATGGCAGATGTCAGATGTCAGCGCTGCCAATGTTTCAGCACTGCGGTTCCTTGCTCACTGAGTAGGAACAGTTTGCAGAAATACTGGACAACCTGCTGTGGATAATAAACTATGTCCCAGGCTCTGTGTTTCCTCAGGAATATATTTACTTAGAGAAGCGGCCTATTAACATTTCCCGGGAAAATGCAAAATCCATTTTGTGAAGCAGTGAGGCTGAGTTTTCATAGTTCTTTCCTCCTCCAGGTGTCTTCACTCCAAGCTTGTCACCCGCATCATTCGATCAAGAGTGCCCAGAACATCGCATGTGTCAAATCCTTACCGTTTCTGCCTAATTGGCAGTTACAGCCTCGGCCCACCTGTTTCCAGGGTTCCCAGTGTCAGTCGGACACTGGAGGGGCCTCCCTCTCCCCACCAGTCTCTGGGGCAGATTCCCCCTCAGCCTAAACATTCTGCACTGCAGAGGGCCTGCCACTCACAAGCAGCTTCTGTGCCGCTCTTCCAAATTACCCTGAAGACATTCCCTGTCCGCCCCACGCCTCCCCTTTATTCTCTTTCTCATCTCCAATGTTAAAGAGTTTCTGAAGCAAATGACAATGACAGTTGACAGATTTCAGTCTGAATTTCCCTTTTCTAGGGCCCTCTTCTAGGCATCTATCTTGCACTTGCTCTTTAATGTGAAGCTTTTTGACTATTTCTGTTGTAGGAGCTCTCATTCAGACGCTGTAAAAACAGCTGTTTTCCAAATACACAAATAACGCAGTCTAGAAAAACTGGGAACTTTCTATGGGGGAAAGTCCTTGCTCATCCTCCCGAGCCACGGATCAAGGTCGAGGGCTGCAGCGTGTCCCTGCGGCAGCATCACCTTTCTGAGAGTCCTCAGGAAGCATCCTCAGTGGCCAGATCCCATTTCAAGGGCCCTGTGCTTCAGGGAGCGGGCAGGAGCTTTAGGACATGTGATCCCTTATATGTCTGAGCCGTCATCTGTGGGCCATGAATGTGTTTTTAAAATGGTCATTTTAATTACCCTTATGAGGTGTTCACGTGGTTCCCCATTCAGAGTCTACAGCCAGGAGGGAATAAGGCAGACACCAAGAGCCACTTGGCGAAGTGGAGATGGCTGGGCTGAAAGTCACTCCTGCATCTTCCTGTTGAGTCTGGCTTGAAATTCCTGGGAGAAAAGAGCAGGCTGGGGCCAGTGCTCGGCCTCTGCTATGCAACCAGAGGCTCTCCAACTTTTCCCCATCCCAAGTGATTTAAGTCACCGCCAATTCCAAACCATTAAACTCACACTGGAGAGAGGCCCGTTGTTTAAGCTGAGATGGTGCTGACAGCGAGGCGGTGGGGGCTGGCTTTAACGAAGCCCTGAGCTTGTTCTTCTGCGGTGTGCTTCAGCCATTTCTCCAGCTTCCCTCGGGACTGACTGAGCTCATCAGACCCCGGGATCCAAAGCCTGTGCTGGGATGCAGGGGTCCGCCCTCCCTGGCACCTGGCTGCAGGCTTTGCTGGTGTGGCTGGCCTGGGCCCCGGCTGCCTCTGCCTACAGTGCCATCCACGCTAGGGAACAGCTGTCCCCACAAGAACCATGTGGTCCATGTCTGGGCAGTGACCGCCTCACTTGCAGCCAACCCCACACTCTTCAGTGGTGCCGAGGTCCTGTGGCAGACTCAGCCAATCCCAGTGTGGACTTGACTCGGTCTTGGACACCGGGGGCCAGTGAGCTAGCTGTTGGGCCAGTGGGGCTCAGCCTGATACTGGACAGAGCCTGGACCTGGGGCCTGTGGCTGGGGAGGGGTGCTCCTGTGTGGGCCAACAGGACGGCCGATGGCCTGGAAGACAGTGTGACCGAGCTATCAGCTAGCACTCGGGACTCCACATGGATGCAGAGGTCACCGCTGGCCATTTCAGGAGACACTACGCCTAGGAGCTACTGCAGCCAGCACTGCCAGGCAGCGACATCACAGGAGGACATTTCTAACAAAACAAAAAGCATCTTCCCATCTTCGTGGACAACTGCCATGTGGTTCTGATAACCACTTTTCAGGAGAAGAGACACATGAAACTTGGGATAGAAATAAAGAATGGGAAGAGTGTCATGGAAACCTAGATGAAAATGTAGGAATTAATCTTCAAAGTTCAGTGTGAGGTGTGTGACAGCAGGGAACATCCTAGGGTGTACAGAAAGGGAACAGACCTACTCCCGGGCTCCTGGGACGTGATGGCCTTGGCTGGGCGCAGGCTGCTACTGCAGGGGAGGCCATGTTCCTCTTCATGATTGTACCACATGGGGAAGAGCCTACATCGGTGTCCTTGCCAGAATATGCCAGAACATGCCTGGAAATCCCAGGCTGCTCCTTGGCATCTCCAAAGGGCCCCTTCACAGGCGTAGGCAGTGTATCAGGCAGGGACACCTGAGCCCTGCCAGCCATGTCTGAATGAGGGATGGATGGCTACCACCTCAGTCACCTCAATAACCTCACTGTTGGTGCCACAGGTCTGCCCATCCACCACATCACCAGAGGTTCTGTCTCCAGATGATTCTGAAGCACCAGGCTCAGGCTTCCAGGCAGCAGAGCTCTGCACAGGTGCAGGGGGTGGCCCTCTCCCAAGCTCCATGCGATGCTATGGTCCCTGGAAGTCCATGCTGGGTCTGCGGAGCCTGTCTTGCACAGGCCCATGGGTCTCTCACACCTCCCCACCCTTGCCTGGAATCTCCCCAAGCCTCTTAAGGGAAGCAATTCTGTCCACTCCTGGCCCTGAGGTCTCTCAGCCAGGAGCTACCCTTGCTAGAGGGGCGGGGATGAGCTCTGAGCCAGTCCCTGACAGCCCCACTCCTGCACCTGACAGGCTCAGGGAAGCTGGGTGATTGGCTGGAGATCACACAGCCCACGCAAAGCTGAAGGTCTCATCTCCCACACTGTTCTGTGCCTGTGGCAGGATCACAGAAAGCAGAGCTGGCAACAGGGATTTTCCCTCGGACACAGTGACTTCCATAAACCCTACATTACATCGTCGCAGGTGCAAATGTGAACTAAAGGAGCTTCTTAGCCCAAAGAGTTGCAAATACGCTGAAAACAGCTTCCAGAATGGGTCACATGAATTAATGGCAAAAAACAATCCATGATGAGCCACTGAGGTAACCCAGGAAGACATCACAAACACAGAGGCCTTCGCTGCCCTTCCGCAGAACACCCTGCTTGCTACCCACAAAAGCACCCTTTAATCGGCCATGAGTCACATCCATGGTGGCAAATCGGATGTTCTTTCCTAAGTGGGATTTGAGAAATCCAAATCCTTGACATGTGCTTGGCCGTGAGCCTGCAGCCCTGCCTGTCCTCCCATGCAGACCACATACTTCGACTCAACCTTGTGATTCACTTTCCACACATCCCTACACACCCATGGTTAATAGGGAGACAGTAACCCAGAGGTTCACGTGAGTCACTAAAAAACCAGAAGGAAAAATGAGTGGCCACGTGAGAGCAGCTGTCAGGGAGGAGCAAACACCCAAAGTTTTGATTAATTTCCCAGGGATCTAATTTAACATAAGAAGTAGACATGGACAGATTAACTATGGGCACATGACAACACATCACGGTACCAGGTTTCTAAGAAAAATGTTTGCCCAGGGGACTAGCTTAAAACAGAGAGTAGTAAATCGGCAGCGGACTGGTTTGCTTATAGCCCAATGTGCATTTCACTGTATCACTGAACTGAGCTGGGGTTTCGAACAGAGCTGGGATTGAGATAAATCACAGCACATGCTCGGCCCTCAGTCTAAACTGGAAAACCTGTTCGGAGGAAACCCATGCCCTTCCCATGGAACGAGCTGAATTACCTAGACCAGCAGGAGACAAGAGGTTCCATCTCTCCCCAGCGATCCGTGCTAAGCTTACGTTTCCCAAGGGCCTGTCAGAAAAATGGATTAGAGAAACCTATTTCCCTCTGAATCTAAAAGCCAGCTCACCTGGGGAAAGAGCACACCACCAAAGTCCAAGGGCACGCCAGTGCAGCCTCTGCGCCTGGCAGCTCCTCCTCCTGGGAAACATCCTGTCTCAGGTCTAGGATGGAAGAGGAAATACCTCCACCGCCAGCCCCAGAATCGGCCCTTGGACATCCTGCTCTCGTAACCAAGAGAAAAGGGGACACTGGATGCCCACCACAGGCCTCAGCTTTCTTGGGGTGACAGGAATCTTTAAGAATTTCATGAAATCTTGGCATTTTCTTCCTGGAAAAACACACACATGCACATCCACATAAAATCTGTCACAGACTGTCTGGAATTCCTGAGACCCATCCACAGAAGCCATGTTAAGAAAGCCTGTTCTCAGAGGACTGCATTAAAAGAAAATTGAATCCAAAATCTATTACTTGGCCAGGCGCGGTGACTCACGCCTATTATCCCAGCACTTTGGGAGGCTTAGGCAGGCGGATCACCTGAGATCAGGAATTCGAGACCAGCCTGGCCAACATGGCAAAACTCTGTCTCTACTAAAGATACAAAAAAAATTAGCCGGTCGTGGTGGCAGGCACCTGTAGTCCCAGCTACTCAGGAGGCTTGAGGCAGGAGAATTGCTTGAACCTGGGAGGCAGAGGTTGCGGAGAGCCGAGATTGCGCCATCGCACTCTAAGCCTGCACAACAAGAGCAAAACTCCATCTCAGAAAAAAAAAAAAAAAAAAAAAAAAAAAAAAAAAAAAAAAAGCAAAATTTTTTACTGGCTACCATGTTTTGGGGCTGAAACACATAAGACTTCGGAGACCCCACTAACCAGGCAGAGCCCTGCCCTGGAGGTGACTGTGCTTGTCCCTGCATAGCTAGTGACCAGCACAGGCCCAAAGCCATCTCTGAATGTATGTGGCATAATTACTGAAACTAGAAAACAAACATGCAAATCACAAGTGCGTTTTGTGCAAATAATGTGATATTTTAAATCAGAAAATCTGGGTATCAATCTAGACTCTGCTTCTTCCTGATTTCATGATTTTGAACAAGTACTTTTTTTTCCTCTTTTACCAAATACTGTAGTTGAAAGTGTATTAAAAATTAAGCTTACATTAATAAACGTATACAAAAGATTATATTCTGGATTTAATAACAAAGAAGGGTATTGGGAAAAAAACAAGTCTGTAAGTAAAAAAATGCAAGTTTACTCTAAGTTAATGGGTACAGACACAAGCATGTCCCGTATAATTATTCCCTTTCCATTGGATTCCTCCCCAAGGACTGGCACAATCTTCAACCCACAGGGGCTGAGACCCCGCAGGGGCCTTGAGACTGGCCCTGGTTTGGCCCATTCTGCTCCTCCCGTCTTCCATGGCGGGTTTTCTTCTGAGCGACCTCTCCACAGGGAGGCACCGAGGGCTGGGCGTCACGTGAGGTTAGCGCTGTTCCTGCCCTGGCCGCTTTCCAAGTGATGTTTACTCCCATTTCATTCGGCTCCCTTGCAGCATCTCAGATGTTTGCATGGTATGTGTCTCTTTCTGTAGAAGAACCTTCTGGGTGGTTTGGGAAAGGCCCTGGCCTGTCATCGGATGCCTCTGCCCTCGCTGGGTCCCTGCTGGGGCCGCCCTGGAAATCTCCAGGCCAGGCATTCTCACCACCCTCTTGCCTTCTCCCTGGACCTGCTCTCATGAGGGGTCTTTCTGGTCACTCCCAGGACTCCTCTATGGGCAGGGGCCACATCGTAGGCTGCTGCACGGACCACAGACAAGGTCACCTTGGGAGCTGTGGACTTCTGTGTCCTTGTGATCCCTCTGGGAACTATACTTACTCTGCACGGTGATTCGGGACAGCAAGGATGGCAGAACACTTCTCAAAGGACACCCCCCTCGGGAATAGGACATCTCCCTGTACTGACTTGGTGCCGATTCCTTGCAAAGCGTCTTCCCCTCGTCCTTCAGGACTGCTGGCCAGCACTGAAACTTACATCCCAATTCTACAGTCCCAGGAGAAAAGCCTCACTCTGTACTTTCAACCCCTGCCATTGCGCTGAGGATCACAAGATTCACAGAAGAGATGTCTTATTTTCACTTTGCAGGTCTTAAAACTCTGAACTAAAGTACTGTCTAGACAATTATCACTTGAAAGAAAGTTCAGCAAGTCACACATATAAATCCAAGGGAGAGGCTGTCCAGTATGAGGGTGACAAAGGGACACGTTCCCACAAAAGAAGCCTACTGAGTACCTGTCACCTCTTGCAGCAACCCCAAGGGTGTAACAGCAACTACGTGGTCTCAGACCCAGGAGCTTCCTGCCATAGCTCCAGACCCTCGGGGAGCAGCACTGAAAAATGGCAGCACCCCGGTATGGAGAAACATGGGCAGTCACCGCCTCCTCAAAGAGAGGCACAAGATGGGTCAGCAATGGGCCCTGGCTCCCCTTCCACTGTCCTGCATGCCCCGAAGCTGTTTCTGACAGCTGCACCCACTCCCCACAGTCAGATGTTAGGGTCACCAATGACAACGCATTGATTTCTGTTTCATGTGTTTCACCTGCAAAAACAAAAACCCTTAAACTTAGGATATAAGAAATTGCCACCAATACTTAAAACTCTTGGACATTTCAGCAAATGAAGTAAGCACAGAAATAGAAATAAGAACTACAAATATAGCTCTAAGGCAGTATGCTTGTATATTCAGCATAAACTAAAATAAATACAGCAGATCTAATAATACAGGGTTTAGATACAAAAAGAAATACACACATAAATTCCATGCTTATAAATCAAAATTAGCATGACAGTGAGTGCCACAGGGAAACCAGACAACATTCAAAGATTTACTCCTAAATATTTAATAGTGAATATTAAAATATTAAAAATAACAACTAAAGGGTATACAGAAAAGCAAAGGGAAACATTACAGAGACACAAAGGTAGATCTGAATAAGTAGACAGGTAGGCTGGGAAGACTGAGTATGTTAATTCTCTTCACTGTAATAGTGTTTAACCCAGTTTAAATCCAAATTTTAAGAGGCCTTTTTAGGAATTTAAAAATGGCAAACTTTTTCTAAACTTTACACGAAATAATAAAGAATAGCATAGGAATTCTGGGAAAATAAAGGCGTGAGAGAGAAGTCGCACTGCCAGATGCTAAACCATGCTGTGAATCTGCACTGTCACAACAGTGCGGTGAGGACGCACCCCAGGACCGATGAGGCCGGCCCCGCATGCCCAGCAGGCCTGGGAGACCGAAGCACTCCACACAGGAAACAGTAAGCGCGGGACCAACCCATAAGGGATACCGGGGAAACTGCCATGAAATTCATCAGGTGAAAAATCGAGTCCTTCTCCAGTTGCCATCAGATACCAAAACATCTTCTATCGGCTTAAGGTTAAACGCTGACACACACAACACAGAGAACTAGAAGAAAGACCAGCAAAGAGGTTGCTGCTTCCCGAACAGCAAAGAACTCACCCTAAAAGCAACAGCAGAAAGACAATGATTTAGCTACACAAAAACGTCTGAACTTTAAAAGCTCGTAAGCAAAATGAAAAAGCCAATGACAAACAGAAAATATTGAGAACCACAAAATAGTGTGTGCTTGGGCGTGTGTGTGCATGAATGCACGCACATGCGCGTTCTAGCACTCCAAAATAAACAGTGGTCAAAGGAATGAAATGCACAGTTACATGGGGGGAAATTTAAAATCCAAGAAATATATTCTTTAAAGTAGTCTCATTAGTAATCAAAGAAATAAAATTAGATAGGTGAGAGACTTTTTTTTTTTTTTGCCTATCTAGTTAATTAAAATGTTGAGAATAAAAATATCTAACATTTGCCACGTTGAGCGTGGTGACGACTTGCTGACAAATGCCAGTGTGAGCGCAGCTTGAACGGCCTCTGGAAAGCAATCTGGTGCATTTGTATCAAAAATCATAATCTTGAAACAACTGACTTCCTTTTTAGAATTTTTGGAAAAAAATCAGAGCCAGGGACAAATACTTCTGTGTAAACGTGCCATGTTGGCATTATTTATAGTGAAGAACAGTGGGGGGAATAAAACCCTTACATCTTCTATATTGTCTTAATAAAGGCAAACAACAGAATATTATATATAAAATAAAATGCATTCATAATATTTAATAACACGAGAACATACACTATAATACTCAGTTTCATTTTAAACACAAAATTCTATGTTCAGAATTTTATTAATTTTATAGCAAAACTCCTACATAGATATAAATTCAAGAAAGAACCAAAATGTCCCCAGATATTAAATATGTGTATCTGAGTGGTGGGATTGATTAGGGATTCTAATTTTCTTTCCAGTTCTCTAATTGGAATATCTGATACAATGTCTTCCATATATTAGCTACCCAATAAATATTGAGAAGAAGAATGAAACGATTTCAAACTTCCAACATAAACATGAACGATTACTAATTCTAAGAAAAGAGTGAAAGCATGTTATAAAACAAACACTAATAAACAGATATTGGTTTAGGAAGGTGGCTGGTGGCCTCTCAGGCTGGCTAAGCCAAGGGATGTTTACTTTTGTCAATTTCTGCAGAAACCACACAAGTGGCTGGTGACGTATTTAGCTCTTTCCTCACAGTAACCCTCCTGAGGACTCTAGGATGATGTTCTCACATAGCTCTCATTGCCGGCTGCTTTCCCTGCCTGTTGCCCTGTGGCAGAGCCCTAGTTATGGGCTTACAGCTCCTCCACGCTCCACTGGTCATATGGCCTGGGGATAGGGGACCAGGGTGGCTGAACCTGGACCAGCAAGGCCCCCTTTCCTCCTGCCTGTGACCCCTCACTGAGGGTCCTTGGGGGACACAAGCAAAGAGGAACATAGCCCACACGGAGCCCGCGTCACTAGCAACGGCACACGTGTCTCTACCCTCATGCAGGGTGTGAGACAGAGCAGCTCCCACGTCCTCTGCTCCCCTTGAATCTGCACGTTCGGGTCTACCCCTGCCTGCTGAAGAAGAAAACAGGGGAAATGCAGGAATGCAGCTCATGAGGTTGGGCCCAGGGAGCCCCTGCGTGGTCAGAGGGAGCGGAGCACAGGAAAGGAAGAGAAAGGAGAGGCTCCTCTGCATGCCCAGCCCCACCCCACACCATGAGGACAGTGTGCCTGGGGTTCCCGGGGTGCCCAGAAGCTCTCGGGAGCCCTCCTTCACTGACAGGAGGGATGGCCCGGTGCAGGGAGGGCAGGAGGGTGAGATCTTTGGTCTGTGGGAAGCCACATCAGATGCAGAAAGTCCATTTCAAAGACAACACTGACCCTGCACAAATCCAGCTCCTCTGCCCTGTCACGAGAAGGGCACTCCATCAGGGCAGGCGCTCACCACCTCTGGTTAGAGCTTCCAGAACCTCGTGTTATGAAGCACATTCAGGGACGGGCAGCACCCTCGTGCAAACTCAGGGAAAACAGAGGGTCCACTGCTGCACCTAGGTTGAAGAGGATGGCAGGGTCTGCAGGGGGATTTTTATCTTTTTCTACGTAAAGGACAGAAGACCCAGCGCACGTGTTCTGATGCAGGAAGACGTACTGCTGTCTATGTAAAGTACAGATCAACAGCAAACCCAGGAATAAATTCCTGCTGAGGAAGGCATCCAGGTGCCTCCCTGCAGAATGTGCCCCTGGGTCAGGCTGCAGCTGACTTTTTACAAAGTGAGCTCGCCACTGCAAAGCCCCATGGGTTTTGTCACACTGACTCTGTGGCTCCGGCCTCACCGGCCTTTGCTGCACTTACTCCCATTGACTGCCAGGGTCGTGACCGTAAACACCGAGGTTCTCTTCCAGAGCCTGGTGGCATAAGCTTGCAGCCTCGAGTCCATTGGCTGCGTGGTGAAACAGTCTGGGAACTTCCCAGTTTTGAAAAAAGTTAGAGATGGAACTTCCCAGTTTTGAAAAAAGTTAGAGAGAACTTTTAAATAGTTAATAGAGCATTCAGAGAGAAGAAAGAGCTCCTCACGCATGTGAAGGTGTGTCAGATGCAGCAAATCCATTTCAAAGGGAACGCCGACCCACAAAGAGCAGCCACGCAGGATCTTTAAAAGGACTCTCAGTCCTAACAGCTCACAATAAACCATCTCTACGCGGTCCACTCAAGACACACTCAGGCCCTGCCGTGGTCATTCTCTCTCTACAGCACACAGAGGGCAATGGCACCACTCCTTGCTCTTATCCTGAGTCCTGGCGTGCTGACCGAGGCCAGGTGCAAGAGGGTTTTTTAATTTTTTAAATTCTTTAAAAAAACATTCTGGATTCAGGAGGTCCATGTGCAGGTTTGTTACGTGGGTCTATTGCATGACGCTGTGGCCTGGGGTATGGGTGGCCCCGTCACCCGGGTACTGAGCACAGTACCCAGTAGGTAGTTTTTAAGTTCACATGCCCCTCCTTCCCTCCTCCCCAGCAGCCCCCAGCGTCTGTTGTTCCCATCTTTATGTCCATGTGTATTCAATGCTGAGCTTCCAGTTTTAAGTGAGAACATGCATTTGGTTTTCTGTCCCTGAATTAATTTGCTTGGGATAATGACCTCCAGCTGCACAGATGTGGCTGCAAAGGACATGATTTCATTCTTTTTATGGCTGTGTAGTATTCTATCACGTATATGTACCACATTTTCTTTGTCCAATCCACCATTAATGAGCACCTAAGTTGATTCCACGTCTGTGCTATTGTGAACGTTGTTGCAGTGAAAATACAAGTGCATGTGTCTTTTTGGTAGAATGATTTATTTTCCTTTGGATATATACCCAGTAATGGAATTGGTGTGGTAGTTCTATTTTAAGTTCTGCAAGAGTATTTTAAATAAAAAGTTATATAAAGATAGGAGTAAGATGGAAACAGGAAACATACAAATGATTGCAGAAAAACCAGGTTAATTCATCAGGTAGCTTGAAAAGCGGGACTTTCTGAAGCAGTAAAATATCTGACTAGGTTCTATATAAATGAAACTTGTATTACCTACAAATAGAGTAGACTTAGTAAGACACCAAGAACCACCAGGAAGAGCTACCAAGGATCTACTTTTGTCAACAGATAAGAATGATTTTAAATGAACAAATCGAGAAAGATGGAACAAATAATTTAAAAATTTCCCTGGTCTGCCCCACTGCTCCCAGATAATTTCAGGTATCTGGCAGAAGAAACTGACTGCCCCAACCATGATAGGCACAGCCACCAACAAAACTAGACATGCAAAACGCCTGGCTCTTTTAACACAGCTTTTGTTTACGAACGCCATACAACTTCTCAGAGCACATTGGAGGAAAGATTTTCAACACATAAAAACTTTGAATAACTACAATGATTCATGTGATTTTTTTGTCTTTGCATTCAAAAGTCAGAAGCATAACACGAGGCTATGTGTGATCCGGGCTCAGGGAGTACGGGGGAGCGCTCAGAAGTGTACGGAGAACTATTTTCAGCGCTGGCTTTTGCTGGAGTCCAGACCTGCCAAATCGAGCACGAGAGGGCACCTTTTGCCAAGATGGAAGCACTATGAAATCCAAGGTTGCTCATTTCCGGTTCATTGTGTTTATCGTGTGAGGCTTTCCAGAAGGGAAAAAAGCCAGCTTCTATTTTAAATGACGATCCACTGATGAGCAGATGGGTTTGGTGTTGCTTTTTGTTTATTCTCTCTACATCTGAAAATATTTCAACATTTTAACTTCACAGAAGTATAATGATTTTTCTTTCCTTTTTTACATGCTTTCATTATTAAACGTTTTACCTCAGGAGAGTTAAGACCTCAGAACAACACCTCCCACTGAGCTGAATGGAAGGACACTAATGGGTCCACTGCCTCTTTATCAATGGGAACCATCTCTCTAAACACAGAATTTCCTCCATGGATTGGTTTGGAAGAATAAAATTTTCAGGTGTAAAGGAGCTCACCAAGATAGCAATCTATTCATTTCACATGAAAAAAAAATTCCAAAGATGAGAATGAATGACTTGAGGTCCCAAATAAAGCAAAATAGGTGATATGGTTTGGTTCTGTGTCCCCACCCAAATCTCATCTTGAATTGTACTCCCATAATTCCCATGTGTTGTAGGAGGGACCTGGTGGGAGATAATTTGAATCATAGAGGTGGTTTCCCCCTTGCTATTCTCGTGATAGTGAGTAAGTCTCAGGAGATGTGATGGGTTTATCAGGGGCTTCTGCCTTTGCTTCTTTCTCATTATCTCTTGCCACCACCATGTAAGAAGTACCTTACACCTCCTGCCATGATTCTGAGGCCTCCCCAGCCATGTGGAACTGTAAGTCCAATTAAACCTCCCTTTCTTCCCAGTCTTGGATATGTCTTTATCAGCAGCATGAAAATGGACTAATACAGTAAATTGGTACCAGTAGAGTAAGGCATTGCTGAAAACATACACGAAAATGTGGAAGTGACTTTGGAACTTGGTAACAGGCAGAGGCTGGAACAGTCTGAAGGGCTCAGAAGAAGACAGGAAAACGTGGGAAAGTTTGGAACTTCCTAGAGACTTGCTGAATGGCTTTGACCAAAATGCTGATAATGACGTAGACAATAAAGTTCAGACTGAGGTGGTCTCAGATGGAGATGAGGAACTTGTTGGGAACTGGAGCAAAGGTGACTCTTACTATGTTTTAGCACAGAGACTGGGCAGCATTTTGCCCCTGCCCTAGAGATTTGTGGAAGTGTGAACTTAAGAGAGATGAGTTCAGGTATCTGGCGGAAGAACTTTCTAAGCAACAAAGCATTCAAGAGGTGACTTGGGTGCTGTTGAAGGCATTCAGTTTTATAAAGGAAGCAAAGCATAAAGGTTCAGAAAATTTGCAGCCTGACAATGTGATAGGAAAGAAAAACCCATTTTCTGAGGGGAAATTCAAGCCGGTTGAGGAAATTTGCATAAGTAATGAGAAGTTGAATGTTAATCCCCGAGACAATGGGGAAAATGTCTCCAGGGCATGTCAGAGGTCTTCATGGCATCCCCTCCCATTGCAGGCCTGGAGGCCTAGGAGAAAATGGTTTCCTGGGCTGGGTCCAGGGTCCCAGAGCTGTGTGCAGCCTAGGGACTTGGTGCCCTGCATCTCAGCCACTCCAGCTGTGACTAAAAGGGGCCAAGGTACAGCTCGGGCTGTTGCTTCAGAGGGTGGAAGCCCTAAGCCTTGGCAGCTTCCATGTGGTGTTGAGCCTGTGAGTGCACAGAAGTCAAGAACTGGGGGTTCTGAAACCACCTAGATTGCAGAAGATGTATGGAAAACGCCTGGATGCCCAGGCAAAAGTTTGCTGCAGGGGCGGGGCCCTCATGGAGAACCTCTGCCAGGGCAGTGCAGAAGGGAAATGTGGGGTTGGAACCCCCACACAGAGTCCTTACTGTGGCACTGCCTGGTGGAGCTGTGAGAAGAAGGCCACCATCCTCCAGACCCCAGAATGGTAGATCCAACGACAGCTTGCACTGTGTGCCTGGAAAAGCCTCAGACACTCAACACCAGCCCATGAAAGCAGCTGAGAAGGAGGCTGTACCCTGCAAAGCCACAGGGGTGGAGCTGCCCAAGACCATGGGAACCCACCTCTTGCATCAGCATGACCCGGAAGTGAGATGTGGAGTCAATGGAGATCATTTTGGAGCTCTAAAGTTTGACTGCCCCACTGGATTTTGGACTTGCATGGGCCCTATAACCCCTTTGTTTTGGCCAATTTCTCCCCTTTGGAACAATAACTGTACCCCCATTGTATCTAGGAAGTAACTAGCTTGCTTTTCATTTTTCAGGCTCATAGATGGAAGGGACTTGCCTTGTCTCAGATGAGACTTTGAACTGTGGACTTTTGGGTTAATGCTGAAATAAGTTAAGACTTTGGGGGACTGCTGTGAAGGCATGATTGGTTTTGAAATGTGAGGACATGAAATTTGGAGGGGCCTGGGCGGAATGATATAGTTTGGTTCTGCATCTCCATCCAAATCTCATCTTGAATTGTACTGCCATAATTCCCTTGTGTTGGGAGAGGGACCTGATGGGAGATAATTTGAATCATGGGGGCAGTTTCCCACATACTGTTCTCATGATAGTGAATATGTCTCAGGAGATCTGATGGGTTTATCAGGGGTTTCCGCTTTTGCTTCTTTCTCATTTTCTCTTGCTGCCACCATATAAGAAATGTTTTTTGCCTCCTGCCATGATTCTGAGGCCTCCCCAGCCATGAGGAACTGTAAGTCCAATTAAACCTCTTTTTCTTCCCAGTCTTGGGGATGTCTTTATCAGGAGCATGAAAACAGACTAATACAACAGGATTGGAACCCAGGTTTCCTGACCCTCAAGATGCTGGGCAACGTGTTCCTTCCCTCAGAAGCCACGTGCCGTAGACTCCTCCATCTGTGCCCTGGACTGGGGGCTGTCCTGCTGCTGCACACCTACATGTACTGTCCTTGAGCTTATAATTGGGTGGCCCTAGGAAGTAGTGGGATAGTAGGAGCAGTTAAGAGGCCTCAATGCTGGAGGTGAACAGGTGGGATTTGGGTCCGGGCATCATTATGTAGGAGCTGGGTGACCAGGGGCAAGCACCTTAGCCCTCCGGCACTTTGCTGTTCACTTTTGCAAAGCAGAGATGAGTGCTTTGGCCTTAGGGCTGTGAAGTTTAACAGTGTTAAATAATGCAGAAGAAAGCAAGCATCCCACAGATACTACTGATGACAATAACACAGCTCTTTCTTTAACAAATGATGGCTTAAAAACTAATCCTGGCCAGCATGCTCCAATCTAGAGAGCGAGGTTTTGTAAACCTGATCCTCAGGTGACAGCAGTGTCTGGACCAGCAGGGCTGCTCACAGGAGTCACCGTGCCAGGATCACTGTGCTGGAGCAGGCCTACTCAATCAGAGTGTCTGGGCTCAGCTCCGAGGTCTTCCACCATGCGCCTCGTGCATTTTCTACACAGAGAAAAGTGTCAATTGGCCCAGGATATTGATGGGATCTGTGCAGAGATATGTGAGGGACAGGAACGTCACAGCTTAGAAACGCAGTTTATGAGATTCTGCATTTAAAACCCACCTTGACTCAACTGCACTCAGAGAGACCAAAAAGCCTCTGCATTCTATATTTCACATTTAGTGAGAAGGCCCAGGTTAGAAGGAAACAGTAAGTCTGATGTCGAGCAGCATGGAAAACGGAGGATCAGTGGATCATGAAAAACAAGCCGGAATGAGAAGGCGTGTCAGTCAAGACAGCCCCGAGCCACCGCCTGGCCGTATCTGCCAAAGGGGTTTGTGATCTTAGACAAGTATCCGTTTATGCTGTTTAGAAAACAATCTATAGTTGTATTCTATTTTCTGCATTCAGCTTTTTTTGAGTGCCATTATGATAAAATGTCATGTTATTATAAAATTTGAAGTTATAATAAAATCCAGGTTGAGATGGGCCCAACAGGTGCGACCTGCATTCTGTACAGAATGCTACAGAATTCTTGGCTGCTCGGGCCCTTCCTGGAGTGGTGCTGGCCTGTCGCCCACAGGCCATCTGGGGAGGAAGAAATGTATGCAAGAATGTCATGCTTCCAGAGGTTTCGGTGGTGGCAATTCTACTGCAATTATTAAAGATACATTGTTACACTGGCTAGTTACAAGTGGGTTATATTTAAACAAAATTTGGAGAAAAATGTTAAATAAAAAATGTTTCCAAGCACAAAATTGTTTTTGGAGAAGATGAACATCCTACGTCACCATGAAACTGGTGTATTCAAGATTCAGGCCATTAGGAAACGCCATGTGTCATGTTACAAGAAGGAAGCAGCCTGTGAAAAGTGTCAACCGCTCCTTTGGCAGAAGAAGACCAGTGTTGTGGTATTTAATGTCGCTAAATTTCACGATTTGACATTTTCTACATTTTCCTTTTTCTAAGATCTAAAGATCACATTATTGAAATTTTATCTCTAAAGAATGGACCTCTTAAATAGTCCTCTTTTATGATTATGCAAATAACTCACATACTGTTTTGAGAAGAAAAAAAAGACAACTAAATAATCTGAGGATAGTTCCTCTGTTATCCCAGCCAAAAAGAATAGGGAATGCATAGTGACAACACCTTCCTAACTGCGACCTTTAGAATCACGGCACTTCATCAAGTTCAGCATTGAACATGCTTAAAGGGCCGTCTTTCTATGACTCAGCCCGGAGGTTCTGGAGTTGTTGCCCCCATCACAGTGGGCTTTGGGCCCCCGGGCCTGCCCCTTGGTTCTAATGATCAGGGAGGTCCTCCCTTATGTGCCCACTGAACTTCCAGTCTCAGGCTGACTCACACAGGACACACTGTGAAAAGCTGGAGAGGAAAGGGCCCAAGTGACACAGTCACCCGATGGCTCTCAGGGACCTGAGGGCCGGCAAAGGTAGAACAGGTGTCCACTAAGCCTGGAGCGTAGCCTCAAACCCACTGTGCCAACACACCCTGACTTCAGCCATAGTCCCGTGCATATCCAAAGGTCTGAAGGAAACTTCAGAGGTGTCCAGTCTTTTGGCTTCCCTGGGCCACCCTGGAAGAAGCAGCATTGTCTTGGGCCACACATAAAATCCGCTAACACTCATGATAGCTGATGAGCTTTAAGAAAAGAAAGGTGAGTGCATAAACCTCATAATGTTTTAAGAAAGTTTACAAATTTGTGTTGGGCGACATTCAAAGCCCCTGGGCCACGGGTTGGACAAGCTTGCTCTGGATTGTACCCAGTCCATGCCTGTCATTGTATGTGATCAAACTAAGCAAAAAGACCTGATTTTCAGTCTACCCCACCCCCAACCCCTGACCCCCTCAGTGGGTCCCCAGTGAGGACGGATGAGACCAGAAGTCCCAATGAGCCCAGTGTGCCTTGTGTCCCTGGGGGAACCAGACCCGATTGGACACGGACTGGATTTTCATGCGTAGGGGGCGGAGGAAAGGGAGGACATTAAATCTTTAAGTGGTTAAAGACACAAAACCCACAGGAATGATTTCTAATGAACAGAAAAAGGGCTGAGGAATTTTTCTTTTCTTTTCTTTTCTTTTTTTGAGACGAAGTCTCATTCTGTTGCCCAGGCTGGAATGCAGTGGCGCAATCTCGGCTCACTGCAACCTCTGCCTCCCAGGTTCAAGCGATTCTCCTGCCTCAGCTTCCCAAGTAGCTGGGACTACAGACACACCACCACGCCCAGCTAATTTTTGTAATTTTTAGTAGATAGGGGTTTTGCCAGGCTGGTCTCGAACTCCTGACCTCAGATGATCTGCCCGCCTCGGCCTCCCAAAGGGCTGGGTTTATAGGCTTGAGCCACTGTGTCTGGCCAGGGCTGAGGAATTTAATATTGCACATACATATTGTCTATGATTCTTTATGTGAAAATCCACTCAAACATCCACTCTGCTTTTGACAGCATCAGCCTTTCTCATGACAAAACCTTCCCCTCAGGGCCTATGCGGAGAATGCCGACAGCACCTGGGCTCCAGCGCCTTCTGGGGCCTAGGCCTCTCTACACCCACCTGGATGCGCAGGTCAAAGTGCTTTGCTTCTCAGGGAGGGAACTGACGCCCCGCTCAGCCCTTCCTTCTCCTACGCTCCACTGTCCTGAGGGACTTGATGTCCAAGTGCTCAGGTGGGTTCGGCATTTTCCACAAACCCAAGGACCAGGCATGGCAGCCTGTTGAGGCCACCGAGAGGCCGGCTTCGAGTATGCGGGGCAGTGGGTGGGTATTTCGCTGTGTCCATTTTCCTTATATTCACTTTCTATTTGAATGACAGAGAATTATACCCAGAAACAGACTAGTTTAGATTTGAAAGCCCTTGGAAATCACCACTTCAAATGAAGACCCACCCTGGGCGAGATGGGGAGGGAACACCCGCTGGGCAGGAGGGCACGGGGAGAGGGCCGGATGGGGTGGAATGCCCACTGGGCAGGTGGGCTGGGCAGGAGGGCACAGGAAGAGGGTGAGATGGGGTGGGACGCCCACTCGGCAGGTGGGCTGGGCAGGAGGGCACGGGGAGAGGGCGGGATGGGGTGGAATGCCCACTGGGCAGGTGGGCTGGGCAGGAGGGCACAGGGAGAGGGTGAGATAGGGTGGGACGCCCACTGGGCAGGTGGGCTGGGCAGGAGGGCACAGGGAGAGGTGAGATGGGGTGGGACGTCCACTGGGCAGGTGGGCTGGGCAGGAGGGCCCAGGGAGAGATGAGATGGGGTGGGACGCCCACTGGGCAGGTGGGCTGGGCAGGAGGGCCCAGGGAGAGGTGAGATGGGGTGGGACGCCCACTGGGCAGGTGGGCTGGGCAGGAGGGCACAGGGAGAGGTGAGATGGGGTGAGATGCCCATGGGCAGGTGGGGTGAGCAGGAGGGCACAGAGAGGGTGAGCACAGTGGCCACTGAAAGCCGCTGAGCCGTCCATGGAGATCTGAACTGTTGAGCTGGCTTCCGGTGGCATGCACTTTTTGAAATAAAGCCTTTTCATTTGACCATGAATGTGTTCAACAAAACCAAACTTCTTGGGAGAGTGAACATGTGTTAAATGACCATATACTAACCCATCACGCTGACTGTTCACAGCTGCTCACCACCATGACCTCATTAGTTGGGCGGAGATGAATATGCAGCCATTTTACGATCACAAATTACATTCCACAACTGAAATGTAGCATGGAGCTCTGAGAGATTTTTCATAAATCACAAGTTTTATAGTATGCAATGAATTTTTATCAAATTCATAACATAGATGCATACATCTTATTTTGGAAAATGAAATGGCATTTATTTTCTCCACAGAAAAAGTGCCAAAAAATGGGCAGTAATAAAATTTCCATTATTCAAGAGGTTAGATATGATTTCCATCTTGACTGAAAAAGCCAGAACGCTTTGAAAGAACTTCTTTTAGGGGTTCTTATGTAAGAATTGCTATTATGCATCCAATGTGCAGAGGAAGAAAAAACAAAACACAAAAAAACCTCTTGAATAATAAAAGCTATGGAATAAAGCAGTATAATAGGTTGGTTTTAAAACTTAAATATTTTTGGTAACTTGATGTGGATAATAATTTGAAGATTTAAGAAAAATAACTCACTATATTTTTTACCTTCCACATTTTCTCCTACTTTAAAATTCACTCACTTTGTCTTGACTTGGTCGTTGACTGCTTTTATTCATAATTCACTTGGGATAAACAGACTTGAAGCATATACACGATAATTATTTCAATATCAATTCTAATAAAGACAAAGCAGTTTGGTAAGTTTTACTCGCATTCGCATACTTTTCAAGGTATCATATTACACATAATTAGATCCTAGAAACAACCAAATTGCTACTTGTGAGCTAAAAGTGCTGAATTCTTGCTTGTTTAGAAAGCACACTGCCTCATCCAAGGCCCTGATGTCCAGCTCACCCTAGGGTCTAGCACTCTGCACCCTGTAGGACTTGCACCAGAGATCACGGCCTTCTTGGGGCAAACCACAGCACTGTCGCTGTGATCTGCGGAAACGGCTCCCTCCACTTTGCCTCCTGTGAGTCTTGGTGATTAAATTGTTGAGCAACTTCAAAGCACAGAGGCGAAAACCAATGGGAAGAAGCAGCTGGTGGTGGAGAGCTTAAGCATCCTGCGCACCTTCTCTGAGCTCTGGCCAGGCCGTGCTGAAACACTGCGGAAGTCATGTCTACACCAGGGTTCCCCACCCACTGTCCAGAGGTGACAAAGGAGAGACGCTCCTGATAAATGTCTTCACGTGACAGTTTGTCATTAAAAACCGAAGCTAAGCCCACTGAATTCCTGAGTGCTTATTAAAGCGCCAATGGCCAAAAGAGACAAGACTCACAAGACTGTGGCTTTCTCCTCTGGATGGCAGAAGACGTATCTCACTTGGCTTGTTTCAGTCCAGGAGGCATCACGCCAAAGGAAGTACTATGCCACAGGAAGAAATGTGCAAACTGGCTGGTTCTCACGTTTTTCTACAGCATTTTACTTCCATGGGTTCTATCTAATGGTAACATAGGTTAGAGCAAAACACAGTCAACACAGTTGCTTTAGCTCAAGTAATTTCATCACCTTACCCCATAGTGATAGTGACCCTCTAAGGGTCAACAAAAAGGCGCATCTTAAAATGTATTTTATAGCTCTGGTAGGCCAGGTGTGCAACGAAACAAGGTTAATAAATTTAAAATGCCTTGGTGTGTTTTGCTCCTTTCTTAGTCTGCCTGAGCTGCCATAACAAAGTACTATGGATTGGGTGGCTTACAAAACAGACATTTATTTCCCATAGTTCTGGAAGCTGGAAGTCCAAGACCAAGGTGCCAGCCATTTGGTCCTGGTGAGGGCCCAATTCCTGGCTCACAGGCAGCTGCTTCTTGCAGCGCCCTTTCGTGGTGGAGCAAGAGCTCTGGTCTCTCTTCCTCTTCCTCTGAGGACACTACTCCCATCGAATCAGGGCCCCAGGCTTAGGACCTCACTTCACCTTCATTACTTCCTTACAGGCCCTTTCTCCACATAGAATCACACTGGGGGTTGGAGCTTCCAAATGTGAACATGGAGGGATACAATTGAGTCCATTAACATTCCATCCCTTATTTGTAGTAACAGCATGACCATACTCAGTGATGACAGGGACACTCTAAATGTCAACATTTACATCTTACAACACTTTTTATAGCTCTATTAGGCCAGTTATGTCATGACATCACAATTAATAAATGAAAAATGCCTGGGCATTCTGGGGATACTCAGCAGCTCTCCAGATGTTAAGGAAACTCAGTATACCCCAATCTGGTCATTTCTATCTGTGATTGTGATCTTTTGCACTTTATTTTATAGTAATTTTAACTGAAATTTTTAACGGAAACAAAGGAGCTACGCTGTCATGCCAAGTTTTCAGTAAATACGTTGAGGAGCTGTGAGCTCAGAAAGCGTTCCAATAGAATTCATTTCTCATGGAGAGACCATGATTGATCTATTTGAAATGCAATATTGGTCCAGAAACTCAGAAACATTTGGTGGAACTCAGGGTTTACAATAACAACATTAGCTAAAGATTCAATCTGGACCTATTTTAAGATCCCGAGGGGGTGGCACATTGGTGTGTCATTCCCAAGATGTCTCAAAACACACAGCAGATTTCTGCTGTAGCAACTAGTGTGAGAAAACCCGAGAGCTTCTTGGTCATCTTTGCACCTCTGAGTGCTGAGCACACGTGTGGTGACGATGTTGCTACAACGATGTGGGGTGCAGGAAGCTCGAGTTTCAAAAGAAGATCATAAGTAACACATTTTTCCTTCTAGCCAGAATGCCCTGAAATACATGAAAAAAGATGCAGCTCTGGCTACGTGAAAAAGAGGTAGTGAGTGACTCGGGGCTGGGAAACGAAGCCGTCCTCGCTGGGATGGACTTTCAGTCTCACATCTTCAGCAACTTTAGCTTCTTCATTATGACTTTTTTTCTCTTGAAGATTAAGGAATCGAGGATTGCTGACATGTCTGTATTGATTAGTTATGGTTCTCCACTATGTTTACTGCCATCCTAATTACAGAACCTAATTTTCACATTTACTTATAATTGTGTGCAATTGTCCAGGCTGATCTTTTAAGGTTAAAGAGAAAATCTCAAACATGACATCAAACAAGTCTTTTTTTTTTTTTTTTTTTTTCCTTATTTTACAGCTTTATTACTGATTTCCCTCTAAAAAGAGACTCAAGTGTGGAGCTGACTCATCTATAGATTAAGGAATCACAAAGTACCATAGTCACTTAACAAATGCAAAAAAAAAAAAAAGCAATTGTTTTACCTTTCAACTGCTGATGTTATGTACAATCTATCACAAAAAGCATAGCTGTGCATTCATGAGCTGATTATATCAACCTCTAGAATTTTAGAAACGAGCACATCTAAGCATATGGATACTCTCTTACCTTACAAAGTAAAAGCATTTTCTATTTTAAAATTTTTATTTCTGTGTAAAACAAAGAATTCCTAGAGGTCAAATAATATACCAAACTTAAAGCACTATTAAGTCATGAAACAAAGAAGATTCTGAGGTAGAAGTCAAGCAATATAATCCACAGTTTCAGGTATTCCCAGCAACCATCGCATTTCGCAAGTAAGATCTATTTTTTTTAAAGTCTCAACTTCCAAAAAATCAATAATCCATTCTGTAAAATCAGATGTAAAACTATGACCAACAGAAGACACCCAAACTTTTCTCATGGTAACAGAGTAAATGCTTTTACTAAAAGCTGCCAACATTTCTATCAGTAGTAACCGTAAGGAGGCCGCTGGTTGTAACCATAATGTCCATATTGCTGGGGATAGTAAGGTTCTTGTCTGTGTTGCGGGTAGTTGTTACCCCAGGATCGTCCATGCCACTGATTGGATCGATTGTCACTTGGCCACCCCCATCTGTTGTCCCTGCCTCTGAACTGTCTGTTGTCTTGCAACCGATTGCCTCTGTTTCTTTGGTTCCCACCAGCTCTGCTATTCCATTCCTCAACAATTGGAGGAGACTCAGGAGGGCGTTTCAGGTATTCCTGATACTCCTTGTCATTTTCTGTGAATCTACTAGCAAACATCTCTTCAAAATTTGGAACAGCTTCGGCAGTGTCAGTCATTCTGAAAATCCCAAAGGTTTGAGGCAGCTGTATTGCTTAATGTTTAGGTTGTTTAAATCCGCCAAGGGCTATGTCTATCCAGCTCAGGCCGAACCCCGCCGGCGAGACACTGAGAAGCCCAGGAGAGGTGGCCTCTGGTCCACTACACCGTGGAACTCCAGACCACTCCAGTTCTCCAATGTAACCGAGCGCCTTCCTCTCCAAACAAGTCTTTTAATAAGGCCCATGAACTAGTCCATATATATACCAGAGGAGGAAAGAAAAAGAATGACCACAGTTTATTCTGAAGACATGACAAAGGTAACACACATCAGTTATACACAAAGTCAAATTTCAGCATTACCTCCAGGGCAGAGGGAGCCAACAGCTTTCAGAAATCTCTGCTCCTGCCATAGACTGGGGCTCCCCTCAGCTGCCTCCCAGTGGGGACTACATTACCCAGCCCTCCTTGCAGGCAGGTGTGGTCATGTGACTAGCCCTGGCCAATGGAGTGTGTCTGGATGGTGTACCTTAAAGAAGCAGGTGCTTCTTTCATAGTCTCTTTCCCCCCACAGCTAACTGCAGGCCCTTAGGGCTGGTGGAGCTACAAAGAAGAAGCCTGGGTCCCCCAAATCCCCATGTGGAAGCAAAGTGGCCAGTCATCAGGAACCCTGACATTAGACTAACACATAAGGAAGAAATAATTTTTCTTTTATGAACTCAGGGAAATATTTTCCTGAAACACAAGAGTGCACAGTCCAGAGACCCTGGGTCAGAGCCCTACAGGCCCAAGAAAGGCTTGGTTGGACACTGGCATGGGACAGAGGGAGGCAAGAAAGATGAGATAAGCACAGACTAGAGATTCGTATCTGCTTTTCATAAGTACAAGAGAAATGTACCATCAAAATCAGTTCTAATCACCGTCACTCTAATTGTGTGGCATCAGACAAGCTCCTCACCCGTCCTTGGCCTCAGTTCCCTCCTATGTAGAATGAGGGGGTCCTACCTGGATTAGTGGTTGTGAGAAATAAATGAACCCACGCATGTAAAACTCCCAGAACAGTACCTGGCATAGAGTGGGTTCTCAAAAATAACACTTTAGTTCTTCCTGAATATCTCATGCAGTGATATAACATCTTTCTTGAACGAGTCTGCCCTTTTTGAAGTCTGCCATTGGAAAAAAAAAAGCAAACCAGCATAAAATAAATATTATATATATATATACACACACAAAAATGTAAAATATATAAGTGGATTCAGAAGTAGAAGATGAAGGGCCCACGTCTCTGAAAAGCCACAGCTGAAGGCGCTGAAACTAGCCGTCTGGCCTCACTAGCACAGTGGGTAGAGTCTGACTTCCTGCTGGCTGCTGTCATTCATGGCAGGACTTTCCGGGACTGTGCGCTCTCTGCCCTGTGGGGAAGAACCCCGAGGAGGTGAGAGTGAGACCCTGCGCCCTCCTCACTCACTCAGGTTCCAGCCACAACAGTGAATTTATTTTGTTTTTTATCTGTTTGGCTTATCACATCTGAATGCAAAATATGCAGCATAAAATGAATGAAAATTGAGACCCCAGTGATGGTTAGAGAATTCTCGTATCATGAACTAAAAGTGAACTTCTTTCCAAGAAACAGGGGACCTTCGTTTTGCTCCCCAATGTACACACTGTGCTGGGGTCTGAAGTAAACAAGGCAGGAGCTCAGCTCCATCCCAGGGCCCTCACCCTCCACTGCTCCCTGAGTGTGGTTTAAAAAGAGGAACAAGGACCTCCACAAAGTCAGCTTCACATTCAGCAGGTGGACAGCAGAATCAAATCTCTGCAAAGAAACAGCCTATGAGTGTGTGCAGCTGCTCACAGGCCTAAATTATAATTTCCAGGTGGGGCCAGCGAGTTGCTGCAGGGGTGGCTTTCTGCAGAAAAAATGAGGGGTGGCTGAACTGGATTCCACAGGCCCTAGCCACACAGAGCATCATGCACCTGAACTGGGGGTCTTAGGGGACTCCTCTTGGGCACACGACATCCCTTTGCTGCCTCCTTTCCACAGGGACCCTGCGCTGGGAACTTGCAGCACGTCGCTGAGACACCAGAATCTGGGGAAATTCTGCCTGTCCCCAACCTCTCGCTCTGGCTGATTTTGCCATCTAATTTGTAGCCTTGCATGTACATAATTCCTATTTGTACAGAAAAACAATCAAAGGTGGAACTAGATCGTCTGATCTCAACTCCAGAATGTGGGCTTTATTGCTGCCCTGTAACCTGGGGCTGCTACTCTGCCCTGATGATGGACACAGGGTTCCCGGAAGCTCAGGGCCCGAAGAGAGTCCAGCTGGGCAGTCGCACATGACAGACAGGGTGCGGCAGCCAATGGCCCTCCGTGCTCACTGTCAACCCGGCCAGCAGAGGCCATGCATAGGTGGCCAGGTGCGACTACCTGTGTTCCAGCAAGTAGATGGAAAAGGAACACTGTCGCTTTCTCAGGGCTGACTTCCAAATTGGGGGGAGGAGGAGTGGGTGGTTAAGGGCATCTAGGAGGTGGGTGGCAAGGGAGTGCCCCCGCAGAAAAGGAGGAAGAAGCTCTAAGCCCTTGATGAGTCAGAGCTGAAATTAGTAACATTGGGGTTGCCACTACTCTTTCAAAATTTAAGTCTTTTATAAAAGAGCCCCAGGCTTTCTGGAAACAGGTGGTCAGATTGAAATAAAAATGATGGCTATGGGGCCAGTCTCCTCCTACCACCAGCAAAAGCCAAAAGTGAATTTATGTTTCACAGCCAGTGTGGAGAAAGCGTCTGCTCAACAGCTCAACAGGAAACCACGGTGCATTCCAGGGCCCCTCCTGGGGTTCCTTTGCTCATTTTCACATAAAGAAAGAAAAAGGATGGGAAGTATTAATCTGCAGCACTAAGTATGCACTTTTGTGAGCACTTGTTCTAAATTATTGCCATTACATATCCACACTGGAATTGAAAAATAACCCAGCTCAATTCATCGGCCAAAGACACCCAGCCTCCATGGTCAGAGTATCTTCTATGCCCGACAGGAGGGACTGTACCCTTAGAATTGAAATCAGTTGAAATCAGTCATGCTTCATGGAAGGCTGCATAAACAATGTCATTCTACCCTTAGGTATTTTACCCTCATTAAGTCGCAGAAAATAAGAGCCTAAAGGGAAACTGGGAAATTGAACTTTCAGCTTTTACTATCAGCTCCAATAGAGACTGTTGGTAGAAATGGGCGCACATCACCTGTGTCTCCAGCATCTCTGCATGAAAAACAGAGCGTGGTCTATCAGTCTTACAGAAGACTCTCACCCAGTGCTTTGGCCCAAACAAATCAGATTTGTTGGAAACATTTTCAAAATTTCTAACTCCTAGATTTGATATACAACATAAACTAAACTGTGGCATGAACAGAATGGAGAGAGACTTGGGATCTTACCGGGAGACAAGATCATACCCACCAACCCAACAAATGAGGCCACAGGCATGCAAGTGAGATACACAGAAAACAAGAACAGGAAGGGCCAGAGGAAGAAGGGCCCCTGGGCAGCTTGATTGGGGTGCTCAGAGGAGGAGGCAAGGGAACTGGGGGGAATACAGACGGTGCTGTGGAGAGGGCATTCAAGGTGAAATAAAACAGCTCAAGCAAAGACACAGGGGCTGGAATTGGCAAGCATCATCGGGATGATAAAGACTAAATCTATTTGATTAGAGCAGCCTTCTGGTTTTGCTTCTTTTGTTGTTTTGCTTATACTTTTTGCTTAAAACTTGGACATAGTGGGAAATAGAATCAGAACAGTAAATTACTAGTTCCTACATCAGTAGGCTTTGAGGAGCAAGAACCTACTAAACGCTGATAAGAATCAGTCATTAGGGTCTGGCAGATACAGCATCCACGTAAGATTAAGTTCACAGATTCCCAGTGTGAACTCCGTGTCAGACTCTGCTTTAGGAGGAGACAGATCCTATTTCAGGGCTGGGCACACCTAAAGATGGAGCCTGGCGAGGAGCATGACTTAGGGTGAGAACCATGCCATCAGCCTGCCCCAGAAGAATCCAGACATGCAGCAGCACAATTGAAATCCTCATTGAGGACTTCAGGTCGTTGCACTGTACTATACAGGGGATTCGTGTGGAATGAGTTGATTGCTGCTGCTCTTGCCCCACAACACACACACGCACGTGCATAACTGAAAGCACGTCTATGTTAATGGGCTTTCCTGCAGTAACCTTCTTACTATCTCTACTCATTTCCCGTTGCATCATGTATACCTTAAACATACACAATAAAACTCATTTTAAAAAATTAAAAAAAAAACCTCATTGAGGCAGTGAGTATAATCAACACTAACGGATAAGTGATGGCCCCAGGCAAAGAGCATAAATAAGGGAACGGAAGAGATCATCAAAGACACGACTTAGAGTAAGGCCTTGCTGGATTTAAAAACAGATTAAAACCAACCCACACAAACCTTTGCAAGTAAAATGGATCTGCCTGCCATGTCACAGTCAATGAAGAGTCAAATCTGAGCATTATTTAATTACAAGCATCACAAAAGCAGAAAAACAGGTTGTCTCGGTCTGACTTTAGAATTCTCTTCTACATATTAAATGCCAGAAGATGCCAGAGAGCAATGTTCACTGAGCATCAGGTACAAAAAGGTTGCAGCCCAGGCATTTCACAGTCGCCCAGGCACTCTTCATAGATGCAGGTGATGGAAAAGGCCAGCGTGCAAGGACTCAGCAAACACACCCTCCACGGGAGGCCCTGGGGGCACCTCGGAAAGATGTTACCATCATTCAACGCGACCAACAGTGCCACACTGGAGTGCCTTCTGGGATGAGCAGAATGCCTTTAGACCAGTCACAGTGTGGCTGCTTCCGTCCAAATGGCGCTCGGCATGGGCATGGTTTGATGTGTGCCCCCCACCCCTGAAAAAAGACGTGTTGCATGTCTTGACTTGGAAACATGTGACTTGACTTGGAAACAGGATCACTGCAAATGTGATTAGTTAAAACGAGATCACAGAGGAGGCGAGTGGCCCTAATCCAAGATGACTGGATGACCACCTAATCCAAGATGACTTCTAAAAAGGCCACTGGAAAGCAGACACACACCAAGAAGGCGGCCCTGAGATGATGGAGGCAGCCAAGGAGTGCCTGGGGCCACCAGAAACCAGAAGGGGCAAGGAAGGATCCTCCCAGGGCGTTGGAGAGAGCTTGGTCTTGCCCAGGTATAGTCTCGGAAATCCACCCTCCAGGACTGTGAGAGCATAAACTCCTGTCGGTTAATCCCACCTGTTCGAGGTAGTTTCTTACAGTAGCCCCAGAAAACTAACCCAGCATTTAGTTTTTACTAAAATCTCATCAGTGTACCCACCATGGCCACCTTCAAGCCTGTGTGTATTACACACTGAGTTCCACAAGACAGAAGGCTGTGGACAACAGCCCCCAAACCCAAGCCGGCCCACACTGATGGCACTGGCTGGGCCCACTGTACCTGCAGAAGACAGAAGCATCTGCAATACAGAAATCACTCAGAGCTTAGACAATGAGAAAATGATGGACGTTCTGTTTAAAAAATAATCACCAGCCAGGGCGCAGCAGTGAACCAGAAAGTTCTCAGAAGTCCTGAAAAGTGGGCAAGAGATGGGCCTGGCTTGTAGAGAAAGTGACTTCACCAAATACCAGCAGAAAGAGAAAGACTTCTCGAGGGAACTAGAGAGTCACATATTATAAATAGTAGCGAGGGTCATGGAGAAATCAACAGGATAATGAATTCTCTGCTCTATGTGGAGTCCTGGCCTGCTGAGAGCTTCTGATGGGTGCACCTCAGATTAAAACCAGGGAACTCACCTGCGGGGAAGAGGGCCCCGGTGTGGTGCTGTGAGGGGCTGACAAGCCCGGCCTGTCCTCTGGATTTACAGGGGACTACTTATTCACCCAATCTATGGGCTAGGCAGAATCTGTGAATCTCACTTTACATAAGGGAACTAGGAGGTGAGAACTTACTAGTTATTCTTATAACTAATAAGTGAGGAGCTGGAATGTGAACCCAGAAGCCCAGAGTCAGTGTTGGTGACCATTCTGCTGTAATGCCTGATACGTGAGGGGAAGAAATCAGAATGTGAATCAGCGCCTGTCCTTATATCAGGCCCGGATTGATGAGAGGGACAGAAGCACAGAAAGGGACGGGGGAGGGCAGGCAGGGCAGCCACCGCACAGAACTGTACTACAGCGCTTCACTTCCAGGAGAGCACTCCTACCTGCCCACCTGCGGTCTGCCCTTACATTCTACAGGGCAACGGCTCTTGGCTATGTCTACTGTGACTCAAAGAACAGGCCTTCGGGGAAACAGATCATGCCAGCGATCTATCCTAATTATATTCCTAATTATATTCCTTATGAATCAATAACAAAAGGATCATTAGACATCGGAGACCAAAAACATCAGCACAAAAGGTTGAAGGAAAGTATGTTTGAAACTCGAATTCAACATCAAGCTGAGACAGTTCTCACAGGAACAGGACAAACAGACGTGTTAGTCACTCAAGACCTCAGAGCTCACCACTGATGCAACCTCGACAGACACCAGTGAGCAAAAGAGCAGTTCAGGAGAAAGGCGCAGGACACAGCAGAAAGAAGCTTTCCGATGCAGTGTGAGCACCAAAGAAGGCGGCATGAAGTCAAAGGAGAATTCAGGGGCCCTTAAATCCCAATCAAATCCCCAACATATACTTTTGGATTCTAAGCGTTTGGAAGAAAAATTCTTTATAGGTAATACCAGAGCTAAAAGAGAAACAGAACAGAATACAACAGAACAAAATAGAATAGAATGAAATAGAAGAGAATGGAATGGAATGGAATAGAATAAAACAGAAAAGAAGACTATATAAAAACAGAACATTTGACAAAAGTAGTATTTCAGATTGTGGGTAAATAGCTAGTTCTAAAACCATATGCTGGCTCACACTACAGTCAACTGGAATTATTGTGATCAAGTGTTAACAGAGTAAAATTATAATATAGCCAGCACAGTACAGGCAACCAGGTCCACAAATCTCAGAATGGTATCGATTTTTCTTATGCAGGTACAACAGCAAAGAGATAATTTATAAAGGAAATAATTTATAGATTTGGTTACATTAAAATTGACGTGCGTCAAAACATTCCATTAAAAAATGTAAACACAAACTGGTTTTCGGAAAAAAAAAACTTGCAAAAGGCAAGAGCTCTTAATATATAAAGAGCTCTTACGAATCAGTAAGGAAGACAAATAGTTCAATTAAAATGGCAAAAGATCTAAACAGGTGATTAACACAATCAATAAACATATGAACAAACTTCAAACTCACTAATACTTAAAATGTATATTTTTAATGTGTCAAACTTCTATAAATGATAAAATGATATCAAAAATTCTGAGAATATAGGAGAGTAAAAATCTCAGATAACTCAGGTAACACTATCACAAATGTAAATGCACAGAACTATTCTGTTCATGCCATTGACCTAACAATTCCATTCCCGACAATTTACCCTAAGAGAATAAAAGTGCACGGACAATTCTGTGTTCAAGACCGTTCATCATAGGGGTTTTAGTAATATAAAAATCGAAATGAATTTAATATTAAAATATATGATTAACTAAATACAGCTTACTTTATTTGATGTGTGACCATTATACTTGTATGTGTGGAATATTTAATGGTGGCGGTAAAATTCTGAAAATGTCTTGGTAAGTGATATGAAACAGTTTCTAGAAGGTGATTCAAATTTTTAAAGAACTGCACATATGTATACATGAAGAAAGAATCAGAGGAAATCAAAAATTTAACAAGGGTCATTCTAAAGTAGAAAATGTTAAATAATTTGAGTTTTTAAAAATTTATTTCCCTCATAATTTTCACAATAAAATGTGTTATTTTAGTAAGCAGATCAAATATCTTATTAAAAAAATTGTCACGTGAAAAAACAAAACAAAAAACTTGTCTGTCCAAACACATTTTCTTTTTTTTTTCTTTTTTGAGACGGAGTCTCGCTCTGTCGCCCAGGCTGGAGTGCAGTGGCGCAATCTCGGCTCACTGCAAGCTCTGCCTCCCGGGTTCACGCCATTCTCCTGCCTCAGCCTCCCCAGTAGCTGGGACTACAGGCGCCTGCCACGATGCCCAGCTAATTTTTTGTATTTTTAGTAGAGACGGAGCTTCACTGTGTTAGCCAGGATGGTCTCGATCTCCTGACCTCGTGATCCGCCCGCCTCGGCCTCCCAAAGTGCTGGGATTACAGGCGTGAGCCACTGCGCCCAGCCCAAACACACAGATTTTTCAAAGATCTGTCCTAAACTATCACTTTCATAGTGCTTTTCTGCTATAAGGTTCTCAGAACACCAAAGTTCTTTCCATCCAGTATTTACTGAGATGCAAAGAAACAAAAGAAGTAAAAAGATAAAAGAGGCAAAATAACATAATGGAAGGAGATCTGGAAACTGGGTCTGGGATTCTAACATTAGTCTTGAAATTAACTGGTTCTGTGACCTAAGCCAAAGTTCTTGGTCTTGGTTTTCTCACCCAAATAAACAAAGAAGTTGAAATGAATAATTTTTTTTTGTTTTTTTTTGAGACAGAGTCTCATTCTGTCATCCAGGCTGGAGTGTGATGGCAGGATCTCAGCTCACTGCAACCTCTACCTCCCAAGTTCAAGCGATTTTCATGTTTCAGCCTCCTGAGTAGCTGGGATTACAGGCACATACCACCACGTCCGGCTAATGTTTTGTATTTTAGTAGAGACTGGGTTTCGTCATGCTGGCCACGCTGGTCTCGAACTCCTGACCTCAAGTGATCTGCCTGCCTCGGCCTCCCAAAGTGTTGGGATTACAGGCATGAGCCACCGTGCCCAGCCAAAACGAATAAACTTTGAATGCAATTTTGTACCCTAAAGCTCTATGATGCTATTTCATAATTCCCAAAAAGCCAAGTTCAACGACAGCAAAGCTGCCCAGGGAAGCGGTTGTATCCTCCACCCGCACAGACTGCGGCTGTCCACTGGGACTTCAATCCCCAGATATGCTTGTGATTGGAAGCCCTTTTTCCTCTCTGAAATTTCAAAAGGTGCTGCAGTCACAGCTGGTTCTATTTTGCCACTGACAGGCAGACACATATTTTTATGCATTAGTAACCTTAGGAATCTCAGCCCCTCAGTGATGTGAGTCAAACAAACACATTTCATGTTTCTAAGGAGAGAATCCAGTCTAATGTTAAATGATCTTAAGGAAGTCATTCTGTCCTTACATGATCTACCAGTCAAGGAAGACAGGCAGAAAGATATAAAAGAATAAGGATGGGTACACATAAAACTACTTGGAGGAAAACTCCCTTCAATGTATTACCAATAAAGGAATGGGGTTCCCTCATCAGTCAGTCCTGAGCCAAGCAAATCCAAGCCTGGTCAGAGGCCAAGACCTCTGAAAGAGAATGGCTTTTAGAACTTATTGTAATAGTATCCAACCAGTTTTTTAAAGCTTAAAATAAGATACACAAGGTTTGGATATGGAAATCTTTGAAGAGTCATTGGTATCTTATCTCACAGAAAGGGAAAGGCTTTCAATGGGTTTAAAATATGTGACTTGCACTGTGATGCCAGGCAAACTGCACTCACTAGAGTTGATGTGCAGGAGGTTTGGAAGGCGGGGCGGCCTCCAGACAGGGGTCACAGGCCATGGGGAAGATAGGCGGTAAGGTCCACGTGATGATCAAGGAAGGAGGTCGGTTTGAGTTTATGGTCAATAATACTCTGTGTGATGATTAATACTGACTGTCAACTTTACTGGATTGAAGGATGCAAAGTATTGTTCCTGGGTGTGTCTGTGAGGGTGCTGCCGAAGGAGGTTAACATTCAACTCGGTGAACTGGGAGAGGCAGACCCACCCTCAATCTGGGTGGGCACCATCTCATCAGCTGCCAGTGAAGCTAGAATAAAGCAGGCAGGAGAAGATGGAAGAGCAGACTTGCTGAGTCTTCTGGTCTTCATCTTTCTCCTGTACTAGATGCCTCCTACCCTCGATCATCAGACTCCAAGTTCTTCAGTCTTTGGAATCTAAGACTTACACCAGTGGTTTGCCAGGGGCTCTCGGGCCTTCGCTCACAGACTGAAGGCTGCACTGTAGTCTTCCCTAATTTTGAGGTTTTGGGACTCAGACTGATCCACCACTGGCTTCCTTGCTCCTCAACTTGCAGATGGCCTATAGTGGGACTTTACCTTGTGATGGTGTGAGTCAATTCTCCTTAATAAACTCCCTTTCACATATACATCTATCCTATTAGTCCTGTCCCTCTACAGAACCCTGACTAATACACTCTGTGAGGAAACACTGGGCCTGAATATGGGAGACAAACAGGGTGGGGGGTTTCCACCACTGAAATCTTTACTGTGGGACCAGCAGAGCTGTCCCACCGTGGATGGACAAGCTATGTAGGGGTGAGGGGGATTTCGAGGGGACTGTGGTGATTCACCACAGATGCGCCAGTTGGGAGCTGCAGAGAGAGGCCTGGGTGATGGGCACATGTGATGTCAGGCACAGTCATGGGAACAGATGGAGAAAGGACACGGGGAGGGGCCACAGATGCTGAGAACCAGCCCATGGTGTTCACCCACGAAAACGAGACCAAGTGAGATGGAGAGAAAGGAAAAGAAACAAGATAGTGCACGCCATGGGAGGCAAGAGAGGGGCACAGGTGGCTGGGGACATAGGCTACGGGATAAGTCGAAAGAATGGAGTCTCTAGAGGGCAGAGCTGGTGGCGAGGCACCCCGTGAGGCCCCAAAGGACACAGCCCCCGAGGACGAATGGGACTCAACAGGTGGAGACAGCTCATCTCTGAGGAGGTGGCAGTCACTGAAGGGAGAAAAAAAGGACAAGAGACAAATGTGAAGCCAACACCTGGCAGCCAGGCCATGGGGGCCATTTGAGCATCTCTACAGGACACAGAGCTGGGGAAAAGGACGGCAGTGGAGCGGGTGCTGGGCTGCAGGGTGGAGGAGGAACTGGCTTCAGAAGGAGGAAGAGCATCTCTTCTTCTGGGAAAAAAGGTAGGAGGATTGGAATAAAGATAGAGGAGACATTTAACACATAAAGAAAACGTAAGCCATTTTGGAAACAATCGTTCTGGAATGCAATGATCATGGAGCTGATAACATGCAAGATTGCAGCTCTAATAGACACTGTAGGCAAGCCAAAATTTTCATGAATTTTTCATGGATTTAACTAGTAGCCTCAAAATGACCATTTCATATTATTAAACATCAAGAGACAAGAAATATCCAATGGGTGACGGCATCATCGAGAAGAGAATAGAAACAGATTTCCGGAGTCCACGGGCTGGTGAGATGCTCTAGAGAGCAGGACTCTGCTCTCTGGTGTGCCAGCCCCAGCCGGGCACCGTGCTATTGTTGGTTTTCATCACCCAGTTCCTGTCAGAACCACTGCAGTCATGCCACAGACAGAGCTTTTGTGCAAATGGTATTTTCTTCCCTATTAAAATGTTCTACTCTGTTCCCATCTAAATGGGTCCAGGAGCAGTCCCAGAGACACCTGCAAATTGCACAGAGGCATGGTTTGATTTCACATGCTCCTGATGACCATAATTGTTGCTATTATTTTCCTTACTATTTCACCTCTCAGGCAGAAAGTAAACAAAACACTTCTCAGGAGAGAGCGGGGAGAAAGGAAGAGAAGACATTGTGGGGCCAAATTGGAGCACAGGACGGCATTTGTTGAACCGTTCTGATTTCCTTTGATGCTTTCCCTCCCTGCTGTTCAGGATAATGCCTTGTTCTCCTCCCTAACTTGGTGTGGAAGGAATCCCTCCAAAAGGCAATGGGGGCAGACAGACCACGCTTTTATTTTCTTATAGGCATTTATGTTCTTACAGGAATGGTTTAGAGAGGCTTATGGATGAATTAAATGGTTTGCAAAATTAAGACTGGATTCTCTACCAAGTAGATAGGCAGGGACAATAAAGGAATAAAAAGCCACATTTGGAGCTAATGGCATTGCAAAACCAATTCTGGATGGAGAAGTTGGAATCAGATGACCCTCTGAACTTGAAGACATTTGGTGAAACAGCCTGGAGTCTGCCCATCATGCACTGAGTCACGGGTGGTTGGTGTGGGTAGACGCTCTAAACATTTTGGCTCTAAGCGCCTCTGTTTATACAACATTCTTTCCCGTTGCGTCAGGAATAGGAAGCCTGTTTTCTCTGAGATAATGGAGTCAGGAAGAGAAATCATGTCCCAACTCTGGTAGATTTTGTGGCAGTCCAGGAAACAACAAGGCTTTTCTTTGTATAAGCACACAGCACCGCTCTTTCCTACCTCCCTTCTTTCCTGCCTCCATCCTTGTATTCCACAGCTGATCAGGACTCAGCTCATCCCCATCAGACACGGCTCACTCTCAAGTGGTCCTCCAGGTGGGGTTGAAACAGTGGGGTGTCCGATGCCCAGGCAGGGCCCAGCCCGGCCTGTCTCAGGGGTTACTGCTGCTTGTCCAGGTCTGTAACTATTGTCCCAGGTTCGGTGATCAAAATCTCTCCAGATAAATTTCATCCTAAGAAATAATTAAAGAATCCAGAGCAGGAGTCACCTGGTGCGTGCCATATGTAAACAACCACTCTTGAGGATGTTTGAAGAAGCACTGGATTGGTATCAAGGACTGAAAGCAGGTAGAGGTTTTTAGAAAGGTAAATTCTGCTAACTACAGACAGGGAGATTGGAAATTAGCTTGACAACGTCTTAGGGAGGAAGCAGTGATCAACAATAATCAGGAGAGTCATATGAAATATGTGCTGATTTCCTTCTCTCCTCTGATGAGGTTACCAGATGGGTAGGTGTGGGGAAAATGGTAAACAGTGTCTCTGGTTTTCAGGAAGAATTTAACAAGGTTTTCTCATTATATACACCGAATAAAATGAAGAAATGATGACTGGCAGATTAATAGCTGCCTCAACCAAAGGGAAGTAATTAAGCAATCCATGTCAACCAAGAAGGCAGTTCTGAGGGCACCCTCCTGGCTAGCTCCATTCAGCCTTCTCATTAGCGCCAGGGGAAGCACGAAGCTTCATGACACGGGGAAGACAGCAGGTCACTTGCAGGATGATGGGATATGTATCTCTAAAAATACCAACCAACAGACGCATGAATTTAAGAACAAAATAAGAGACATAAATGCAACATCTTACTCTTATTAAACAAAAAACAAATAAGCTGTAGGGGGAGGGGCCAGATTAGCAGGAGTGTTAGCCCAATATGCGCTCAGTAATGTGAGGATCGTGTTAAGTGCTGGGAGAAACGACACAGGCTTCTGTGTGCATCTTCCCAAGGCAGGTCTCCTTCCCACTCCATCTCCATCCTCCATGCGTCACTCTCAAGGCCTAGAGCAGAAGCCACCATCTCCCTGAGCCCTGCCTGATCACCTCCCTAGAGTAGCTCCTTCCGTCATGATCCAAGGGACACCCAGCCTCCCCTCCTCCGTATATGGGTGAGGGTGGTAAGTTTGTTTGTTTGTTTGTTTGTTTGTTTTGAGACAGAGTCTTGCTCCATAGCTGAGGCTGGAGTGCAGTGGTGCCATCATAGCTCACTGCAGCCTCGAACTCTTGGGCCCAAACAATCCTCCTGCCTCAGCTTCCCAAATAGGTGCACCTACTATAGGTGCACCACCACGCCTGGCTAATTTATTTTTGTTTTTAGTACAGACAAGGTCTCACTATGTTTCCCAGACCAGTCTCAGGAGCTCACGTGATCTTCTGGCCTCAGCCTCCCAACATGCTGGGATGACAGGCACGAGCCATCATGCCTGGCCAAGGTTACTGTTTGGCATCTGGCTTCCCAAGTGGACCATGGGCTCCAAGGGCAGAGACGATGTCTGTCTTATTCTCAGATGTTTAGCCAGGCAATGCCTGGCACCTTGTAGAAACTCAATCAAGGCTTGCTCAGTGAAGATAAATGAATGAGTCACCACCATCAGATGTGATTTTCTTCCGATCTAAATTCACCTGGTTTCCCTGTTTGACACACTGTCTTGGGAATTTGGAAATATCCCTTATTCCTGATGGGTTTTGAGATCCTTTAGTGCAGGAAGTCCACCTGATTATCTTTGAATAAGAACCTACGAGAGTCTAAAAACTGGTTGCATAAACAAATGGGAGAAGAAAACACTAATTCTTTTAACATACAAGTTGTTGCACTTGCCCTATTTTCAGGACTAAATAATATAGCTGCATGTAGCGTATTTGAAGTAAAATGAAATTTCAGATGTGTAGAAATCAGTGAAAGAAGCTCATTGCACAAAGTGAATAGAAATGGAAAATGGAATATGCATGCATTTTGAAATTGGTCTTATCAAAATCAGTAGGAAATTAAATTTTAAACTCAGTCATTCTTATTATATTATCCCTATTGAAATTCATCTTGCTTTTGCCTGTAGGCAGGGAGCAATTTATTAAAATACTCTGCATATCCAATATTTCTTAAACAAACAAACAAAATCTCTTATACTCAGCTCAAAAAGATGGTGACAGATGAAGGAAGAATTAGAAGTGTTAAAAAAAGAAGAAAAAGAAAAAACAACTAACCACGTGGCCTATCTTAGAACCTGACTGATGATTCCATTCAGATAATATTTCTTGGGCACCCACAGGCCACAAGCCACATGACATTAGATAGAGAAAATGATAGAAATCAAGCCATATTTCTCTACTTGCAAGCAAGTTATATACTAGCAGATACATACAATACACAAAATGCTCTTAAATCCAAATAAATCACATTTTCATGATGCAAATACTGACAGCTTAAATCGACATAGCACTCCATTGGTTACAAAGCACTTCTACCTAAAACATCTTATTTAATTTGAAAGTAAGTTAATCTAGTTAGGTTAAAGAGTTGTGTCAATCGCAAGTTGTCTCCAAAAGCTACCTGGAGCATAAAGAACCAAGAAGAGCTACGACAATATTGAGAAAACCCGATAAGATAAAGGTAGGAGAGACTTGCTGTATTAGCTATCAAGACTTCTTTTAAACTGATGGTTAATAGGACAGTGTGGTTTTGACATAGGTTAGACACATGAAACAGAATAGAGCCAGAAATACTCCATCCTTATAGGGAATTGTGTGAATTCAGAAGTGCTTGCAGGTAAATGGAGAAAGGATGAACAACACAATAAGGGGCACTAAAAAAATTGGTTATCTTATTTAAAAAGCAGAAAACAAAACTAGTTCCATTCTTTACACTACACAAAGAATGCAAGTCATTAAAGACCAAAGCGTTAAAATTAAAACTTTAAAAATTTTAGATAACAGATCACTTTTACAACTTCAGAGTGAGGATAGACTTCTTAATTAAGACACAGAAAGCATATAATGTAAAGAAAAGGATGAATCAATTCAGCTGCATAAAAATTTAAAACTTCTGTATAAAAAAGTTTAAAAGATTGGCCACAAACTTGATAGCATTTACAATGCATGTAACTGATGAAGAGTTATTATACAGAATATGTAAAGAACTCTTATAAATTAACTAAAAGAGGCAGAGAAAAGGAGAACAGGAACACTGTATAGATGGGGAACGCAAAGAGAACTATCAATGCCCCTGACATGTGAAGGGAGTCTGACCACACTGGCCATCGGGCAGTGCGTGTTCCGGCCACGGTGGGACACCATCTCACACACAGCCGATGGGCTGCGACTCAGTGCCTGATGTCCTACCAACAGCAAGGAGGGAGAGAATGAGAACTCACATCTACTGTTGGTGGGAATGCATCTTATACGACGACTTTGGAGGAAATTTGGTAACATTTACTATAGTTGAAGATCGTGTGCTCCATGACCCAGCAATCTCACTCCCAGGTATATACCCGAGAGAACCTCCCCCAACACCTGCCCCTACGGTGCTCAAGGGATGGATGCACAAGATCATTCATGGCAGCACTGCTCTCAGAAACACCAGAAGGAAACAACAAGCATCCAGCCCCAGGGCAACTGACACAGGACTGTTGGCACAGTCAGATGAAATACCACGCAGAAGCAAACATAGGAACCAAGCGCTACCCATCAGCATGGATACAGCTCATGAATGCAACCTGGAACAAGACGCATTCATGCATACACGAGATGACTCCATTTATATGACACGTAAACTGCAAAAAACAATACAGTGTTTAGGATACACACAATAAAACAGGAAGAAATATACAGGAGTGGTAGACCTCAAATCCAGGGAAATCGTAGCCTCCAGGTGGGAGGGAGAAGGATGAGACTGGGGGACCATAAATGGTGTTCAACTGTATCGATAACTTCTTGATTTCTTAAGCTGAATTTATGGGTGCAAAGGTGTTTCTTAACAGTATTTTGATTCCTAAATATGTCTGAAATATTTCCTAAGACAAATTTGAAAAGGGCTCAAGTCAATATTTCTGTTCACTGAGTAGAGGAAGTTTTCTGCAAGCCAATGGTCTATCCACAGTGAGAATCTGGAGAGAGAGAGAGGTGTTGGTCAGGGGCACCTAGGAACCCATTCTGCTTTCACCCTCTGGATGAGTTCATTCAAAGACTAAGAGACCTAAACATTTGGAAATGTAAACATTCACTTACATCTGCATCTGTTAAGTGTTAAGTTCTGACATGAGCTTAGTCTAAAAGGGATCTGGGCGGGATATCAAGAACCAAACATCACAGATCCAGAAAGAGCCTTCCCTCTGCTACTTCCCTGTCTGCGGTCTCTGCGTGACACAAGTTATGGTTTCTAAGGGACAGGGAAGCTTGGCTGAGATCACTGCACCTGCTCTCGGCTTGTGTGGGCCATGGCTCTTTCAAAAAAGATCGTGCTGCTTAGCATAATTAAACCAGGAACTCAGCGCAGCCTCAGAGTGCGTGGGGTGGGGCAGAGCTCTGGGAGGCCGAGTGGTGACTTCCTCCAGTCCAGCATCCACCAGCCACACGGGAGATGGTGTGGGATGTGGGATCTGAAAGGCTTCATTTGGCCTCATAAATGGGATTAGCATGGGGGCAGCTACCGACCAGTCACCTTCTGGAGTCGAGGGCGCCCAGGTAAAGGGCTTTGGCATGGAAGTGCAGGTTGCTGAAGGAGTCATGGGAGGGGACATGACAGAAGATGCTTCCACCTGGGCAACACCTGTCATTGGGAGGGCATCGTGAACATGGCTGGCACATTCCGGGTGATCTAAGGCTCAAGTTAGACAAAGTTAACAGGCACAGGAAGGATACTGAATATTGCGAGGTTGCAGAAGGGAGGCCAGGGAATGGCTGTGGCCCAGGTGTATCAAATAAATGCCCCCGTACTGTTGTTTGCGATAACAAGTCAGGGGTGTTAGAGGAGCCAAAGACCCCCTCAGCACCCACCAAACGGGCAATCGAGGTTGTTTTAGGCAGAAACTGGATTGCCGCAAAGCTGACATGTTGGAAGGGGTGAGATGAGAGCTAAGAACTTCTCCAACTCGTCCTAACGTGTCCCTCCTAGAAGTCACGAAGAGAAAAGGGCGAGACTATGAAACAAAGTGTGTAAAGGTGGAAAGAAGTAAAAATAAAATTAAGAAGAGTTCCATCCTGATTAACCCTCCATGGAAAAGCTCCAGAGAAGGTGCCTCTGCCAATTGAAAGTTTTTCACTGTGAGCAACTCTACGTAAAATGCATCTGGACCAGCACATTCCCCTGTGGACAGCTCTGCATGGAGATGTGACGGGGACAAATGATCTGGGAAATCATTGTTTTCGTATCAGTGTTTGTAAGTTTCAGAGTTTACTTGAATGGGAACATAACAGCTCACTAATAAAAAATGAGGAATGTCTTACTTTTTTTAAAAAACGTTTCCCCAAATAGGTTTGCTTATATGATCTATTTGGGGGTTTGGAATGAGTATGTGGAAAACTGAAAAAAAAAAAATTCAGAAATTAATAAAGACATAAACTCCATGTTTTATAATGCCCAGAGTGGTGCGTGCTTCCCCGCTGGGGTAACTGAAGTTGCCGGAGCTGGGTTCACTGGGGATCGTAAGGGAGCTTCCCGGGCGGGGCCATCCCCAGCTGGGGGAGGTGGCATCCAGGCACCTCATATGCCGTGCCTCGGGCCTTACCTGAGCATCAGAGTTTTTAAAAGTCCTTCTGTCATGGGCTTGCTGTAAGAAGTCAACATAAATATGGACAGTGCTCAGAACATGGGGCGCCTGATGTCTGGAGCAGCAAACTGTGATCAAACACTCATATTTCCACAGCAAAATAATGATCCACACTAATGGAGGTAAAGAAGGAGAAGACTACGAGCCTTCCTCACCCAACGCAGACCTACCAGGGCTCTGTGCGCCAGTGCCACAGGCATCCCTTGGGTGGTCACGTAGCCTAAAATACGAATGAGACTAAATATAGGGATGTGAAAGTTCTGCTTGACACTTAAATGTGCTTATTAAGACTTAATCCAATTATATTATCGGGATTGATATCTATAAGTCTCTAATAGACATTCCTATTTAAGTTTTAAAATATCATGCTTCCCACAGCTGGCCCCTCAGGCCCTCCCGTTCCAGGGCTTCACTGCGACCACGTGGCACTCTTCACTGGGAATATCCCTCTTGCCTCTCCTAGAACTGCCTCCAACCAGATTCTGGCGGGAGATGATGCAACCTGCAACCAAGTCACCTGCACAGGGGCCCTGGCCCCCAAGGGCCTTGGGTGTTGCCAGTAGATCCATGTTCATTTTATCAACGACATTCTACCCCTCTAAAGCCACATTGTGTTTGCAATCTACAACAGGTAGATGACATCAAGTCTTACAGCATTTACAATAATTTCAAGACAATGACTCTTATCTCCTTAATTAGATTACGAGCTCCTTAAAAGGCATCCCTTGGGTGGTCACGTAGCCTAAAATACGAATGAGACTAAATATAGGGATGTGAAAGTTCTGCTTGATGCTTAAATGTGCTTATTAAGACTTAATCCAATTATGTTATCGGGATTGATATCTATAAGTCTCTAATAGACATTCCTATTTAAGTTTTAAAATATCATGCTTCCTATCTAGGCACGTAAAATGCCATGTGACATTAGAACAAAAAATTAGCATGTAGAATGATTAGCATGTGAAATATGATATTAGAACAATAAATTAACATGTAGAGTATGATTTAATGTGAAAGGGCCACGTGAGGTGGCATTTTAGATAGAAATGCACTCACGCACACACACAAGCACAGATACACCTCCCTCCACACATTCAACTGAGATCTTTCAAAGGTGACATCAAAATAAAAATAGCACACAAATTTTATGGAAAAGAGCAAATCAAAAGATTGTTTTCTGTAGTGATAAGACCTGAAATGAAAACACATGACCAGTGGTGGAGACATAAAGGCATTACGCTGCCCAGAGGCGCAGCAACCAAAATAGAAAGCTCTTTACTTTGCAGGTTGATGTGATTTAGCCTAAGGCACTAAATCAGCACCTGTTATCAGATCACGGTCCTTGGGTCCTGATTTCCTTCTGCCAGCAAAGCACCTTGATGAGTGTCTACAAGAGGGCAAAGGCAGCATAATGCCGCCCATGGTAGGACTGCGGGGCTGCACACATTAGGCTCTTTGACGCTTTTATTACAGCTACAGCCCAAGGATGCAGTTCCAACTCCTGCCCTTATGAAAATAAAATGGTGCACACCATACAAGACTATTTAAATAGACCAGACTTCAGCCATCTGCACCCCACTTCTTTTGAGACCCACAAGGTCGGAGTGCTTGCACGAGAGGTAAAATGATTTCCCTGGAAACACGCTCACCTGTGCACCATGAGAGACCCAAAGCTGAATAGCCCTCTTGCCTTCCTTGCTCGATTACACAAGAAAAGCAAAAGCAAAAAGCACCTGGCATGGTGAATTTAATTCTGCAAAAATATATCCTGAATACAACTCCCTATTGGAAATGTGAATATCTAAGCAGCGTTGTGTAGGCCTTTCAAAGCGACTGCAAATTATGGTGGAATAATATGGTTAACACAGAAGTTATGGCATTTTTGCTGTAAACAATACCATCAAGAAAATGAAAATACAACCCACTACGGGGAAAAGTATTTGCAAATAATATGCCTGAGAAGGCACTTGTATCTAGAATATATACATAATTCTTATAACTCAACAATAAAAAGATAAATCACCCAATTTTTAAAAATGGGCTAGTGACCTGATGTGACATTTCTCCAAAAACATACAGCCAATAAAAACATGAGAAGATGCTCTACATCATTTGTCATCAGAGGAATGCAAATCAAAACCATAAGGAGGCACCACTTCATACCCACCAGGATGGCTGTATTCAAAAGGTGAACAATAACAAGTGGGGAAAAAATGGATCTCGGCTGGGCATGGTGGCTCACGCCTGTAATCCCAGTACTTTGGGAGGCCAAGATGGGCAGATCACCTGAGGTCAGGAGTTTGAGACCAGCCTTGACCAACAGGGTGAAATCCTGTCTCTACTAAAAATGCAAAAAGTAGCTGGGTGTGCTGGCAGGTGCCTATAATCCCAGCTACTAGGGAGACTGAGGCAGAAGAATTGCTTGAACCCGGGATGCAGAGGTTGCAGTGAGCCGAGATTGTGCCATTGCACTCCAGCCTGGGCAACAAGAGGAAAACTCCGTCAAAAAAAAAAAAAAAAAAAGCTCCATCTATCACTGCTGGGTGGGAATGTACAATGTTGCAATCACTTTGGAAAATGGTCTAGAAGTTCCTCAAAAGCTCAGACATAGAGTTGCCATCCCAGATCCAGCAATTCCACTCCCAGGTATAAACCCAGGAGAAATAAAAACATATGTCCACACAAAAACCTGTACAAAAATGTTCACAGCACCATTAGTCACAACAGCCAAAAAGTAGGGACAACCCAAATGTCTATCAACTTACTAATGGATTAAAAAAATGTAGTATATCCATGCAGTGGAATATTACTTGGCAATAGAGAGAAATACCTGCTACAACACGAACGAACCTTGAATACATGAGGCTAAGTGAAAGAAGCCAGCCACAAAACCCCACATTGTATGATTCCGTTTATATGAAATACCCAGAATAGGCAACTCTACGGAGACAGAAAGTGGATGTAGGGCTGCAGGGGGTCGTGGAGGGGAAAAGGGGGACAGGGTTCTGTTCTGAAGGACGAAAACATTACAGATGTGGTAACAGTTGCACAACCTTGTGAATACACTTAAAACATGGAATTGTACATTTTAAATGGGTGAATTGTATGGTATGTGAATTAGATCTCAAAGCTGTATGCAAAAACAGAAACAAAATGTTATGGCATTCAGGGCAATTTGAAGCAAAACAAATACTGAGATGGTTCTTCAGAAGGGACTTTCCTTTAGCCGGGCACCAGGTGGCATGTACCTGTGGTCCCAGCTATTCAGGAGGCTGAGGCAGGAGGATCACTTAAGCCCAGGAGGTGGAAGCAGCAGTGAGCCATGATCGTGCCCCTGCACTTCTGCCAGAGCGAGAAGGCAAAACCTTGTCTCAGAAAGAAAAAAAAAAAAAAGAGAGAGAGAGACTGTCTTGGTGCCTTTTATTATAGTGCATCTTGAAGAATGGAGGGGAGTGCCTTCTTCCACACATCTAGCTTTCATTCTGAGTCCATACTCAGGACAGATTTGGAATTTTTCACAAAGACTCCCAGGAGGCAATGGCTTAGTGTATGATAAGTAATTTCCTCAGGATATTTGCTTCCTGGCAACAAAATAAAATTTAGAATGCAAACAATATGGTATATTTTGAAACAGAGTCCCCCAGAGGGTAGACAACGCTTCTCTTAGCCACTGTATAGAACAGTCTAGAAGTTGGATAACCTTATTTGTATGGTAGTAACCAATATCTCTATATTCATGTGAATTCAATCCAATTTGGTGCTACAAAAATTAAAAATGCTTGACTCAAAATTCTTACATCTAACCTGACTCAACAATCCATCGGCGCATGAAAAAAAAAATTCCCCTTTAAGAATTTCTAGTTATTGAATTCAGGATTGTTTATCTCTGAGAGGGAGACAAAATCAGAAGTAAGTTTGGAGTCTCAGGGAAAACATAACAAGTTGATTATTGTTTAAGTCTAAAAGGCACCAAAGCACTTGTCCCTGGGTACCACTCAGATGCAGGCAACATTCAGTTAAAGTGCCTCATGGCTTTTTTTCCTATGAGGCCTACAGAATGGTCCCTCACAAGTTTTCTATTTCTGTTCTGCTTCAAAGAAAGACTTTCTCAACTTTTTTAGGGCTCCAGTCCTGGCCCATCGTGGATGGTGAGATATTCTTTAGATGTTTGTTCTGTTTTTTTTTAAGTTGATATATATTTAGGCCCAAAGTCATGTTTATTCACAAATCCAAACAACCGGCAAGCTAAGGCTAATTTTTTCATGTAGAATATTTATGAAAGAAAACAATGAATAAACAACTTAAGATTGGGGATTTACTCTGAAGGGCACTTTCCGGAACATGTCATAGGCTCAGCCCCAGTTCAACCCCATCTCCACTGCGGTTTGGAAAATTGTCAGGCCTGAGAGAGAGCAAGGGGTTCTGTTTACTCCACTCTAGGATTAAGGAATGGAAATATAGGGAGAGCCAAGTAAGGAGGTTGTGACTCAGTTCCTCCCCCTGGATAAATGTCTGCACAGACTTTAGACTTCTGGTTTTCAAACTGGGGTTCAATAGGACCCTGAGTTCAGTGGAGTGGGAGGTACTACAGAGATGAAGCAGATGCCCCTAAAAAGTGGCTCTTTCTGCATAAGATGTTTAAAAAACTGGGTTCCGGGTGTGAGATAAATGGCAGAACCTTGATTTAGATCTACTTTCGGGGTTGTTACAGAAAGATCTGTTGGGCTGTCTGGGGTGAGATTAGATGATTCTCATTATTTTTCTATGGTTAAAATTGCTATAGCTACCATGGTGTATTGCAAAGTTTGGTACTTATATCAATGACTCAGGAGCACTGAGACACTGATATACTGAATTATCAAAAGTTTAATTTTTTTTTTTTTTTTTTGAGACAGAGTTTTGCTCTTGTTGCCCAGGCTGGAGTGCAGTCTTGGCTCACCGTAATCTCCGCCTCCTGGGTTCAAGCAATTCTCCTGACTCGGCCTCCTGAGTAGCTGGGATTACAGGCGCATGCCACCACTCCCAGCTAATTTTTGTATTTTTAGTAGAGACGGGGCTTCACCATGTTGGTCAGGCTGGTCTCGAACTCCTGACCTCAGCTGATCTGCCCGCCTCGTCCTCCTAAAGTGCTGAGATTACAGGCGTGAGCCACCGTGCCTGGCGTAAAAGTTTAATTTTATTTAGACAAGTTTTAGTGTCAAGTATATTTTATTAATCTGTAATTACTCGAAAATGGGAAATTTACAAACTGGAATACTCAGGCAATTGGAAAACATCTCCCTACACTTATTTGAAGATTTAAAAAATGTATTAGCTTCGGACTAGTTATTCTTGTTCTCTTTTACATATTTTTCTAATCATTCCTACTCATTTTCTCATCTTGATTTTTTTCTCTCCTCCTATCTCCTCATTATATCTCTTGCTATTTAGTTCAACATGAGATCTTTTACAACCAAATAGCTTGCTAGAAACAGCAATGCTTCATGGTAAACAGCGTGAGGGAAAGATGTTCTGAAATGGTTATATAAGCACGTGTGGCATCAACTACAACGTGAGGCACGTCATTTGATCAATGTATAAATAGCAAGTCGTAAATGATTCTTTCCACTCCTGAGCAGCCTGGCAGTAGCACAGAAGGTAAATGCAAATGGCCTTCCGCTCCTTTCCCGTGAATAAGGAGATAATCCCACCAACATAGGCCTTGGCAGCAGGAAGCGCAGCAGGAAATTCATGTGAATTTCTGAATTCTGAGAGAACTAGTTACCCATCGGCTGTAGCAAAAATCAAGAACAAAATTCAAAGGAAAGAATTCATGATGGTTAATACAGATAAAACCTATGCAACTGGGTTACACACTTCATGAGGCCAAACACTTAAATATGCATTTAGCATAAAATGTGTTTCTGCCGAGGGCCATGGAGGCCTCCAAAAATGCTACTTTCACCCAGGGCCCCTCAGGAGTCTTTACCTTCTCCGTTGTTTCCTATATTAATAACAAATTCCTTCTACTAATTTATCAAAACATAATCACTGCAGTTAAAAGGCAGCGCTGCCAAATATTTGACCATAAAATCATATGGAAAGTAGTGGTAAAGAAATAATGTTACCATGTTTTCATAAAATTCATCCTACCAACAAATATATGCATATACAATTATTACATTTATTATAGAGTTATAACAGAATAGTTTTTAAAACTGGAAAGCCACATGTAATAAATAATATACCTTTCCTAAAATCAGTACTTATTTCTGTCTTTCTTTTTTGAATCCTCACTTCTTTAAATTACTATCTGCATATTCTGGATTTTAGCCTGGGAGAGTATTATGAGAATGAGAAGTACAAAGAAAAAGAACAAAAGTATCCTTAAACCTACTAAATACCCTGAAAGGATAAAAAGAATGATTGCAGACAGATAATATATTTATTTTTTTCAACGAATGAAATAAATTTAATCCTATTTATCCCAGTTTACTATCTCAAATAGACTGGTAAAACTGAAAAAGCATTTCTACTATGTTTTGAAGCAAATTTAAAAGTATTATTATATTTTCCAAATATACATCCTATTAAGACATGCCCATATTTTTCACATATAGCCATTTAGCATAATTTCAACAAGTCCAAAGCTGCTAAATATACCATATGTGCCCATTTATTCTAATGAACCAATAACACAAATACATTACCAGATTCATGCCCCTCTGCTCAGAAAGTATCACTAGCCTGTAGCTGCTGAAAAGCTGTTCCATCTCAGTCACCCACTCCACCATCATCCGACATGACCTATCCTGCTCCTGGCCAGAGGACCTTTTCAACATTGGATTCCAATTCCTCATCTAGGCAAAAGGTATATAACATACTTATCCTCAGGCAAGCTTCTTGTACAGAGTGAATGAGATAAAATATGTGTGTCACAACGCCTTTATCTGTGTCAGAGAAAATCCAAATCAAACTGGCTTAAACAATGAAAGAAATTGCTTGGCTCATATAACTGAAATATCTCAAGGTAATGTGGACTTCAAGCTCAGGCTGATCAGGGCTCCAATCTCATTTCTCTGTGGATTTCCCAGCTCTTTCCTCTCGTGTGTTGGCACCATCCTTAAGCTGGGTAACTTATGGTCACAGATGGCTGCAAAACCGCAAGTCAGGACTCCACGTTTCCATGTTTCTCCACAGCCACTGGGCAGGGATCTCAGGTTACATCCTATTTGACCATCTTGGGCCACATTCTCAACCCTGAGCTCATCCCTGTGACCAGGAAAGTGCCATGGGTAGGGCACACACGCCCAGGATGCAGATCTCCCTGGGGCCAAACAAACTTAAAAACAAAAAGTTTCTCTAAAAACAAGGTAGGCTTGGCTTTCTCCAACTGCCTCATCCTCTAATTGCACAGAAGAAATACTGTGAATGAATAAGGCATCCAACCCATTCTCCAACACCCCTTTCCCAGGCCTGTTTGTTCTTTTTCCTCTTATTTTTCCTCCGTCGTCCAACATCAAGATGCAAGGGCCGCAATCTGAGTGTGAGGGCCAGGGAACTCACTGACCATCTGGGGGGGCTCTAGGAAAAGCCTGGAAGAGACTCTCTGTGGGAAGCTCAGGGGAGTCAAGCCCCTTGACGAGGTGTGTGATGTGGGCAGGTGTGATGGAAGAAAAGAGACTGGGACTTGTCCTTTCTGGCTTCTCAGTGGTCTGCTCAGAGACGTTTATCCTCCTTGCAGCTGGTGCATGAGTGAAACTCTGAATTTGTAGTTTTCCTTAGGAGAAAGATGGCATGCACCCCTGGGTCACCTGGCAAAGCTATAACACACGGTGGCTCCTGCAGACCCCTGGCTCCCCTCGCGGGCTTGCAACCAGGCACTCTTCCTCTCTCCCTCCATGACAGACCAGGGCGAGGAAAGGAGAAATGATGAGCTCTGAGCTGGGGCCTTGCTGCCCGACTGCCTCCACTAATCCTGCTCATCTGACCGAGGTCAGACACTGCTTTGCAGAGCCCGTGGGCTGTGCTCCATTTATCACTCTGTCCGGGCGTCTGTTGTTACCCATGCTCGGGTAGGAAAATGCTGAGTGAAGGTAACAGGACTGTGCAGTTGGGAAGCTCATCTCCTCTTACATTTGGATGTTTTCCCAAGTGGCCACTGCCAAATTTACTCCACATCAGCCTCTCTCTCTCCATGCCCTTGACCTGTCCTCCTCCCTCTGGCCCTGCGCACTACGTCCCACTTGTTTCTTGACTCTTCTCCACTCTTCCCCTTCTCTTGTCTTTCTTCTTCCTGCCTCTTCTCTCCCCTCTCCTCCTGCCCTTTAATTATTGTTTAAAAGACAGATGCTTGAGCAGTGTTTCCCGGACCTCCCAGAGAAAGCTGACCCAGAGGACACGGAGCTATCCATTTGGGTGGACTTTTCAGGGCCTTTCCCTGTATTTCAAGTCCTTAGTTAAAAGCACGTGTCTGAATTTTCTAAGTTAAGGGGGGAGGTTTGATTTAGTGATCAGAAAAATTTCCAGTCCTGAAACATGCCTGCTTTTACCTGGAATCCTTCACTTTCAGTGGCATTTGCAGTTTGACATGAATGCTTCCGGTGCTGCATTTCATAGACCTGCTGATTTGTAGCTCAGCCTGTCGCCACCATTCAGGCGGCTGGGGTGCAAGAGCTAGGAGCAGTGCTGCTGAAAGTCTTTAAGACTTCAGTGAAGCAAACAGATTGCAGTATAACGAGAAACATGGAGTTTTTTCAAAACAATTTTGTCTACTGCTGAAATTTGCAAAACACGTCACCGAAGGAGTCTCAGGTTGATCCTGTACAGAGGAGAGCTCTGACCTGCCTCACTAACCCACACCCTGAGCTACTCACCCTGCTTCACGGTCACGCCTGTTTCTAAAAGGTAGCTCAGGCTGAAGATCTAGGAGTCATCTTTGATTTTTCTGTCATGTATAGTGTGTCCAGGCTATCTGCAAGGCCTGTCCACCCTGGTGTCGGATGGCAGCTCCGAGAGCTTGCTAGCTCAGTTTCTTCTCTGCCAGCCTTCAATCTAATTGCACGCATCACCCAAAGGATCCTTTTAAATTGAGATATGATCCCATCACTCCCTTATGTGAAACATTAGGGCTTTCCACGGCCTTCAGGACACAGTCGGGCTTTCCACGGCCTTCAGGACACAGTCGGGCTTTTCACGGCCTTCAGGACACAGTCGGGCTTTCCACGGCCTTCAGGACACAGTCGGGCTTTCCACGGCCTTCAGGACACAGTCGGGCTTTCCATGGCCTTCAGGACACAGATTCCTCCCCAAGGCCCCAAGAGCTTTGGGCTCTCACAGCCCACCCCATCTTCCCCGTCTTTCTGGGGACACTGACTTCTGGCAGGTGCCAGATGAGGCCAAAGCCCAGTCAGCTCAGGAACCAGGCTTGAGCCACATCTCCCCCAGAAACTCTGCCCCACACCCTCTAGGGGCCAATCACCTCTTTCATTCAGCCCTGCGGAGATGTCTCCCTGGACTGCCCTCTCAAACACTGTCCTCCTCTGCCACTCATGGCTCCCTGCCATGCCTTACAATTTGTGTATGTTTGAGATCAGTACATTTTTCTATGTAGACTTGATTTGTAGACAGATATAGATGCAGCCGAGCTTCCTACGCCTGTCGGAGGCTGAACATCTGGCTCTGGAATGCCATGTGGACATCTAGTGAACACCTCGAGCCCTCTATCGTAATACCTCGAGCCCCCATTCCCAGAAGGACACTGGGACACAGCTGTGCTGCCCGGCCCGCTTCCTACCCAGGCCCCGAGGGCAGGTGTTCACCTTCTGTGACCAGGCCCTGCCCTGCCCTGGCCCCTGCCCGTGTCCCTCCCACACTGAGGCCACAGCCCTGCCTGCGTCCTGTCTGCTGCATCTTCTACAACATGCTATCTTCCTCAAAGCTGAACTGACCAGAATATTCGCTTTGTCTTGCTGCTGTGACAAATTCCACAAATTCAGTGGTTTGAAACACAGGGTTTTCCCTCCCAGTTGTGGAGATCGGAAGTTCGGGATCCATTTTGCTGGTGTTGGCAAGGCCGGTCCCTCCGGTGACTCCATGTCCAGCCCTGGGGGCCACCTGCGTTCCTTGCTCCTGACCCTTCCTCCACCCCTGTAACCTCTGCCTCCCTGTCACACCCTTTCCCGCTTCTGCAATCAGACCTCCTCTGCCTCCTCTCACGAGGACTCTTGTGATTACATTTAGGGCCTCCCCAGATTATCCAGGAACATCACGCCATCTCCAGGTCCTTAACTTGATCGCACCTACAAAGCCCATTTTGCCACATATGGGAACAGCTCCAGGTTCCAGGCTTAGGCTGTGGCTTTCTCGAGGAGACATTATCCAGCCTTCCACACCCACCAAGAACACCAGGGGTCTACACCTGAGCACCTGCGTCAGGGCTGGATGTGGGGCTCAGCCGGATGAAGCCCAGGTCCCGACTAGTCCTACTTTATTTCCTGCCATTGAAATCCCAGCAGGATGTGGCCGCATTGTTCATTAGCACCTTTTTTCAGAAGTTCAGTTCTGATAATTAACATTCCCTCTCAGCTGACTCATCTGACTGGGAAACAAGCATAGATAGATGTTCCACTGGGGGCTGAGCCATGCGACTCCCGCACCACACACCAGAAAGAACATCGTGTCTCACACTCCCAGGCTGGCCTTCCAGCCACCGTGGACTCCCTGTGCACAGTATTTTGGTCACAGGTCACAAAAGCAAAAAGGAAACGTAGAGGAAGAAGATGTAGAATAAAGGGAGGAGTAAGAAAAGCATTTCTGAAGATGATTGAAGATATCGGAGGGGATGCCTTTTTCTTTTTAATGAAAGGAAGCAGTGGACAAAGGCCAGGCTGACCTGCCCAGTCACATCGGAAGGACCTGCTGACCCCCTGGGGCCCCAGAGATGCCCGGCCTTTCCCGCTTGAAACACAAACCTGCGGCGCACAGGCCAACGGTGCCCACACACCGTGTGCTCGCTCCGCTCATACCAGGTAGGAAACAGCAAAAGCAAGAGCTGGGTGCAGGTGCTGGAATGAGATACCGATGGTCTCCGGGACCTCTCTCCTTATCCCCGCTCTATCCTGTCCTGGACCATCTTGAACATCAGAGAGGGAGAGCACACCCCCCCAGGATGGGCGCTCTGTCCCCTGTGCTGCCTGTGGGGTCTAGACACCATTGAGGACTTGCCCACTCAGCGCAGGACTCCCGCCCACTCTTTGCCCTTTGTGAACAAGGGGATGGATCTGCTGCATTTGGGAGACATCTCCCTGCATACACAGGCCTCACTGCAGTCATTCTCATTCAATGGAATTCAGCCTAAATGACGACGCTTTTTAGACACCCAATCCCTGTAACAGCAGTCCCTGCGCTAGGCCTCTACCGTGTCTCTTGCCGTACCCTGCCACCCACTGTGTGTGGGTGCAGGGACGCAGCCTCAGTGGGGAGAAGGTGCCAGTCAGACCACACCCCGGCTGACCTGCCATGCCACCTGAGAGCCCCCCAGCACTCTGGAGTTTCATTTATTACGGGTCAGACCCTGTAAGGCAGATGTTATACTAATTTTACAGAGAAGAAAATTGAGCCTCAAGAAGTTCCCATTGGTGACCTTGCCAAAGTCATATGAGTGCCACATAGCAGAGCCAGAATTCACAACATGGGGGCTACCTCCAAAGCCCCAACCCCGACGCATGGATCACAGGCAACAGCTCCCCTCACCAGCTGCAGGAGAAATCACCACCACCACTAACGGGACCCGCCCTGCTCACCAGCAGCAGCTCTCATGCCTGCCTGAGGCCATGTCAACCGAGTCGCTCCTGTCCAGCAACACGTGTTCACATACATGACGGTACAGTTGCGGACAGCTCCGGTAGGTGCATGGCGCACCTTCTACAGCCTAGGGACAGCCAGGCTCAAGAGAGGGAGATGAACATGCAGAACCCCCGACCCTGACTCCGGAAAATGGCTCCAAAGGCTCTCAGCTGCAGGTCCATCCTTCCCATCCATCCTCCCTCTGCCAGGCCAGAGCCCAGGCCCACAGCTCTGAGCTGCATGTGGGTGTCAGGCCAGCTGGGGAGCAGGGCCTGATGGCCACATGTGGGTGTGGCAGGATTTTTGCCCTAGAGACCTGGGCTCACACAGGGGCAGTGAGCCCACTGTGGTGCCCATGGGGGGCTGCCCAGCAGGAGCCACAGTGCTGACCTAGCCCAGAGCCACCAAGGCCCCTGACAACAGGTGCCTGACTCTCCTAATCTAAGGTGCGCCAAGGCCCCTAACACCCAAGAGGAAGAGGAACAAATGAATGTGGGAGAAAGAACTGAGCCCAGAAGGTTCATGGGTCCAGGTACAGGAGAGCCCTTGACAGAAGCCCGGCTCTGCCTGACAGAAGGTGCCGGGCGCCCGCTCCATCGTGGGCCGAAGGCAGTCACAGGCTGGAATGTGCAGAGGGAAGTCATTCATCACAGAAACTCAGCGTCAGGAGTCAAAGACTTTAAATCTCACTATAAATCTCTATCAGCAATGTCACGAAGGCCATCTTCCTAGAATAAAACCTATTCTAGAAGCAACAGCTTTTAAAACAAACATCCTTATTGACTTTTCCTGTTTTTCTATTTCTTAAAAATTACCAGCATTAATACATGTGGAAATCTGTGCATTTTAAAAAATGTTGATAGTTTCTCAATCTTTTAAGATATTTTGTTGCTTTTAAAAATTTTTAAGTAATCAAAGTTGTTCGGGGATTTTTTCCCAAAAATGTTATTGTAAGATAACACTAGATCAGCTATATTGTGAGCCTAGATTAGACATTTTTTCTACAGAAAATTTTTCAAGGCCAAACAGTAGTTAGTAAGAAACCCAATGCCAGCACCACCTCATGCTGTTATGTGGTTCTCTCGTGGCTTCTGAGTAATTTGACTTACGCGACGGTTTTAATGACCTCCTCCTCCATTGGCGTCAGGTAAGCACCACTTTTTGTCTGCATTTTAACCCTCTACACCCAAGTCCTACTGATAATTTAGGCACGTAGTGAATAGTCAGTCCATGGCTAATTCCTAAGATAAAATGTCCTAAATGACCTCCAAGGACTTTGTACATATTAACCTAGAAGCTGCGAATTACATGGAGAATGGCCACGCATGGCTCGGGGGCAACGGTCCCGCAACAGCCACAGCTGTCTGTGGCTGCCGAGCAAACGCCAAGTCCAGCCTGCGGCACCTTCCTTCTGCACAAGCTTCACCAGCATTTTTAGCGGCACAGACCACAAATCAGCCCGAGGTTTTCTGTAAATTCACACACAGCAAAGAAGTATTATGGGGTCCAGGCTGATGACACCATTGGGGAGAACCCGTGTGCTCTGTCCCGGATGGCTGAGAGAACGTGAAGCTCTGCAGACTCGGAGCCTGGCCATGCAAGGGGACCTGTGATTCAGGACACTTCTTAAAACTCCAGAATATACCACTGTGGGTGACCAAGCCTTGAAACTCCAGAATGTTCCCACCATGGGTGGCCAAGCCACATCACAGGGAAGAAACCTTCAATGTGCTTTCTGTGCAGCACACTCCTCTCTTCTGTGATCTGAACACGAACCACCACCTCTAGGCTAGGACTCAGATGCAGTGAGCTCCACTATACCCACAGTCACATACGGACAGTAACTTCTCTTCCCGAATCCTGTCTGGATCCAAGTGTCCCTGGGCCAGAGTCTCCCTAAGAGACAGCCCTGAGTCCAAGCCCCTGAGAAGCTCAGGGCCATGCAAAGCAGGAGGCCTGGGTGTGGAAGGGGTATGGGTAGGGCCTGAGAATGGACTGAGGGGCAGACAGTTCAGGGAAGGGAAGATCACTGGGGTAGAGAGGTGACCTGGAGGGAGGTCAGCGTGGGCAGGGGTGAGACCAAGGAAAAGATTGACCATCACTAGAAGATCAGGCTCACAGGCAGTGAGAGGCCTTGGCTGAGTGGGAGGTGGAGATAGTAAAATGAAAACACGGGCACTACTCTATAACTCCCATGGCAATTCGGGCAAATGCCCATCACCTCCGTTACATCCAAGCTTCGGGAGGGTAGGACGAGCGTCTCAGACGTACATCTCTTCTCCTGCCTCACGCACACAGAGTGATTGTGGCCAGCTCATTTTAGCAGGTCACACTCCCTTCCCTCCATCAGTTGTTGTTCTGCTGTCATGAGCCTTGACACCGCAGTACGACGCGCTCAGGAAGACATCAGGACAGAGGTCTAGACGCTTACAACCCTGAGAGACACACTGGACGCTGCGCGCAAGAGCCCTGTGCATATGGACTCCGATTGACGCCATCAGATTCGCCCACAAGCCCTGTGCGTATGGGCTCCAATCGATGCCATCAGATTCGCGCACCAGCCCTGTGCATATGGGCTCCCATCGATGCCATCAGATTCGCGCACGAGCCCTGTGCGTATGGGCTCCCATCGATGCCATCAGCAAAGTTTTTTCACTTCTTTGTTGGGTTGTACTCTACAAGGACTTGACTGAGTCACACATCATGATCCATGCGTTTTCTTTGTTAAGATCTAGAAATAAGAGACAGACCCAACCTCATGCTGTGTCTCGGGTTCTCTGGAATGAAGGCAGTCAGCTATAGTCACCACTTTGATTCCCGCAGCCCGTCTGTTCAGTCCCTGAAGTGATGAGAAACCAAGAAGAATTCAAGAAGTCAAAGGTGTTCTAAAAATAAATGCTCTTTTGAAAGTTGTTTTGTTTGTCTGTGTTTCTTTCCTTCGCTATGTTCAAAGTCAACCAATCAACAGAGTTGCTTTAACAAGTTACAGGCAAGAGGGCTTCTCGTAGCACCTTTGCAAGCATAGTGTAGAACGCAGCAGTCTCTCCAGGGCTTGACCCTGTGACAGAGAGCCCAGGGCCCCAGGTGCCTGCAGGAGCTGACGGCCATGTGGCCTGAAGTCTTAAGGCTCGTGGAGGGCCTGCAGAGCCCCCTGGGCTTCCTGCCTCCTCCCAGCCTTGCCCGGCTCCCAGCTTTTCTCACACAGAGTCCTCTCAAAGCCATCTTCTCTGCTCCTCTTGTGTTTTACCCACAGTTCAGAACAAGAGGCTTCCTTGGTTTTTCACCCTCAGAAAGATTGTCCACATGATATTATGGATGTAAAACTATTTGGAAGCTAATATGATATCTGACCTTAGTTCTAGAGAACTAGTTGCAATTATCCTGGGCTGAGAGCATTAAAATTGGGACCTGTGCGAGCTTCTTAAGTAGTCGCTAGGGCATTTCTACCATAACCATTCCAAAACAAAGTCATTCAAAGTAAAATCCCCCCACTCCTCCTGTTATAAATTTGGCCTCACAGTTTAATGAGTAAAAGCTGCAAGCCCACAGGCCCTTGGCAGGATGTGTGGCCAAGATGTCTTGGTGCAAAGAATGTTACCGTGCACTTCGAGTGCAGAGACTGCTCTCCACAGCAGGCCCCAGGCTTGCATTCTGGCTAATGTCCATCTGAAAATTCAGATTGTGAAACTACAGCATACGAATCATTCCACAGGTATGAGGCCTGTTTTTCTTATTTGTCAATCTCATTCAAGCCTTTCTTTTCTTTGGCAACAGGAGGAAATACACTGGCCAATACCTAAGTACTAATCTTTGATTCATTTTTTAAAAATCTTGCTAATTTCATACAGAAGACAGAATAACTGAAAGAAGAAACAATTCTTTTCTCTAAAAGGCTAGATAATTTCTACCAGTGCCTTCTCCTTTCTCCCAACAGTCCCCACTCAGCCATTCCTTGTGGGCTGATGCCAGAAACAGCGTGGAAAACAAGTCTGTTTTCCAAGAGGGGCTATTACCACGAATTATGTTTAAAATGACAGCATCAAAGATTAAACCATCATTGTATATAAACTTAACATAGCTATAACCTAGGAAAAGCTAGTTTCATGGTGATAATACTAATTAGAAACAGATGTGTATTCAAAGGGGCAAGGAAAGAGGCTGGCAGGAGAGAAAAAACATTTTTCCCCCATAATGTAGTGCAAGAACCTTTACAGATATGGTCTCACCAAAGTCAGCTTTGTGCAACACCACGGATGCCAAGTGCAAGCTGTCCTGACAAGGCACATTTCACTGATGAAGCATTTAATAAATTGCAGATAACCCTTATTACAGGGTTACCCCTATTTTGTAGCTGGGGAGACAGGTGCTCAGAAGGATTCAGTGGTTTGGCAAGGGAGACAGCAAGAACACTAGGGCAGTGTGAGGTGGCTGGGAGAAGGGGCAGCCGGCAAGGTCAGGCACTTCCCACGGCAGGAGACTGGCACCGAGCAGGGGCAGGAGGGAAACAGGGACACCACCTGCTCCATGCCTGCAGAATCCTACCTCCACGGGGCAAGGCAAGGGCAAACCACCCAGCCTGGGGAGCTTTGCACACCAAGGCTCATAGAGGAAGACTGGCTAGGGAGCATTCGCCGAATGGAATCAGGTAGGGCTCTCATATCAGTAGCATTCTTGGGAACACCCTCTGACTGATCTCCAGGAACGCATGCAAATGACTGCATAACATATGCAAATGACTGCATAACAACAGGTACACATCTTGGCTGGTCGGAAACACTGCTTCTGGCCTGCTTGGTAATAAATCCTAGGTGTATGGTTACGCACATTTGTCCTCCACGCCCTGATATGCAGGTGCCTCCGGCTTCCTTGTAGCTGCACCATTATTTTCCCCTAGCTAAGCAGTTAGCAGGCAAGGCTTCTCACGCAGCTGCAAGTCAGATGTGATTAACAGTATTTCATATGGAATATATTTGTGTCTGATCCATTTGCTTGATTAAATCACACTGTAGCTTAACAGCCTATTTGTTGATAATTTTTACTTATTTGAATTCAATGTAATAGCTTTTACTAGTGAAAATATATCAGCAAACATAAAACGCTGAGAAAATGCAACACAACCTAATTCAGTGTAATCAGAAATAAAAGCAGAGCATTCTAGAGAATGCTGCTAGTCTTAGACCAGCTCTGCTTATTTAATAAGCACAGATCCTTGGAGCAAAAAAGGTAGAGTATTTCTGGCTAAGTTACTGGTTACCAACTCCACGTCATACAAAGTAAACTCATCCTGGTCCCCCATATCAAAGGAGCACTCTCCTGGCAGCTCCCTGAAGGTCCCCAAGGCCGCACACATCTCTGGTTGACCCGAACGTTGCCTTCATCCTGAAGCTACAGCCCTAAAGCCTCTTTCCTCCCCTTCCCCTTCACAGCCAGCAGCCCTGGAAGCTGCCTCAGAGAGTTCATACTTCTCCCACCCACTATTAAATTGCCACTTCTGAGAAACTATTTGCCCCACATGTGAGAAACAGAATGAAATTCCAGGTAAATGGTAAGTCAGAGGATGTGAACATAGTTCCTTTTTTATTTAATGGGCTTCCACTTCATTCTTCTACTTCTGAATGCATGAAAAATAGTCTGAACAGTCTTTGCTGTGCTGGGTGTGGCCAAAGACAGTCAGCACGTGGGTTTACGGAAAAGGACGGGCAAAGCAAAAGGGGCAAAATCTCACTACGTTTAGTTGTCTTTTCACATCGTTTAAAAAAACAACAACACTATTTCGGGGATTTTTCCTGAACGTAAAGAGAGAAAGTATGTAATGAAATTCCAAGCATAAGGCATATCACAGAAATTGTGACCACAAATAAGGAATTAAGCTTAATGTCTTTAAAATGAGTATATAAAGGAGCAAAAAGAAGAACAAATTCCAATTCAGTATTCACTAATATGGACTATTTATTGTGGTTTTTTTTTGGCTGTCAGAAAATCCAATAAAATTAAGATAAACATAATTTCTTTGGGAGCATTTATTGAGAGTACCTGAAAATTATCTTAATTAGAAATGGTTTTCTTGGAAACCACCCAAGATCTAGAAGAAGAGCTCACCTATCATGCCCCAAGAATAAGCCTTAGTGGTAAACTTTCCAGGAAGCTTTCTTTTTATCCATGACTGGAGCCAATATTGTTCCTGATGCTTGCTAAGAGTCCCTTCACACTTCCTTTATTAGGATACCATGTTTTCCTTAAAAGGGATGAGCAATTAAAATGTCTTTATATGTACAGATAGATGAATTCTGATGATCTGTGACCACCAGAAATAGAAATAAATTGACAATTGATCTAATCAGACCATTTAAATCCAAAGCTGCCAATAATTTCACAGCACTTATACCCTGATAGCAAGCTTCTTTTGACTTGTTTGCCTCTATTGTTAGACATTAAGCTCACTGAGGGCAGGGATCCTATTTTTATGTCCCAGTTGCTTAGCACAATGCACACAGTATGTGCTAAAATCTTTTGAGTGTATGAACAATTGAGCAAATAGATAAATAAAACGAAATTCTCCTTCCACTCAGCAGTTCATCACTAGCAATATCCCAGGTAGAGTCTCGCATTTTGTCTTCCTCATTCACTCCCTACTGTCTTTCAGGAGAAATGCCAGTTACAGCTGAAATAGCTCAAATAATAGGTCACCAAAGAGAACCCTCTGGCTTTGGTAACTCCAAACTAATAACTGCTTCCTAAATGAAATGACTTTGCATATTGACACCTTTAGCAAGTTGGTGGAAGTCTTGAGTTAATAATCTCACTTTTAATTAGTTTAAATGTACATTCCCTGTTGGAAGAAATACAAACTAAGCTTTGGAGGTTCCACATCCCATCTTCTGAGGCTCTACTGGCGTGTGGAAAGGTTGAGTGGGGAGAAGATTCCTTTCAGCTCAGTGGACCTATGGTTCTGCTAAGTTAGGACGGTGAGGGTGGTGCATTTCCTTGCTCTCAAAGCCACCTTAGCTCATTAGGCAACTGGCATGGGTAACGTATTTTGTAGATAAGTGCAGTGACTCATAGGCCAGACACTCAGAGGGTATCCTATCCCAGCCAGGTGACGGTAACTCCAGCTTAGCAAATGGGCCAGTGTCCCCTTTCCTCATCTATGAAGTGGACTGTTGAATGAGATGCAGGTTACTCTGCCCAGCAATGTGTCGTGGTTCTTAGGCAATACTGTCAATGCCCTGAAAGCAGAGCTCTCTTGGGGATGAGGGTCTTGCGGTCACTGAGACCTGACACCTTTCTGGGGCACACCCATGGAAGTCTATGGAAGATACCCAGTTTTCCTCTAGAAACCCCCAAAATTATAGTTGCCAGAGTCAACAACTTGGCCATCTCACTTGGTTCTATGCTGATAGAGGACAAAAATATTCAGTGAATTTCATTTTAATCTGTAATTAATAAACTGTTTCCAAATATGATTAAGTAACCTGACTTCTCTGTCACTTAGGGTTTAGCAAATGTTGGGTTATGGACGTAAAATTTATTTTAAAATCAAGTATGTTCAGAGAAGTTTTGCCAAGCATAAATGTAAAAGAGAGGAAAAAAAAGAAGGAACTTTAGAAATTTCTCATTATTTAAAAAAATAAAAAATGAAAATAAATAAAATCAAGTATGAAAACATTAGGACTGAGTCTCTCTCTGAAAGCCTTTTAAATGAAGATATTGTTTTCAACTTAAAGTAACTACATTAATTTCCTGTTTATGTCACTAGACTTTGAATTTCAAATAACAAAAATTTTCAAAGTCTTTGTATATTTCAAAATATAAATTTCACAGAAACAATTTTAAAATGTTTCCTATTATAAAACAAGTTATCTTTCTCATTCATCCACACAGAGGAAATACACATCTGTGTTCAGTACTTTGTGTCCTATTTCTCAACCTCAATCCATTGACAGACCTCCCCTGCTCAGTTTTACATTTTTTGATGAGTGCTTCTTGGCCTATAACCAGCTGTGAACACACAAACGAACAGGCAGCCTTCTCAAGTATGGGTAGGGCGCAGAAGAGGAACTTACTGGACTGGGGCACAAAGTCAGCTGCTTGTGAGACTCATCACTGGGTGGAAGTGCCCTGAGGCCAGGACTTCTATGTCTCGTGTCTTTTTGGACACAGTATCCAGAAAAAGACCAGCCCAAGACCCGGTCCTCCATAAACACTTGCAGAATGAATTCCTTGGAAAGCTTTTAACAAGACTCTCAAACTCTCAGGGTTTCTTCCCCTTAGCAATAGAATGAGGAAAGTTACATATGCTACCCCGATTTTCACAAGTATCAAATAATAGAAAGCTGGGGAATGCATTTGTAAAAAAGAGAGCATTGTATTAGCATTGACCTTTTTTTTTTTGAGACAAGTCTCGCTCTCTCGCCAGGCTGGAGTGCAGTGGCGCAATCTCGGCTCACTGCAACCTCTGACTCCCTGGTTCAAGCGATTCTCCTGCCTCAGCCTCCTGAGCAGCTGGGATTACAGGCACGCGCCACCATGCCCAGCTAATTTTTGTATATTTAGTAGAGATGGGGTTTCTCCATGTTGGCCAGAATGGTCTCGATCTCCTGACCTCATAATCCGCCCGCCTTAGGCTCCCAAAGGGCTGGCATTACAGGCATGAGCCACTGCGCCCGGCCATTATTGACCATCTTAGTGAGACCTCCAGCACCTAGTACGGGATCTGGCACACAGGAAGCACTAATTGACTACTTGCTCTTAGACTACATGTATTTTCAGCCCATTTGACCTCCTACATCGCTGATGGTTTATGTATGACTTCTAGAAATTTTATTTCTACATGGAAGAAACCTCGTTTCCTATTCCCACCACCCCCCCACCCCCCCCCCCGCTTGTTTCCCACTGTATTCTTTCCGGAGGCACGCCTGCAGCCCAGCCCTCCTTGCAGAACCCTGTGACACCAGAGGCGTGTGTATCCAGAATCAGGCAGATTCCTGAACTCCCACTGGTCAGCCAGTGTCTAGTGCTGCTCTTCATAAACAATGCCTGGAGTGTGCTCACACGTGTACCTCTTCTTGGCAAAGACAGTAAATGGAAGGAGACAAGGAGTTGTCTAATAAACTTGGCATTGAGATGAAACAGGAAACAAAGACATGTATCCGGATAAAGATAAATACTGTTCTGAGTTTCTGATCTTGTCAACTTCAGATTTTTTAAGTGCCTGTGTCCCAGGAAAATGATTTGCCTCACTGGTGTGCTTCATTTCTTTCAATATTAGACTTAAAAGCAAGCCCTCCTCCAGTACTGGATTAACAGTTTTGTTTGAAAGATGTGTTTTACCCTCGGGAACCGGCCATACTGATCCTATCTAGTACTTCCAATTCTGATTTAGGGATGCCATAAGAGAAACTTTTTAAACAAGTAATTCTCTTCTACTTTTTTGTCTATTCCTCAGGTCTCTCAATGGTTACAGAACCCATGTCTGTGTCTAATATCATGGCAGCTGGGACAAAGAAAACCAAGATGAAACATTTGAGATTGTTCCAGCTGAAACAAACCAACCAAAACCCCACAGGTGCCAGCCTTGAGGCAAAGGCGGGACAGTGTCAGGCGAAATCTTTGGGTCCCAGCCTCAGTCTCCCCATCACCATGTCTTTTTCACTTAAACACGTTTCACTGTTTTGTCATCTATAGATTCAACAATGTGATTTGGACACTGGGAATAAGAGAATAAGATTTGATGGTTGAAATAAAACACACCACGAGAGAACCGTCCACAAGGAAACTCTAAGATGCCAAGATGCGGGACAGGTAGAAAGGACAGGGCTTTGGGAGTACTCTGGGTTTTCAGGACGAATCTGTATCAGCCTCGGCGCTGCGAGGATATTGCATCAGGCTCTTTACTCCTGAACGCCGTTTTAGACGCCTAAGCAGATTGTGCTGCTGCCTGTTCTTCCCCGTTCTGTGAATTCTACACTGACTTCAAGTGCACGAATGAGCTACAAGATAAGGTGGAACCTGCCGGCCGGGCACGGCAGACAGCACCTGATCAGCGCCTCGGAGGGCGGAGCTGGGGGGCTTCTCCACTCGGGACTTTGAGGGACCCCCGCGGAGCGCTCCGCGCCACTCGGCGGTCTAGCTGCAGAGAAAGCCCCTCCTCACCCGGGGCTCCCTGTGGCCCACAGGGGACCATCCCACACCCCGTGCAGCCAGCGGCGGAGAAACCAGCTGGAAATGCAGTGGGGGTGGAGTTGCCCCCGCGAGGACCCACGGACCGCCCAATTACTACGGAGTCCCAGCGATAACGTTTGGAGCCGTTTGGTTCGATTTTCGGAACCGGACCAGCTTTCCAGTAACTTGAACTCCCTGACGGGTCTCGGGGTCCACCCAGGGGTGGCGAGGCGGGCTCGGGCGACCACGGCCCGCTCAGTGCCCGGCACCTGCGCGCCCCGAGGGCGGCCGCATTACCTCGAGCCGGCTCAGGCTGGAGCTCTTGGAGCGCGACTTCCTGCGCAGGTACACAGAGAAGAACCTGCGCACGGCGAACTTCTTCATGCTCAGGTCCATCGCCCCGCGCCCAGCCCGGAGCAGCCGCAGGGCCGGGGGACGCGCATCCCCGGCATCCCAGGCGCGGGGCTCAGGTCCGCGGGCGGGCACGCGTGGCCAGGGAGCCCGGCACGGCGGCCATGGGCGCGGGGCGTGGGGCGCGAGCTGCGGTCACAAAGGGCAGGCCGCGCCGGCCACCGCGGCCGGGGCCACAATCGCTCCCTCCGCCTCCTTCTCCGCCTCCCCTGCGAGTACCAGCGCCGGCCACGCGCCACGCCTACACCACGCCCACCACCACTACCACCAATCAGCGCCCGCCGCTCCGCGCCCCGGCACGCACACCTCCTCCTCCTCCGCCCCGCCCCGCCACTACGGCCAATCAGCGCTCACCACCCCTCCCGTTCCCACCCACCACCAGCACTGCCAATGAGAGCCCACCGCCCCGCCCGGGAGAGCCCCGCCTCTGCCGATACCTCCAATCATCAGCGCCGCCCTGTGGTTCCAGGTGCCCATCCCTCCTCCTCTTTCTACTCCTTCCTACAAGAACCAGCTCCGTGCAGCCCCGCCCCCACGCGGTTCCGCCCACGGCCCCGCCCACAGCACTGCCCGCCAATCAGTGCCCGCAGCCGCCGCATACCTAATGAGCCTCGGCCCGGGACAGCTCCCGGCCCGGGCGAGTTGTGCAGCTGCTCCGGAGCCGCGCAGTCGCGGGCGTTCCTGTCACGCAACTTCGGCCCGGCTGCTCTTTCTTCCAGCTTGGGGCCGTCATTATGTTTTCCTTCCTTAAAACATCCCTATGCACACTTTGTCATCATGTTTTTCTCTGCCGAACCAAACTTTAATTGTTGATCAGCAAACGCAGCCAAAACCTCAGCGGCACAGCGAGCGAGGGACCGCCGCCTGCCAGCGGGCCCTGCAGCTCGGCCAGGAGCCGCCCTCCGCGGAACCGGCGCCTTCCCTCCGCCGGAGCGGACAAAGGCGCCCGAGGGCGGGGGCTCAGGCAGCCCTCGGGGCGCCTCCCTCCCGCGGCTGCAGAACAAAGACGCATCCGCCCTCCGCAGCCGGTCCCGCTCTAGGAAACGTCTACACAGATGGCTTATCAGGGCCCGCGCTGGGAATACCCGGGCGGGGTGACCTGGGTCTAGGGCAAGGCCCTCAGACCCGCTGCTGGCGGCAGCGCCGCTCGGGATCCGCCTTAAAGGGAAACACTTTTTTCTTTTTTTTCCTAGAAATGCTCACCAAGGGCTGCAGCAGGGCCGAGAATGCGGGCTCACGACCCCGTGCAGCCTGCTCTGTTTTCCTCTTGTGCACGTGTTGAGTTTGTATTTAAAAACAGGGAGAAACCGAGCCCATTGACATAGCACCATCACCACCTGCAAAGAGCAGAAACGAGTGCGGTGGTGAGTTGACAAGTCTTGCTTGCTCTTTTGCAGTGCGAACTGCAAAATCCTCGCGTTGTTTTGCTCCCTGGACTAGTCAGATGTTGCGTTAATACTTGTGTAGTCTATTTTGGCTAAGGTGGGTAGAGAGGTCAGAATGTCCTTAAATAAGAGCTTTAAAGTCATGCTGCATCCGGGCTGAGGTGAGGTCAGATAGGCTCTCTGGGTTTCCTGGAGACCCGCGTTGAGCGGTGCTGCTCCGGAGTGGAAGCCGGGAGTTTAGCACCACGACTCTGGCGCTGCCCCTTCCTTGCTTGGTGAACTTGGGTGCCGTTGCACGTTGTTCCCACGACTCATCTCTAAGAGGAAAATACGAGTGAAACCTGTCTCACCTCCCTTACTGGATACCAAGAGGCTTATGCAAGATCACGGATGTGGGAGTGCTTTGTGAATTTAAATAGTGCAATTGATTTTCATATTATGTATTAAAGGATCTATAATGACTATTCTTTAAAAACAGAAGTGCAGGACCCCACAAGGACACCAAACACCACTTTTTGCTCCTTTTCAAGATGGTGTGCCAGTTAAGTGCCCATGAAAACTGCTTTGCCTGCTTCCTTTAAGGTTCTGCTGGGAGGGTAGTAATCTGTGCTCTCAGAACCAGCCTCTTAGTGCCCTGTATCCCTGCTGGGACCCTCAGGCATCCTGGCTCTAGGCAAACACAAAGACACTCTGTACCCAGCACGGGAAGAGGTAGATGGACCTCCAACTGGACACAGACTCCGGGAATGAGGGAGGACCAACCCGACCATGCTTCCCTCGGAAGGGGAGCCAGTAATACTGGCCGGAGACAGGAGTGCTGAATGCCACCTATACCAACTCATGGGCATCCTGTTCAGGACAAAAGCCCCAAGGCAGGCAGGCCTAAGTCAAGGCTTGTGTTGTACCAACAATAGTATTTTGACCTGATCTGACAAAATTGGAAAGGAAATATTTCATGGGACATTCATTAGTTCCCCAAATTTGAAGGCAACAAAACTGTTCTGTTGAACTTGGGAGGGAAAATCATTCAGATTTCACTGGAATTCATTGCTAGAACAATAAATCTGTTTGCCTTTGTTTTTCTCCTGGTAAAATACACGTATACCAAAATCTCTAGTGATCATGGAACACTACTTCATGTGATTATGTAATGAAATCCTCCAAAACCACTAAATCTAGGGTAGGTATAATATCAAGACCCACTGTAACCGAAATCCAAATTATCCTTACCAAATACCAGAAAAGAAAGTGAACTTGATAAAGGCTCTTGCCCAGATGATGGAATGGGAGAGGACTGAAGAGAAGATAAAGAGCTTGGTAGACCTCTGAGTATCTCACATTTCCTCTGACTCAAGCACAGTAAGTTTGAGACTGAATTCCGTGGTGACTGCTGCTTCTATGAGTACCAGATTAGCTGATGTGTGGTCAATGCAATTCCACAAGTGATTATCGAGCACTAACATCTGGCACTGTGGTGGTCATTTGTGACACAAAATGATTACAACATCCCAAGAAGTTCACAGTCTTATGGAAGAGAAGGTGAGTGAACAGACAAAGCTCATGCCGTTTTTATGTAAAGTGAAAGAAATGCGTAAGAGATGAATGAGAAGCCAATTCTAATTGGCGAAGTCAAGGAGGAGATGGCCTTTGCTCTGAACCCCTGAGGGTAAGAAGATGAGGGAATAAGTTTCCTGGACAGACAAGAGGAGGCGGGAGTCCCAGGCTGAGGAATAACAGGGCACTGTCAGGCAGCTGTGACAAGGTTTCCCATCTCTCCCTGCTACACAGGCACCTTGTGGGTAAGGCTGGTGTGCTCTCTGCATATGGGAAGATGCCACATTCTCGGGGCACCCCACAGGAGTGGCTTGAGTGACATCCAAGAGCTTCTAATTAGTCAAGTACCACAAATGTCTGTTCGTCTCCAAACAGTCCTACAGGCTGCTGAAAGTTTCAAGCTTCTAAAACTCCCACATATTTTCAATAAAACGCTAAATTGCACTTCAAGTGAAACTATATATCTTTAAAATAAATTGAAACATTCGGTCTTCATTAGGACTAAAGTTTTGCCATGGGAGGTGAATTCACTAGGTTCACCTGATGCAAAACTTCACCAGGATCACCAGGGTCACCTGGTGCTGGCCATCTGCGAAAGCAGGAAGTCGTGCTTTTCCGGAGTATCAGCATTCGAAGGCTCTGCCCATCACAGGCATCCTGCTGGATGCTCCAGAGACAGTGTCCAGCCAGTACGAGGGAGGGAGGTGGGCTTCAGTGTGTGCCCCTGTGAACTACTTCCTGTGGCTGTGATACAAATGGGTTTAGTCAAGCTTCCCTTAGTGTAGTCCCTGAGTGTACAGAAAGGAATCCTTTTCCTGGGCTGTGGATCCCCGTGTACTTGAAATGTTTATGACTTTGAAGTTTCTTGAATGTAGGAATTAGTCCTTGCTCAGGAAGATGGTCTTAAAGTCCTGAGACCCTAGAAGGTAAACTGTAGTGGACAGTTCAGGTGGGGGCACGTTCGGAGCAGGTGTCAGCAAGGGGCCTGGAGCTGTCAGGGAAGGGCTTCTTGGGCCCTCGGCAAAAGTCAGAAGGGATCAAGTTTGCCTCTGGTCTCTGGCTGGCCCCTGGCCCTCACCCACAGGACACTTGGGTCTCATTCACATCTGGGTGCCAACCAAGCCATGTCAGAATGACACCTGTGCCCTCAGTTTAACAGTTTAAAATCTCTGAGCATATCGAAAATTTAAAAAGAAAGTCTTAATGCGTAAAAGTCTTCAAAATGACAGAAATAAAGCTCTAATGGTGAAGTACCAGGAAATGGAATTTACATTTGAAACCAGAGGGCCTGGTTTCTGAGTAGTCAGGAGAGGCAGGTGGAAACCCACAGGCCAGTTGTACTTGACCCTTATTGACTGGCTTACATTTAGGAAGAAAAACCACATTGGGTTTCAAGCTGTGGAAACCATCATGGTTGGCTTCCTCCCTCCCCGCTGGAGCCCTCATCCCCCATCCAACCTGGGTAGGAAGGCACAGGGCTCACAGAAGGTGGGCTTCACCTGCAACACCTCCCCCGCCAGCCCGCTGTGAGGACAGCTTTGGATTTTATTGGTTTTTAAATACTATGTTCCTTCATACCACTTTCTTTTGAAACCCATTTATAAACCATAGGGCCAGAATCTACAGAGAGGCTGATCAAATAACTTTCCTGGTAACACAGATTTTTTTTCGTCCCTCTGCCTGGGGCACTCTGGTGCCTTCCATGGTGTCAGCGGAGCACGGCTGGAGTCATGACTCCCAAACAGCGAGAAGGGAGGGCCCTGCCTCAGTGAGCCCTTTTTCTCTTTGAGACAGTGGAACCCAAGAGATAGATGCGAACACACAGAGCAGTCATAGACACAGCGGAGCAGAGACAGACCAGAGAGAGGCTGCGCGGCAAACGGAGCCCAGACAGGTGGCACCTCAGGGCAGCACCAGTATCAGCTAAGGTGTAAATGCCTCGAAAAGACCTAAATCAAACACCACATGAGAGAGATGAAATTCAGACAGAGAGGCGGTGGGGACAGCGCTCCTCTCCGCACATTTCCAGGATACTAACTCCAGCTGCCATGCGGTGCCTTCAACCTCCAGGACCTGTCTGCCTCATAGCTGAAGCTTTGTACCCTTTGAGCAACATCGCCCTTCCCCACCCCCAGCCCTGGGGAGTTTTTAGACTCCACAGATAAGTGAGATCATGGACATTTGTCTCCCCATGTCTGGCTTATTCCACTTAGTATGATGTCCCCAGGCCCACCTGTGTTGCCCGCAGGTAGCTATGTGAGATGATGGGTGTGTTCATTAGCTTGATTGTGGGAACCCTTACATGAGGTATACCTACAGCAAACACCATGGGGTGTCCCTTAAATTATGCAACTTTTGGCTGCACGGGGTAGCTCACGCCTATAATCCCAGCACTTTGGGAGGCTGAGGTGGGCAGATCACCTGAGATCAGGAGTTCGAGACCAGCCTGACCAACATGGAGAAACCCCTTCTCTACTAAAAATACAAAATTAGCCGGGCATGGTGGCGCATGCCTGTAATCCCAGCTACTCGGGAGGCTAAGGCAGGAGCATCCCTTGAACCTGGGAGGCAGAGTTGCAGTGAGTGGAGATCATACCATTGCACTCCAGCCTGGGCAACAAGAGCGAAACTCCATCTCAAAAAAAAAAAAAAAATTTCTTTGTCAATTATACCTCAACAAAGCTGGAGAAAATAAAAAGAATGAATGAGGAAGGACATACAGAAATCAACAGCAACAACACAGAGGAGAAAGACCAGAAGACAGACACAAAGACCAGGAGACCAAGAAGGAACTTAACCCAAAGGAAAGGAAACTGGGAGCCCGAGCTTAGTGAGGGAGGAGAAAGCAGGGACAGACAGCGCAACTCAGGAACAGGGTCGGGGAGAGGCAGAGGCACACTGAGCGGTGTGGGGAGGCCAGAGGACAACGTGGACTCAACATGGGCGTGAAATACCTCGGGGCCGGGCGCAGGGGCTCATGCCTGCAATCCCAGCATTTCGGGAGGCCGAGATGGGCAGATCACTTGAGCCCAGGAGTTCAAGGCCAACTTGGGCAATATGGCAAAACCCATGTTTTCTCTACTAAAAAATACAAAAATTAGTTGGATGTGGTGGTGTGTGCCTGTGGTCCCAGCTACTTGGGAGGCTGAAGTGGGACGATCACTTGAACCTGGGAGGCGGAGACGGCAGTGAGCTGAGATCGTGCCACTGCACTCCAGCCTGGGTAACAGAGTGAGAGCCCATCTCAAAAACACCAAAAACCAAAAAACAACCTCAGAGGAGATTGCCTAAGTCCACAGAGCAAGAAAGGAAATTGGGGCAGAGTAAAGGGGTGAGTTTCTTCTTCTACCTCTGGCCAGTGTGTAAGGATGGGATGCTCAGAGCTAGCAGTACTTTGGGCCCATGAGGTCATGCTAAGCATGGCACAGCAGAAAACTGGAAACATTTTGGATCCTTGATAACACTGTTGAGTTACTGCATTAACCAAGTCTGCAGCCAAACCGCTTTGAGGCTTACTTCTGTGGAAAATAAATCTTCTCGTTGAGCTGAGTTTTCTGTCATTAGCAGCCAAAGGAATCCTAACTGATATACTGAGCAAGGCATTCGTTATTCACTCGGTTAATCCAGACTTAAATCTAGTTACTAAATCTAAATTTTTATAAAAGTTACTTACAGATTATTTAATAGTCATAATATTTGTAAAACATTATGGTAGAAAATGCTGTGAGATTATAATTACAGTTATAATTATAGGATGGAAGAATTACTTGTTTGAATTTATTCACGTATCATGCATTTCATGATCTCTTCCTCTGTACTCAGCACTGTGCCCTCTCACAAGATCATCACGGGCTAGTGACAAATGATCAGATACAAAAATATACTATGAGTCAGCGGAACGTGCCACGCTTTAAGGCAGACAAACATGCAGCTGGCCCATGGGGAGGGAGGAAGGACTAGAGGGACACGGGGACGGTTTTTCAAACCAGGCAAGTGGAGACGAGAGCAGAAAGAAAGAGCAGCTTGCGCAAAGGCCCTGGGGTGAGTGACACTGTGTGGGCAGAGTGTGGGCTCAGGGCGTGGGGTCAGGCAGAGGGAATGACGTTTGTTCTCAGCTTAACAAAGAGGCCACTGAAACGTGAAGCCAAGGACGACAGGGACACACTTGCATTTGAGAAAGTTCTCCTGGCAGCAGGGTGCACAGCAGAGGAAGCAGATTCGGGGAGGTGCCCCTGTGACAGTCTTGTGGGGCAGGACAGTGTCCTCATGAAGAGCAAACCGCAGTGGCCACAGTGATGGAGAGCAAGAGGCCGAGGTGGGCAGTAACACTGGGAGCAGAACTTGCCGCAGACCCACGGGCTGAGGGGAAGGAAATGGGGCCGGACGTTTCCAGGATAAGTCCTTGCGTCCACAGGCGCCACCTCTGAGTTGCTCCTCCCCCTTCCTCATCCCTCCATTTTACCACCTCGAAATCAAAATCGAAATCGAAATCGCTGAGCTTTTACACAGTTCACTCAGATGCTTCCCTGTAAATCCATGACTTGCAAAACTGTCAGGTTTTATTCCAACATGACCACAAACATGGAAAAACAAAGACATGTGTAAATTATGTGAGATGAGAAAATAACACATAACTCTAAAAAGGGAATTTCATTTGCAAATGTTTTTTGAGGCAGAATCTCACTCTGTCCCCCAGGCTGGAGTGCAGTGGTGTGAACTCAGCTCACTGCAACCTCCTCCTCCTGTGATTGTTGAGTCGCTGGGGCTACAGGTGTGCGCCACCTTGCCCAGCTAATTTTTGTACTTTTAGTAGAGATGGGGTTTTGCCATGTTGACCAGGCTGGTCTCGAATTCCTGACCTCAAGTGGTCCGCCCACCTCAGCCTCCCAAAGTGCTGGGGTTACAGGTGTGAGCCACTACACTCAGTGTTCATTTGCAGATTTTTTTAGTGTTTGGTATAGTTTCACACCATAAATACCTCACATCCTTAAAAATCCACAGGAAAAAAACTAATATTCAAGAACTAGAACAATTTTTTAAAATATGAGGAAAATGAGACCATAATTTTTAAATTATAATAATTTTAAAAAGACTTGTGATAACGGAGAGCCAACGGTAGTACGTGAAAGTGACCGTGTGGGGCATACTTGGTTGTATTCATGTTTGTGACTCACTAATTATCAATCACTTCTCTCCCACGTACACCTTGGCATGAATGAGTTAGAGAACCACGGCAGGAGCCCAGTGTCATTCATCAACCCAGGTCCTCTGCGCATCTACTGTGCCTGCTGCTGTGGGCTGTGCTGAGGCTGGGATCTGAGGGGCTGGGCACAGCAGGGACTCCTGCCCTGACGGGCACTGCAGTCTCTGGGGTAGCACAGACAAGCCAGGGTGCGTTCACTCCCAGGCAGGAAGGGCTTTAGAGGGGAGAGAAAGCCCTACGGGAGCCCCCAGAGGAGCCCTTAGTCTCGCAGATGACTGCTACATTCACAGGCTATGATGAGCAAGCGCCAGCCAGATACACAGGGACAGACAAGGGTGTTCCGTCAGGGAAGCTCAGGCTAAAGGCCAGTGAGAGCATGGTCCTGAGGAGGTTCATTTGGCTGCTGTGTGAGGGTGTGTTGGAGTGGGGACAGGGCAGAAGAGGGGTGCTAGGTCACATGGTAGAGAGCCCCATGGAGTTTACCCCAGAAGAGGAGGAAGAGCCCGGGAGGCTTTGGCAGGAGGATGCCATGAGCATCACCTGGGTGTGTCTGCAGAAGGACGTTCAACTCTGAGCCTGCCCACCTACTGCGCTCACCCCAGGACAAGCCACCATCCCCACCCTGGGGAGAAGGCTGCATCCACCCCAGGAGGGTGACCTGGGTGTGTCCGGTAAAGGGTGTCTTAAGTCTGACCCTGCTCGTCTTCTGCGTCCACTCCAGGACAAGCCACCAACCCTACTCTAGACCAGGGTGGTCACCTGCTAGCTTGGCCGCCCATGGCCATTCCACATAAATCCAAATCCAATCATCCACTTCTCTGCTTATAACTCTTCCAGGCTTCTTACTTTCTTGCCAGTAAAGTATAATAAAACCCAAACTCCTCGTTCTGCCTACACTGACTCTGCTACAAAGACCCTGGGTCTCACCACCTACCGCCCATCCCGCCCTGCCCCACCCTGCTCCTGGGCTCCACCAGCCTGGCCTTCCCTTCATTCTTGGAACCGCCAAGGCCGTCCCACCTCCAGCCTTGGGTTCTGGCTCCTTCCTCTGCCTGGGCCCCTGTTCCAGCTCGCTCTCAAGCTTTGGCTTCCAGCTTGAATCAGTACCTCCCTGCAGAGGCCTTTCTGGATAGCCTATCTCGGACAGGCTTGAATCAGCGCCTCCCTGCAGAGGCCTTTCTGGATAGCCTATCTCAGACAGGCTTGAATCAGCACCTCCCTGCAGAGGCCTTTCTGGATAGCCTATCTCAGACAGGGCCTCTCTCCACTACTCTCTAGAACACCTCATGCTCATTTTCTTTACAAAACTTCTGATAATATGTGATTCTTCTTCCTTTTCTCCTCCTCCACATATTTCTCCTCCTCCTCCTCCTTCTCCTCTTCCTCTTCCTCCTTCTCCTTCATCCTTTTCACCTTTTAAATGCTTGTCTCCAGTAATCACAATATAAGGCCCTAAAGGACAGGAACTTTAACATCCCAGAGGCTGCTGTGACACAGAGCCCAGCTCACAGTAGGCACTCCGTGGATATCTGCTGCCCTTGTTGAATAAAGACATTGGGGAACGAGGCCAGGAGAAGCAGGGTGTGGCCGAAGGGAAGTGGATGAACTCCAGGGTTAAATTTAGAACAAACAGGATTTCAGGATTGATCATTTGAAAGGAAAGTTTCTACCAACTCCCTGAGATACACTAAGTTTGAAAATTTCAAGGACAAATAGCTATAGGCCAATTTTTAAAAAAAAGTGCTGAGAGGCTGTTCCAAAACCCTGACACTGCTCCGGTCTCTGAGAACACAGGATGGCCTGGAGAGTAAAGGAGGGGAGCATGCAGGGGAGGAAATTCGGCAGCATCTGTGCTGAGCACCCTTCCTCTCCACCACCTAAAGGGCTGGGGAGGTGCCGCCTCTGTTGTTGTAGCCCAGGCAGGATGACTTTGTGGGGCCCCTTGGGGAGTGCTGATATGCTAGGACCAGGTGGCTTAGGTCTGGCTTCCACTGGGACCATCTGGAGGGGAACGCGAGGAGGACAGAGAGGCTGTGTGGTGGCTGACCCTGTCCGCGCAAGGCTTGTTGGCCAAGGACACACGAGTGCTTCCTACAGGCCGGGCCTGGGCCAAGGAGGGGCCATGCGAAGTCCTCAGAGACCCTGCCTGGAGTGAAGCCAACAGGGACCTCCAGGAGAGAAGGGTCAGGCTGGGGAAGAGAGGAGATCAGTCGAAGCCCATTCTCTCCCCTCCTCTTCCTCATTCCTGGCTCTGGCCCTGAGAGGAACAATGAGCCGAGAGGAACAATGAGCAGGTGCCAGGTCGGGGGAGAGGGTGGTAGGGGACACACAAGGTGGAGAGTAGGAGAGCCAGCAAGCTCAGACTGCAGGCTGCCTGCGCAGGTCTCTGAAAGGGACCCATCCTGAAGACCGGAAATACTAACCAAGCGCTCAGAACTTAAAGTCAGTGTGGGCTGTCTGTTGTCCAAGAGTGGGAAGAAAAGCTGTGGAAAGTGATAGGGTCCTCACTGGAGAAGGGGGCGTTTGTCCCACTGGTGGACATTGAAATGTGTGTTTTGACCCAATCTCAAGCCAGGTTTGTTCAAGTCAATGAGGTGAGGAAGCAGAGGCAGGAACCAAGAAGCGGGTTCAGATTTGCAGCATAAGACCCCGTGTCTCAGCCGTGGGGGCCGCAGGGGACAGAGCCCACTCCCCAAAGTGGGGATCCAGCAGGGCGCTGCACTTGGCCTGAGGGCGGGGCTGAGGGAGGACCCCATAACCCCCTGGATGAGGAATCGTGGTTGAACACTGGCGCTAAGCAGGGGGCCGGGAGCGTGGGAAATCCTCTGGGAGTTTGTGGCCACAGCCAGCCTTCGCCCAGGGGCACGGCCTCGGTTCACCGCCTGTGTGAAAACAGCAGCACCAACTCCGGCTGACAATTTAAAGTGGTCTTGAGTTGTTGTTGCCCTAGGTGCCTATCAGAAACAATCACAAATGCTTTCTAGAGGAATCTGCATTAGAGCCAGGCTTCAAAGAAATCCCTCAGACACAGCTCCAAGGAGCGCAAGCTCGCAATCACTGTGCGCAAAATCCACAAGACCGCTGAAGTCAGGAGCACAGCCCGAAAGCCAGCCAGCCGCAGACTCGGCTGTGAGCAGGCTCCAGCCACTGGACCCTCCAGGAGAGAGCAGTGAATGTCAGATTTGATAAGCTTAAGGAGATAAAAGCAAGATATGAAAATGCCATTAAAGACAAGAGACTCAAAGTGACCAAGCAGATAAAAAAATGAACAACGTCGCTCTTGAAATGGAAAGACATGAATTACATATAGCTGAGCACGTGTACCATTTATTAAAGAGCAAATTAGATGTAGCTGGAGACAGGCGAAAGACGGATCTAAAAACGACCGCGGTAAGCAGGAGCCTGTGATGGACTGTACACTGGGAAGTAAAATATCTTGAATTAAATTTCTACCCGCTGTTCAGATCCTATGACCTGACTTTGGCTGAAATTCTGAGTCTCTAGAACAGTGGTTCTGGGGCGGTAGAGGATGGGTCCCAGGGGACGTCTGGCAGTGTTAGAGACATTTTTGATTGTCACAGCTGGGTGGGGCTACCGGCATCTCGTGGGTTGAGGCCGGGCACTGCTGAACCCTCTACAGTGTACAGGACAGGCTCATTACCAAGACGTGTCCATCAAAAATGTCAGTAGTTTCTGTTCCTTCTGCTCAGTTTGTTTGAGAACCTAAAATGGCTCTTAAAAAATAAAGTCTATTTTTAAAAATGTTGATGGTGAGGTTGAAAAAGCTCACTTTAGGATGAAGAGGGAGGAAGAAGAGGGAAAAAACCCTGTTCTCACCAGGTCGTCACCTATGCAAACAGCAATTTCATGCAGTTAAACCAATATGTGGAAGGGCTTTATAAATCATAAGGTGCTCAATGGAGTTATTCGTAGAAATCCTAGAGTTTCACACAGAAAATTAATGAAATGGCTGGGAAGGCAGTCGACTCCCAAATATGAGAATTTGTATCTGAAAACTCCCCTATTCAACTGTATTGTCTTATGCAAGGCATAACCATGTGCCCCGCTGCCCAAACCAGAAGGTAAGACTTACCGTGACCTCCTGACACGTCCTTATTCCCTACGTCTCTAGTTACTGAGATTTGTCAACTGTGCCTTCTACATGTTTTCCCCGTCTTGCCTTCTTTCCAACCCTGCCCTCCATAACACAGCGTGGGTCCTCCTTAGCTCTTGCCAGAAAATAGTAATTACTGGCTAAAGGCTTTCCCTACAACCCACCTGTGGTCCTGCCACCAGCCTGATCCTTCTAGAAGCGAATCTGGTTCAGTTACCCCAGGGCATGCATAGCTCCAGAGCTTGGAAGCTTGGAAGCCCCAGACTCTGTTCTTCCTAGCCAGGCCTTCTTCCATGTTGCGTTTGCCTCTCCTCCTTCCTCCAGGGTGCAGTCTCTGCTCCTGCCCCGCTGACTTACTCCTAAGAAGATGAACTGTGGTGTCTCCGTGACATCATTCACGCAGTGGCCACGGCTGTCCTTCCTGCCCGCTCTGCCTCTGCCCACTGGCCACATCTCCTTCCAGCATCTTCCAGACCCAGCATTGCTCCAGGAAGCCACACCGAGATCACTCCACCCCACAGGCCCTGTTGGGGTCTCTCCTGGGTTCCTCTAGTTTGCTCACTGTGCTGTATTAAAACTTTGGGTTCCCCTCTCTCTCCCACCAATGTTAAACTACTTCAGAGAAGCAAGTGTCCGTAGCGTTCCATGCGTGTGTGTAAACAGACGTTACTAGGATTATTTTCAGTGGGTTGCTGATTAGGAAGAGCTTTGGTCTACATTATTATTTCTGTGACACATTTATCTACGAAAGAGACACAGCGAACCCCCTTATGCAGTGAAGATGGTGAGGCTCTAGGAGGTTAACACAGAAATAAGGGACTTTTCCAAGCCTATACATAAATTATAGAGGAATTCAAAAGGAAGGGAGTCAGCAGGAAAGAGGAAACAGGTTACAACTATAGCAGGAAGGATTTCTGTAGCTTAAAAAGGAAAAAAAAAACCCATCATAGAAAAATTTCTCAAGATCTGGCATGGGTACAAAAGAGAACATAAAATCTTTGCTAGATTTGTTTTAGCAAATTTTCATTGTTTAAAAATATTTCATAAACACCTATAGTATTTCAGGCACTAAATACCTCTACTAGAGATGAGAACTTGATGAACACGTAAAAGCCAGACAGGGGGAGCTGAGAATAGCCCGTGTGGCAGCCCCGGGAGAGGCGCGCCCTGTGGTGCGGTCTCCTCCTCCCCTCATCAGGGGAGCTCGGGAGGAAGCTGGGGCTGGGAGGCAGCACCGCCCTTCCCTGCTCCGCTGGGTTTTTCCCTGTTCTGGGCAACCTGCTGGGTCACGTATGTAGAGAGAGCCTTCCCGGAACACATGAGAATGCTAGATAAAACAAGGGGGAAATCTCTTCTAATGAAGTGTGGCTGGTCCGATAGTAAGCAGGGAAGAATAAACGCAGGCAAAAATGAGGATAAGGAGATATTGTGAGGTCGAGCACTGTTCTGAGCAGTGCCTGTCCTGCAGGCTTATGTGAGTCTCTGCCATCTAGACCAGAGGTTCAGTGGGGGGCCAAGCAGGGTGTGGGGGGTCGGATCCGAGTCGGCATTCCCATAGAGCAGACTCAACGGCGTGACCTTGGAAGAACCTCACTGTGAAGAAGGAGGCTTGCATCTTCAGGTGGGAGTGTGGCAAAGAGCAAGGGGTAAAAACTGCCCTCTCAGATTTCTTTAGCTCACACTTCAGCCAGTTGGAAGCCAAAATCCTCACTGCTAGTATGGCCTGAAAAACTCCAATCCAAACTTATAGTTTTTAGAGGTTCCAGATTGGTAGCACCCAGAGGACCAGGCAGAGGCAAATGTAAGTACAATCAGGAGGAACATGCTTTAAACACGTGTCACAGTTTAAACGGGAAATTTCTAAGGGGCATGAGCTCGCAAACATAAATCACTAAATAATCACAGATACAAACTGTGGGCAAGAGTCAGCAGAGACAACAAATTCCAAAATCAGACCTGTACAGATAGCAAAGGTTAGGAATTTGTATAAATAATATAAAATATGTGTCTTCAATACATTTGAAAAACAGCAAGGAAGGTTGAAGCATTACAAGAAAACAAGAGATTATAAAATGACCAAGCAGATTTGTAAAAATAAGTAAAACTTTAAAATTGAAACAGTAATAATTTAAATAAAAAATTCAATAGATTGGCCAGGTGTGGTGGCTCATGCTTATAATCCCAGCACTTTGGGAGGCTGAGGTGGGCGGATCACTTGAAGTCAGGAGTTCAAGACCAGCCTGGCCAACATGGCGAAACCCCATCTCTACTAAAAATACAAAAATCAGCCAGTGTAGTGGTGCATGCCTGTAATCCCAGCTACACGGACTGAGGCAGGAGAATAGTTTGAACCTGGGAGGCGGGGGGTGCAGTGAGCCGAGATCACACCACTGCACTCCAGCCTGGGTAAAAGAGTGAGACTCTGTCACAAAAAAAAAAAAAAAAAAAAAAAAAAAAAAAAAAAAAAAAAAAAATTCAATAGATCAATTAACAGCAGTTTGGGCAAAGTCCAACAAAGAGTTGGTAAAAGAGACGTTGGATCTGATGATAATTGAGAGAAAGACAGAAATACAGGAAATATGAAAGGGGGGTTAGGAAATATGGAAGATAGAAGGAGAAAAATCCAGCATGCCTCTGACTATTAGAATGAGACAGAAGAAACAAAGAAAAACAGAAAAGCACTATTCAAAGAGGTGAGGCAATACTGCAGAATTTTTCAGAGTAGATAAAATATACCGATCTTCATATTTATAAAGACCCCCAAAATCCCCAGGAGGATTCAATGAAAAGAAAATGATACCTAAATACATCATATTAAATATTTGAAATACCAAAAACCGAAAAAAAAAATCTCTCCAGAGCAACCAGAAGAAAAGACAACTTTTCTACAAATGAATGTTAATTACTGTCAGCTACCATCTCAACAGCAATATTGGAAGCTGAGAGAGTGGAATAATATATGCGATGTGCTAAGAGAAAATAACTTTAACCTTGAATTCTCTGTCCTACAAAAAAAAAATCTTTCACAAACAAGGACAAAACAAAGACATTTCCAAGTAAACAATCGAAGAAAATTCTCACTTCCAGTGAAATTGTGTGGGTAAAGCTAGACACACACGAGCTGCATGAAAGTAAATCATTTGTGTATTGTATAATTTGTGGACTTAAGTTGGAATTGATGTCTTAAATATGCTATTTAAAAATAGCATATACGGGACAGTGATCAGTTAAAACCTTCTAATGTTTTCATATTTTTCTGAAGATAAAGAGGCTTGATTACCTTTAGACAAAAATTCAATAGATTGGTTAAGCATACATGCTAAAGTTTCCAAAGCAATCAATTAAAGGAATATAAATCCAATGTGTAATTGCCAAACTAATAGAGGTCAAAGTATAGAACAAGAAAAAAATTTCAAATGATAGTAAGAAAGCAGGAAAAAAGACACCTGGAAAAAGCAGGATAAGTAAAAAAAATACCAACTGTTGGGAAGGGCCACCGCCATGGGTCCTGAGCGTCACTGCACCTTCTTGCTGAGTATGTGACGAATGTCAGGCACTGACCACTGTTAACCCAGGCCATTGCTCAGTGTCACATTTGCAGTGAGCAACCTTGGGAAATGAGGTAACATTTTCCTCCAAGACAAAAGCAGGCTTGCTGACCTCTTGTTAAAGAACACCAGGTTCCCCAAGCTCAGCTTTCCTCAACTGAGATGCAGTTTTACTGTAAACATAGAATGCATCTAGGCCCCCATAGGATGTGGGGGGCAAAGGAGTCCTATGCAAATATGATACTCATGCCATTTTCTGTTCCTTGAATTAAAATGTCCTTTATCTCTGATCTTCCAATATCCACCAACTCTTCTAGTAGCTATTATTGGGCTAATTAGTAGTTTGTAAGTGAGGCAAAATAAAATCCTAGACCATATACAATCTAAATAGAAATAAATCAAAATATGTAAAAAAATAAAGTCAATGTTAATGAGCTAAACTCTCTAGTTAAAAGACAAAGAGTGCCAAATAGGTTTACAATAAATTTAGTTATAGAAAAACATATATAACAAGATACATAAAAAGTTTCAAATAAAATAATGGAAATAGATACATCATGCAAAAACTAATGAAAAGAAGTAACATTAATGTCATACATAGGATGCAACAAGCATTCATAGATATAGAAAAAGCACTACATATTGATGAACGTTTCAATTCACCAGGAGGATACAATAATTCTAAGCTTACATGCACCAAATAATATAGCTTCAAAATGTATTAATCAAAAAATGACAAAACCAAAAGGAGAAATTGACAAATCCATTATTATTTAGAAAAATTTTTGTCTCAATATATGTCTTGGGCCATTGTATATCTTGCTACTCTCATCTGGACGATGTGGTACCTGCCTTCAATTTTGTTTACCAAGATTAATACTGAATCCTCCTAAAGTTCTGACCTCCGCTGTCAGTCCTTCAAGGATGCTCTCTGTGACCCCCAGACTTAGTCAGGTGCCCTGGCAGATGCTCTTAAGATACTAGGAATTTCTTAGATGGGAATACTTACTTAGGTGTATGTGTGTGAGCATTTAATTAATGCTTTTATTAGACTGTAAACCCTGTGAGGGCAGGAATTGTGTCTCCTTGGCAAATCACTATACACAGTGCCTGTTACTGATGGCTGATCTACTTAGAACAAATATTTGCTGAATGGATAGACGAGTGAAAGCAGTCACTGAACTGGCAGCCAGATGGCCACTACTGCTTTTTTGACATGCACTTTGTGCCACAGGATGGAAGTGCAGAATGAGGATTAACTTGTGACAATTGGTTCCCTCTCTCTCTTCTCCTCTCCTTCCCTTTTCCTCTTTTTAAGCCAGTAATTAGCACATAACCTTGGGCAACTGAGGCAATAAGTCAGTAACTCTACATACTATTTTTAGATTTGCTAAGGGCATACAACATGTACTATTCAAAAACGAAAAGAAAGGGAATTATCTAGTAGGGCACAGATGTTATATTCACAATGGTACATCCTGAAGTTCAACACAGGGAAAAGCCCACATTTCTTCAAATCAATGTGCGTCCCATTTACTGTGCCTGCTCCCCCAGTCCATGACGTCACTTCTTCCAGTTATTCTTGTGATTACATGTCCTTCCGGGAACAACTGGCTGGAGATTCTGGTGACTTTTAGGAAGTTTGAGGCTCCAATCCTATCATCATTTTCCAGGAGCAACTGCTTTAGCTAAACCTCCCGGTATTCTCAGGGAAGGATCTGACTTAAGTTGCGTGAAAGTATATTGCAAATGTGTTTTGGCTTAGACGTATTTTAAATAAGGGCCCATACATATTAAAAAGTAAAGAGAGAAATTACAGCCTAGGGGTTTGTGGTGTCCATGTAGCATTAACATAATGAGTGCTGTGGCTTACTTGCATCCTGCAAAAAGCCACCTTGAAGTCCTAACCCCTAGTACCTGTGAACATGACCTCACTTGGAAATAGGGTCTTTGCAAATGAAATCAAGTTAACATGAGGTCATAATTGGATTAGGGTGGCTCTAAATCCAATATGACTGGTGTCCTTATAAGGAGAGACACATACACACAGAGGAATGCCTGGTGAAGGAGGAAACAGAGATTGGAGCGGGGCATCTCCAAACTAGGGAACACCAAGGATTGCTGGCAACACCAGAAGCTGGAAAGAGGCATGAATCAGATTCTTCCCTACAGCCTTTAGAGGGAGTGAGGCACTGCCCACCCCTGATTTTGGAGTTCTGGTCTCCAAAACTGTGGGAGGACAAGTTCCTATTATTTTAAACTGTCCAATTTGTAATGCTGTCTTATGGCAGACCTAGAAAATGAACGAAACTACTTACGCATCCTTTAAAGCTAGCTATTAAAGTTTCCTATTTGATAAAGACTTGAAAATGTAACAAGATGCATAATAGCATCTACAAGTATTCACCTTTCAATATGAAGAATGGCAAAGGGTGACCAGGCTGCCAATAAGATAAATTATGGAGCTGGAATCAGAGGCACAACGTTAGTTTTTGAATTACCAGTCGTGTGGGGGAAGCTGTTTAAGTAAAAGAACACTGAGAATGGGATCAGAACACTTGGGCTGGAGTTTCCGTTTAGCCGCTTTCTATATATTTCCCCTAAGCACTGGTACACCCTGTTCCTTCTGCCAGTCACAAACTCTCCACCTCCCCTCCTCTCTCTTCAACCTGCTCACCTCTGTCCCTCTCCTAGGCCTTGGCTAAGACTCCACTCCTGGGAGGTCTGCCCTGGTTCCTAGGCTGGGTTACAGGACCTCCTGGAGCAGCCCTGCCATGCTCACGGGAATGTGCCCCCCCTTCTCTGGATCTACCTGGAGATGGGGGCACTCCAGGAAGCCTGGCCCCAGCTCATCATAGTCCATGTTGTACCCACAGAGTTCTTGGCACATAAGAATTCATTTTTAGCTCTAAATAAGTAAAGGTATGAATTAAACAGTAGCATTAACTTTGCCATAGTTTTGCAAACTCAAAGTGTGGTTTACATGTGTCAACATTTCAACTTAACCACAGATTATTTTGCCTCCCAATGGATATTTGGCCAAGTCTGGAGAAACTTGTCAGAAGGTGAACTAAAGGATGCAAAGACAATCTGTGCGTGCCCCTCAAAGCTGCCAAAGCGGGCCTGGAGTCTGCAAGTGCTCGTTAGAACAAAACGTTTGCTTCTAGGGCCAGTCCTCTGTGCAATTAGAGTTGTAGTGGTGAGGTTGTAAATCAGAGTTGATAGCTCCTATTGTTAGGGAATTTAGCTGTAGGAATTGGGAAATTTGCCATGGTCCCTGAGCACTGAACCCATGACCCAGGGGTGGCTTGGTTTCCTTAAACTTAGT